>NC_000024.10:2137488-2437897 GCF_000001405.40 Homo sapiens
TCCCATCATCATCATCACGATCACCATCTTCATAACCTCTCCCATCATCATCATCACGATCACCATCTTCATAACCTCTCCCATCATCATCATCATGATCACCATCTTCATTACCTCCCCCATCATCATCATGATCACCATCTTCATTACCTCCCCCCATCATCATCATCACCATCCTCACCATCATCATCATCATCATAATCATCATCGTCACCATCCTCACCATCATCATCATTATCATAATCATCACCATCACCATCCTCACCATCATCATCATTATCACCATCATCGTCATTATCATCATCATCACCATCACCATCCTCACCATCATCATATCACCATCATCGTCATTATCATCATCATCACCATCTTCATTACCTCTCCCCTCATCATCACCATCCTCACCATCATCATTATCATCATCATCACCATCTTCATTACCTCCCCCATCATCATCATCACCATCCTCACCATCATCATCTTCATTACCTCTCCCATCATCATCATCACCATCACCATACTCACCATCGTAATCATTATCATCATCACCATCACCATCCTCACCATCATCATCATTATCATCATCATCACCATCTTCATTACCTCTCCCATCATCATCATTGCCATCGTCATCTCCATTATCTCTACCATTATCATCATCATCATCTCGCTATCATCACCATCATCATCACCATCATCATGATCATTGTCATCATCATTATCATCACCATCATCATCACCACCATCATCATACCATGCCATTGTCATTATCACATCGTCATTATCATCATCATTACTACAATGTTGATAATCAGCTATAAGACTCTGAATCCCACATGACGAGTCAGCAGTGCTGCCGCTGGGGCATCTGAGAACAATATGCCCTGGAAGGACTTTCTCCCTTACTTTTTTATCCCAGAATGGCAGTGGTTTGACTGATGTTCTCTTTTGTACTATGAAGCATCTTCTGTGGCCTAGAAACAACTTAGAGTGATGACTGGGCCTCTTTGAGAGACACCACCTAAGTGGCCTTATAACAATTTGGTCTGGTTCAAGAGTCCTAAATAATTTTAAATGCTGCTTCAGTGCCTGTACACTCATTTGTTGTGCTGTCACTCTGGTTTCTTGGGAATAAATTAACGAAAACAGAATTGGAGATTTTCTCTTTCTGTCTTCACTTCCGTTCAAAAAGTATCATTTTCTCCCCCCGCCCCCCCCCCCGCCCCCACTGGAAGAACTTGTTGTCCAGAACAAGTGTAGGCATAGAAATGCTAATTTTTGTTACTTCACCTTTCTGGGAAAATAAGGGGGAGTGGAGCCATCTGTGGCTATGGCCATCACTTGGCCAATAAGTTGATTTTGAAATAAACTGATTTTGAATTAGATGTGCGGTATGCATCTGGGAGATTGAAGTTAGATGTGTGTAGGAGAGGGAAACCAACAAAGCTGTGAAGATACAGTAGGAAGAAGGGCTCTATGAGAAAATGTAAAACAATGGCATTTATTTGGATCAGACACAGCTATGTCTGAGTGGACTAAAGATACAAATCTGCTCATGGCCACAGCAGATGTCACACCTGGGTCCCATGGATAAGCAACAGAAAATCAAAGGTGGCAAGTTTATCAAGCCTTTCTGAGTTTCTATGATGGACGGTTGGGTCCTAGTGCCATCAGTGAGGATTGGCAGTGTCTTCTTAGCAATGTGAGAGTTTGAATCCAAGCCTCAGTGAATTTGGGAGGACAGCCCATCTGGAAGCTGTGACTCAACAAGGCCAGCCTGAGACTCCACAAGCTCAAATAATTTTTCAGGCAGATAAATGCCATTAGTCTGCCAAGGTGACATGGTAAGGTGTTTGTCAAGGTAGATGGGGCCTGGTGAGGGAAAGTTAGGGTGGAAAACTTCAGAAATCCAGGCAGGAAGACTTCAGGCATCTGGATAAGCCATCCATCCATCCATCCACCTGCCATTCACCCATTCATTCACTCATGGACATATCCATCCATCCATTCATCCAACTATCCATCCCTTTATTCATCCACCAACCATCTACCCATCTATCCACCCACCCACCCATCCACCCATCTATCCGGACAGCCAGCCACCCATCCATTTACCTATCCGTCCATCCACTTATCCATCCACTCATGCACATATCCATCGATCCATTCATCCAACTATCCATCCCTTTATTCATCCACCTACCATCCACTCATCTATCCACCCACCCACCCACCCATCCACCCATCTATCCAGACAGCCAGCCAGCAACCCATCCATCTGTCCATGCATCCACTTATCCATCCACTCACGCACATATCCACCATCCATTTATCCAGCTATCCATCCATGTATCCATCTATCCACTCATCCGTCTGTCTATCCATCCTTCCTTCTATTCAACATGCATATATAATGTGTCAGAAACTTCCTTGTCCTTGGGGACACATGGGCATCAAGATACGGTCCAGTTAACAGAACTACAAGCTCCAGGCCAGAGCTGGAGAAAGAAGAAGTTTCTTTCTTCTTGGGAACAGAGAGGAGCGTGAGTTTAGTAATTCAGACACAACAATTCCTCACTTAAGAAGACAAGTAGACCCCAAAAGGCAGAGCTCAACTTAGCATCCATTGATACGTACCAAGTCACCCCCTTCTCAGGTAGACTTATGAGAGCAAGGACATCATTCTACCCTCTCCACAAAAGTACTGGTACAAGAAGGGCTTTCTCCATGGCTAGCTGAAGAGGTCCCTAGCTCAAGTTCAGATTGATCTAGGAACAGTCCTGAAAATGACCCTCTCAGTGGAGATGCTGGGAAGGGGCAGTGAAGGACTCTTCGGGAAAAGGTAAGGACCAAGAGAAAGAACATGAAATCCAAGGACGAAAGTTAAAGACAAAATGCAGAAGCGAGGTTGAACTTGAGTAGAAGCTGGAATGAGGGCAGCATCTGCATTGGTGGAGGGAAGAGAAAACTATCCCAGGCAGAGGGTATACCAGAAACACAAGGCAACTGTTATTCATGAAGATCTTGCTTGAGGAAAAATATGGACTCCAGAGCAGGTGCAAGACATGGTACGTCGTGATGGATGTGTGATCTGTCGAAACGAAGGCTAAAAGGCCATGAACAGATGGCCAAGTGCTTTCGCTTGTAAGCAATGAGAGAGTGGTGAAGGCGTGGAGGAATGGAGGATTGCTCTAGTGCATAGAGCCCAGTGGGGGCCCAGTGGGAGAGGCTGGAAAAAGGAGAGACCTAGAATCCAGTGGGAGAGGCTGAAAGAATGGAAACCAGTTGGGATACCATTGCTCTAATTGAGCTTTGGAAACAACTTCGCATAGGAGGTGGGCGACAATGCAGAAACAAGGGCATAAGAGAGATTTTGAAAGAAGGCATGTGAGATAAGAAATCATTGTGGAAAACAGTGTGACAATTCTTCAAAGAACTAAAAAGTGAACTACCATTCAACCCAGCAACCCCATTACCGGACATACACCCAAAAGAATATCAATCATCTTATCATAAAGACACATGCAATTGTATTTCATTGCAGCACCATTCACACTAGGAAAGACATGAAATCAACCTAAATTCCCACCAGTGGTGGACTGAATGAAGAAAATGTAGTACATATATACCATGGAATACTACGCAGCCATAAAAAGAAAGAGATCATGTCCTTTGCAGCAACATGGATGGAGCTGGACACTATTATCTCAAGATAGATAGAAAGATAGATGATAGATAGAAGATAGATAGATAGATAGATAGATAGATAGATAGATAGATAATAGATAATCACATGAGCCTCTGAGGATATTGAGTTATATATGTAACTCAATTTATTAACATAAACACCCATCATGTTATTAACTTACTAACATCCATCATATGAATTATCTTCTAATTAGCACAGCCTCTCGACACACCCTGAAGGACAGAGCATGTCCTAACTATTGGAGGGAAGAAGATGGGAGGAGGGAGAGGATTAGAAAAAAATAACTAATGGGTACTAGGCTTAATACCTGGATGAAGAAATAATCTGTACAACAAACTCCCATGATCCCAGTTTACCTACATAACAAACTTGCATGTGTACCCCTGAACATAATAGAAAACTTATAGAGAACACACCTAATTTTCACAAGTGTTTTAAACTTGCTCCTCTCTTCATGGGTAGCAATGAGTACGTTCTTATCCTTTGTTTCTTTCGAAGAAATCAGTGTGTTTCTAAGACAGTATAAGCTGATAGCCTATGTGGACAAGAGGAGGAGGTATTGTGTTATAAGGAATTTTTTTTGTATAAACCAGAGAGAGGAGAGAGAGAATTATTGTGTGAGTACACAAGACTTATCCACGAAGGTGTGTTTAAGACAAATTTGAATTTCTACAGGAAACTGACCCCCTACAAGCCAAATGTATGGATTATGACAAAGCCTGTGATTGGCTCCAGAAATCCATCAGCTCATTTTGAAGCTTAGTTTTTAATTTAGTTCTGAAACAAAAAGAATGAGTAAAATGTTTCTCTGATACAATGTCCAAAATGGTGAGGCAAACTACACCAGCAGAGAAAGCTGTTGGCCATCATGCAAGCTGTGCGGAGTTTATGAAATTAGCATGCAGAGGCTTCAGTGCTGTATTAGTCCATTTTCATGCTGCTGATAAAGACACACTCGAGACTGGGTAATTTATAAAGAAAAGGGGGTTTGATAGACTCACAATTCCACATGGCTGAGAAGACCTCAAAATCATGGTGGAAGGCAAAAGGCAGGTCTTACATGGTGGCAGGCAAGAGAGAATAAGAACCAAGTGAAAGGGGAATCCCCTTATAAAATCATAAGATCTCAATGAGACTTATTCACTACCACGAGAACAGTAGGGGGAAACCGCCCCCATGATTCAATTACCTCCCATTGGGTCCCTCCCATCACACATGGAATTATGGGTGCTACAATTCAAGATGAGATTTGGGTGGGGACACAGCCAAACTATATGAAGTGCAAACAAAGTTTCTGACTTCTCTTGAGGGAAAAGATACTTTAAAGATTTGAGTAGTTGGGAGCCAACCACCATGATCTGCTGCCCTCTGAATTAACATTGTAGTCAACAACCACCATCTTTGAACAGTGTTAGAGCTGAAAAGCTAGAGGAAAAATGTCTGACTTTCCTCTAGCTTTTCTCCTCCAACACTATTCAAATTTCTTTGCTTATAAATGGTTAGGTGGACGTGAATGAGGAGGTTGAGCTGGTTCTTACAGAGGAGTGGGGGGTCTGAAATGACTTTCAGTCTGGGAAAGCAAGAGATAAATCACTTCTACAGTCTTTTCAGGATCAAGCTTCAGATAAGTGCATCCGTGCAGCATTCTCCCCTAAAGAGCTTGATAATACGAAAAATAAGCCTGCGCGCGAACTAAACCACACATTGTCTCACCAAATGGATGCAACTGAATGGTGAATGCAGACGAAGAGACTTTCTAGAACTGTCTAACGGAAGAGTTGAGGACTTTCTAGAACTAACGGAAGAGTGGAGGACTTTCTAGAACTGTCTAACAGAAGAGTTGAGGACTTTCTAGAACTGTCTATGGAAGAATTGAGGACTTTCTAGAACTAACGGAAGAGTAGAGGACTTTCCAGAACTAACGGAAGAGTTGAAGACTTTCTAGAACTGTCTAACGGAAGAGTGGAGGACTTTCTAGAACTGTCTAACGGAAGAGTGGAGGACTTTCTAGAACTGTCTAACGGAAGAGTGGAGGACTTTCTAGAACTGTCTAACGGAAGAGTGGAGGACTTTCTAGAACTGTCTAACGGAAGAGTTGAGGACTTTCTAGAACTGTCTAATGGAAGAGTTGAGGACTTTCTAGAACTAACAGAAGAGTTGAGGACTTTCTAGAACTATCTAATGAAAGAGTTGAGGAAAACCCAAAACTCCCATCGAGGGACCTGGCTCTAGTCTCCCGGAGGTAGGCGGGAACATGACTGTTATTTCACGAGTGGGAATCCAGTTAATTACATCTTTCTGAGTGTGTCGAGAGGCTGTGCTAATTAGAAGAGGATTCATATGATGGATGTTAATAAGTTACATATGTTAACTCAATAGCCTCAGAGGCTCATGTGATTATGTATCTATGTATCTATCTATATATCACCAATCTATATACATATATATATGCATGCAATCAATATATACATAATACACAAACTATATCATATTTTATTAGAGTATATTACAAGAATATATAAATCTTATATACATATGTTCATGTGTCATTTATATATATTTGTGTGTGTATATGTGTGTGTGTATATATATATAGATATGTATATGTAAATGTAATCACATGATCCTTTGAGGAGTTTTTTTCTGATATGAAGTCTTGCTCTGTCGCCCAGGCTGGAGTGCAGTGGTGCAATCTCGGCTCACTGCAACCTCCGCCTCCTGGGTTCAAGTGATTCTCCTGCCTCAGCCTCCCTAGTAGCTAGGATTACAGGTGTGTGCCACCATGCCCAGCTAATTTTTGTATTTTTAGTAGACAAAGGGTTTCGCCATGTTGGCCAGGCTGGTCTCGAACCCCTGACCTCAGGTGATCTGCCCGCCTCACCCTCCCAAAGTGCTGGAATTACAGGCGTGAGCCACCACGCCCGGCCCCTTTGAGGATATTGAGTTATTTTTACAATTCAATGATATTCTGCTGAGTGAATATTGTATTGTTTTATCTTTTATACATATATTGATGTGGCATATGTATATGCCATTACTTTCAATGGCAAAAACCACAATTCTTTTTGTACCAACCTGATACCATTTATTTCACCTCAACCTCTATTGACACTAACTTCTTCTCTGGTCATATGTAGCGCCCCAGACAAATCTGTCTCCCAAGAGAGTGTATGACCACCCTGGCTGGATGGCACCAAATTAACGAGTAATGCGTGGGTCAGAAGTTGGTCTCTTGTAAGCTGATACAACAGTTGATGGCTATACTATTCTTATCAATCCTAGCTTGTAAGCCTCCAAAACTGAGGATCATATGCTGGTTTCTGGTGACTTTATGCTGATAAATACCATTTCGTGCAGGTTTCATGGCTCGGGAGCACTGGAGATTTCACGATATTGAATTGTTCCTTCTGACTGAGCTCTGATTGAGCTAACTGATGCTACATTTAATTTCAGGATGGACTGAATCAAACAGGCTTACTAATAAGAACAGGAGGCCGGGCGTGGTGGCTCATGTCTGTAATCCCAGCACTTTGGGAGGCCAAGGCAGGCAGATCACAAGGTCAGGAGATGGAGACTATCCTGGCTAACACAGTGAAACCCCGTCTCTACTAAAAATACAAAAAATTAGCCTGGCGTGGTGGCGGGCGCCTGTGGTCCCAGCTACTCGGGAGGCTGAGGCAGGAGAATCACTTGAACCCGGGAGGCAGAGGTGGCAGCGAGCTGAGATTGCGCCACTGCACTCCAGCCTGGTCGAGAGAGCGAGACTCCATCAAAAATAAAAAATAAAAAAAAGAGCAGGGGTATTCCTGACCAGGTCTGGAAACTGGAGGTCAAAGCAAAATTATAATGATGATGATAAATAAGTGAAAAACTGGTACACATTGACTTTGTGGTGAAAATTTCAAGCCAAATTGGTATTTATAGAGAAGACTGGCTGGGTGCCATAGTTCATGCTTGTAATCCCAGCACTTTGGAAGGCTGAGGAGGGCAGATCGCTTGAGCCCAGGAGTTCGAGGCCAGCCTGGGCAACACAGCGAGACCTCATCTCTACAAAAATTACAAACATTAGCTGGGCATGGTGGTGTGCACCTGTAGTCCCAGCTACTTGGTAGGCTTAGGGAGGAGGATTGCTTAAGCCTGGGAGGTGGAGATGGCAAAGAGCCAAGGTCACGCCACTGCACTCCAGCCTGGGTGACAGAGCAAGACCTTGTTTCAAAAAAATAAAAGGAAAGAAAAAAATAAAAGATCTGTACTCTTAAGGACAGTCCAGGGCTGGGCGCGGTGGCTCACGCCTGTAAACCGAGAACTTTGGGAGGCCAAGGCGGGCGGATCACCAGATCAGGAGATCGAGACCATCCTGGCTAACACGGTGAAACCCCAAAAATTAGCTGGACGTGGTGGTGGGCGCATGCAATCCAAGCTACTTGGGAGGCTGAGGCAGGAGAATTGCTTGAACCCGGGAGGCAGAGGTTGCAGTGAGCTGAGATCACGCCATTGCACTCCAGCGTGGGTGACAGAGCGAGACTCCATCTCAAAAATGAAATAAAATAAATGCAGTTTTCACTGGACACTAAACTGCAACTATCGACATGGTTTTAGTTTAGAGCTTAGCAAGAACTTCTGGCTCATTAGCATTATGAGGTCATAGTATGAATTTCCAAGAGGGGTGTTAGGTTTCATGCTCTGGGTGTTGCATTGCTTGTAAACAGTTAGAAGATTTCTTCCAGTTGTGTCGTGAATGCATCCCTAAAACAAAGCCACAGACTTCAACAAGAAATCCCACACATAAGAATGATGTGTGAGCTTCTTCCAAAAACGAGTGGCAGAAACTGAAGTTGCTCTGAGCTGCCAGAAGTCTGACAAACAGCCCACTGTCAATTACTTCTCATGGGTTTCTCGTTGCTTCGTGAAGGCTTATTTTAGCTTTCGGGAAAATCTGCGGATCCCAAAATAAACGACTGCAATGGTGCAATGGGCTGCGGTAGAGGGAAATAGAGCCGTGTGGTTCGAAGGAGAAAGGGCATGAGTATGAGCTTAGTCACAGTGGGTTGCTGTGGAAGGAAATAGAGCCGTGTGGTTCAAAGGAGAAAGGACATGAGTATGAGCTTAGCTGACTGGGCTTGAGTACCAAGGAAACTAAGCTACCATAGACTTCACAATGAAGAAGAAAACGCAGGCGATGAACTCTTGCTCTTAGAAACTGCGAAAAAAGGATTAGGTCCCTAAATTGTGTAAGGCACAGTCAGGATTGTAGACAACTCACTGGGTCTTAGGAATCGTACCACGTGCCCATGGTTTGTTTAATTTTAACAAGAGAGAGTTGAGTGCAAAGGTATATGAGATATCCATTCCTATTTCTTTTCTAGCTTACTTAAAAAAAAATCAGGTAGAATCCATCCAGTAAAAAATGAAGTCAATGAGGTGAATGTCTGAAACCAGTGAATATTTCAAATTTCTGTCCTAGTTGAAGATGACACAAAACATCAAGGGGACAGACACTCAAATGATACCCTCAGATGTTGAAATTTTATGAGACGGCATCCCAGCTAGTGATTTTATATCTGACATCAGACATGGCCCTAACAATACAGTTTAAAATCATTTTGGAAAAGTATTGAAGATGCCACAGTCTAATTCTCAAACTGGAAAATATTCAAAGAGACCCATAGAGACCAAACTATATGCCAACTTTTCTTCCCCATTTTATGATCAGAATCACATTTTGTCTACCTTGACAGGGTGCCCTATCATTTAATTTTTTTTTCCTTTTTTTGGGGGGGGGGGCGGGGACAGAGTCTTGTTCTGTCACCAGGCTGGAGTGCAGTGGTGCAATCTCGGCTCACGGCAACCTCTGACTCCCTGGTTCAAGCGATTTTCCTGCCTCAGCCTCCTGAGTAGCTGGGATTACAGGCACCCACCACCACGCCTGGCTAATTTTTGTATTTTTAGTAGAGATGGGGTTTCACCATATTGGCCAGGCTGGTCTCGAATGCTTGACCTCAAGTGACCCACCCTCCTCGGCCTCCTAAAGTGCTGGGATGACAGGCGTGAGCCGCCACACCAGGCCCAACATTCTTATTTCTTTTTGAATCCCTTTGTAACTGCTCTTTTCAAATCTTGAGTCCCCAAGTATGTGTCACCTTTACCTTACCAATTTTCATAAACTGTAAATCTCATAGACAGTCCATCGTAACCAATATTTCCCCATCATTGCAGGAAGCAGATGATGATCTATCTACTGAGGTCACCTGGGGAGAGTGTAATCGACATAAACAGATAGTCTCCCCACGCCAGCCTGACCTAACTCTCCATTGAGTCTGGCAGATGGATCTCAATGGCCTTCTCAACATTCACTAAGGCAAGTTAAGTATGAATGAATGAATATCCCAAGAGGAAAAGTCGCTTTGGTGAATTTTATGTTCTATTGTCCAGCATCCAGATAACAGGCAAAATACAGAATATTTCCATGGAGATACGGTGCCTGCTTTTGCCTCCAATATGCAAGATCTTTCTCAAGAAAGAGAATTTAGAGTGCTCTTTGTTCTTCAAAATGGACATTCCAACTGGAGCCATTTGAGACAGTTTCACAGTAAGCTCTTCCTGTAAATATAAATGGGGATGTTTCATGATGCATCTCTCCAATTATTTTCATCTGTGTGTTTAGGTGTCTGTTCTCTTGTCTATCACCAGGTTGCAAAGCAGAGCCTTTTCCGTCTGGGTAAAATGGAGACCACCCATCACAACTACAAAATGTCAGATTGTATTAGCATTATCCAATAACCCCATGAGAAGGTCATTCATATTCATCAGCTATGCAGTTCAGTTTCCGGAAATTGTTAATGTACTCAAGATGCCAGCTTCCACATAGCCAACTGCCATCAGGAACCAGAGAGTCAGAAGCAGAGGAGAAAACTTATCAGATCTGGCAGGAGACTGTTACTGAGGTTAAAATTAGCCTTGGACGACTCACAGAAAACATTAATTGCTTGTGACTGCTAGATTTCTGTCAGTGGCAAAGGTTCATTATTACACAGGACACATCACACTCTGAGCATCTGCCAATTTATTTTCTGCACGGACATTTGTTTATCCCTTCCCATGAGTGAGGCATGGTTAGGAGAGAAGAACTAAAACTGCATTCTCCTCAAGAGGTTGACATTCATGAATGAACAATACTTAAATCACCTATGTATAAGGGACCCATCTCATGTCTGGAATAGAAGTACGACAGCCAGGTGCGGTGGCTCACGCCTGTAATCCCAGCACTTTGGGAGGCCAAAGGCAGGCAGATGACCTGAGGTCAGGAGTTCGAGACCAGCCTGGCTAACATGGTGAAACCCTGTTTCTCCTAAAAATACAAAAAAATTAGCCAGGCATGGTGGCGTGCTCCTGCAATCCCAGCTACTTGGGAGGCTGAGGCAGGAGAATCTCTTGAACTCGGAGGCAGAGGTTGCAGTGAGCCGAGATCGTGCCATTGAACTCCAGCTTGGGCAACATGAGTGAAACTCCATCTCAAAAAAACCAACCAAACAAACAAAAAAACCCAAATAAACCCACAAAAAAAGTTTGGAAAAAAAAAGTACAATAAAGGCGGTATTTCAGATGGGGGAATGATGTATATGGGGTTCAGAGGATCTTCAAAGAGAAAAATTTGGGTTGGAACTTGAGTTCCTTTCCTGAACTTGCTGTAACAAATTTATACAAATTGGGTGGTTTACAACAATATAAATATGTTCTCTCATAGTTCTGGAAGGCAGAAGTCTCAGATCAAGGTGTTGGGAAGCATGGTTCGTTATGAGGGTTGCAAGAGAGGAATCTGTCTCATGGCTATATCCTGGCTTCTAGTGGCCCCAGGTATTCCTTGGTGATATGGTTTGGCTGTGTCCCCATCCAAATCTCATCTTGAATTTCCACGTGTTGTGGGAGGGATTTGGTGAGAGGTAACTGAACCATGGGGGCAGGTCTTTTCTATGCTGTTCTCATGATAGTGAATAAGTCTCATGAGATCTGATAGTTTTATAAGGTGGTGTTTCCCTGCACAAGCTCTCTCTTTGCCTGTTGCCATCCATGTAAGATGTGACTTGCTTCTCCTTGTCTTCTGCCATGATTGTGAGACCTCCCCAGCCACATAGAATTGTAAGTCCATTAAATCTCTCTTTCTTTTGTAAATTGCCCAGTCTCGGGTATGTCTTCAACAGCAGTGTGAAAACAGACTAATACACTTGGCTTGTAGACGTATCACCCTGATTTCTGCTTTTCTCTCCAACATGACCTTCATTTTGTGTCTTTTCATCTATCAGTTATAATGACACTTGTCATTGGAGGTCACACCCACTATATGATCTCATCTTGCGATCTTTACCTTAACTGCATCTTCAAAGACCCTTTTCCATCATGAGGTCCCATTTCCCAGGTTATGAGGGTTTAGGACATAGACATATTTTTAGGGATATGTGTATGTCCCAAAGGTCTGCACCCGAATGCAGACCTTGGGCAGAGTACAGTTGAAAGGGGAGAGAAAAATAAATACAGAAATGTTTAAACCCATCAATCCTTTTAATTCTCCTTGGATTCTGAGAGAAGTATGGCATTTTGAGCATCCAAAAGCTACATAGAGACTTTATCGACAATTCTTAATACTCTCATGCTTTTCATTATGTCCAAGACTTTTGAGTGTGTTCATGATTGGCGTATGACCAAAATGTTAAAAGCTGCACCAACTGGTATTGACAACGTCTCCATGTCAAAATGATTCATTAGAAAGGCCAAGAATATCACTGTTTAGCAGGGAGAGATGGAAAGAAAAGGCTACCTAGAAAATGCTCAGGAAAAATCAATACATGATAAAATTAAGATACCAAATGAAGCGTTGGCATGCTTATTGATGTTCCCTTCAGGTTTGACTTCTGCCTGGTTTACTACTCTCTCCTCCTCACTCACTGGGGAAATTAACTTTATGGGTTCTTCTCCTGTTCTTGCAGGTCTTTTCTTTTTTATTATTATTTTATTTTTTAATTTTTTTTACTACATTTTTTATTTTTTATTATATTATTTTTATTTTATATTTTTATTTTTTATTGAGACAGAGTCTCACACTGTCACCAAGGCTGGAGTGCAGTGGTGCGATCTCAGCTCACTGCAACCTCCATCTCCCAGGTTCAAGCAATTATCCTGCCTCAGCCTCCTGAGTAGCTGGGATTACAGGCACCCACCATCATGCCCAGCTAATTTTTTTGTATTTTTAGAAGAGACGGGGTTTCACCATGTTGGCCAGAGGCTGGTCTTGAACCCCTGACCTCATGATTCACCCACCTCAGCCTCCCAAAGTGCTGGGATTACAGGCATGATCCACTGTGCCCAACCCTTTCTTTTCATTTCTGTCTATGTGGGGCATAACAACTGCCTATTTAGAGATTCTCAACTCACTCTTTCCTGCAGTCCTGAGCCTCTGACTGTCTCCAAAAATGGTCTGAGCCTTGATTATATTCTGCTTCTCAGCTCTAAATAAACAGGTAACAGTGAAAGGATTCCAAGCCTGCAAGGAAAGGCTAACCATTGTCTAGTGGAACCTTCCTTTGCTGCACAGATGGAGAAATGCCTGCCATGAAGTTAGTTCTGTTCTGCAGAAATTTTTTTTGATCTTGAAAATGCAAGTTCTGTTGAGGAGGTTGAGGTGGGGGAGTCAAGCAGGAGGTGTGAATGAGCAGGAGTTGGCAGCAAGTCCGGGTGCTGACAAGCGGAGACTCAGAGATGCCAACCTCACAGGTGATGAATTGCTTCTATTACCCTGCAGAAATTTGTGACTTTCTAAATCCAATTACCCAACCGTGGAAAGTCCCCACCTTTTCTCTCTGACTTTGTCCCTGAGAGAATGAGCTTTGCTGGGTGGAGAAAAAGTTAGCAATGCCATGTGTGCTGGTGTCTTGAGTTTTGCGTATGACTCTGCTTCAACTTGCCTGGTGGTTTCATGCTATTCTGATTCCTCTACAATGTAATGCTTTGTGAGACGATGGCAGACACAAGGCAGATCCTCAGAATACACTCCCGATGATATTAGCTTCTTGTGCAATCAGCCAACACACAGAACATGAAGCTTGCCCCCGATGTTTGCCACAGCACAGGTTCAGAGCTTTAGGAGCTGGTGAAAAGTAATTCTCATGGTGGTCATGGAGCCACTGGGCATGATAGCTACGGGGGTGATATCATCCCAAAGAGATGAGTGTTGTTGAAATTGTCCCTTCATCTCACCTCTCCCTGTTTGTCTAAGCCAGAAAAGATCCACCTGTGTGGGAATCATCCTGTACCTGGGATTTGCACCTATCAGTCATCCACCTGGCAAAGTAAAGCCGCTTAATGATGTTTCGTTGGATGGTCCTACAACTCAACGTCAACGATGAAACAGAGGCTGAAATGATTCCTAGCACTGTTGGTTCAGAACTTTTGGAGGAGACTTGTTCCCAAGGATAATGAAGACTCTCTCATCAAAATTCCTGGACTCTAAGATGTGCTTATGCAAGCCAACAAACCCTCGCCTCCTGAGGCAGCAAATGCATCATTAGGCAAGAGCTCTCTTGAGCACAGTGAGGCTCTCTTCCAAGTCATAAGCTGCAAGTAGAAAGCTGCCTAGACCATGTTCCTCACAAAGTGTTGACATGTCTCCAGTTAGCTGGCTAGAGATGATGAAAAAAAAAAACCCTTCAATATACACAATTACAGTTTGGGTACAATTTCCATACAAGGCTTTGAGTGTTTGTTAAGAAGTATTCTGGGCCGGGCAAGGTGGCTCACGCCTGTAACCCCAGCACTTTGGGAGGCAGAGGTGGGTGGATCACCTGAGGTCAGGAGTTCGAGACCAGCTTGGCCAACATGGCGAAACCCCGTCTCTACTAAAAGTACAAAAATTAGTGGGTGTGGTGGCGCATGCCTGTAATCCCAGCTACTTGGGAGGCTGAGGCAGGAGAATTGCTCGAACCTGGGAGGCGGAGGTTGCGGTGAGCTGAGATCACGCCACTGCACTGCAGCCTGGGTGACAAGAGTGAAACTCCATCTCTAAAATAAAATAAGAATAAAAGAAAGGTGCATAGACGATGTTCCTCACAAAGCATTGACATGTCTCCAGCTAGCTGGCTAGAGATGATTAAAAAAAAACAAACTCTTCAATTTACACAATTCTAGTTTGGGTACAATTTCCATACACTGCTTTGAATGTTTGTTAAGAAGTATTCTGGGCCTCAAATGTGTTTCCAAATGTTCAGAGATGAGACGCATCTTTGTGGCTTGAAGATTCTCAATATCGACCCATTCTAGGTAGATGGGGACTTCTTTCTTGGATGGACACATGCATTGGAGATCATAGTTAGGCATTCAGGGCAGATGAAGCCAACCGGATACAACTTCTTATGCTAGGAACGACCAGAGGTGGCGGTATCACATGTGCAGATGTCTGTGTCTGCATGCCGCCATCTTGCAACTGTGGTCTTGACTCCCTGCACTGGGGGGATGACAGTTATAGCAAAGTCAGCTTATATATATATGGTTTTTTTGTTTTTGTTTTTTTGAGACGGAATCTCACTCTGTCGCTCAGGCTGGAGTGCAGTGGCACAATCTTGGCTTACTGCAACCTCCACCTTCCAGGTTCAAGCGATTTTCCTGCCTCAGCCTCATGAGTAGCTGAGACTACAGGCACGTGCCACCAAGCCAGGCTCATTTTTGTATTTTTAGTAGAGACAGGGTTTCACCATGTTGGTCAGGTTGGTCTCGAACTCCTGACCTCGTGATCTGCCCGCCTCGGCCTCCCAAAGTGCTGAGATTTCAGGCATGCGCTACCACGCCCAGTCATATATGTTTTTGTTTTTATTGATGAGCGTAAGATAGGTTTGAGGCCGTGAGCCCCCAAAAGCCACCCTCATGGAGAGTTTACTGTACTGAATAGTGCTCCTCCTAAGAAAAAAATAACGCATGTTCACCTGGAAGCTCAGAATGTAACCTTATTTGGAAATAGAGCTTTTGCAGGTCATCCTGGATTAGGGTGGGCCCTAAATGCAATGACAGGTGTCCTTCTAAGAGGCAGAAGAGGAGATACAGAAACAGAGGAGAGTCTGGGCATGGTGGCTCACACCTGTAATCTCAGCACTTTGGGAGGCCGAGGTAGGTGGATCACAAGGTCAGGAGTTCAAGACCAGCCTGACCAACATGATGAAACCCCCGTCTCTACTAAAAATACAAAAAATTAGCCAGGCGTGCTGGCGGGCGCCTGTAATCCCAGCTACTTGGGAGGCAGAGGCAGGAGAATCACTTGAACCCAGGAGGCGGAGGTTGCGGTGAACTGAGATCGCGCCACTGCACTCCAGCCTGGGCAAGAGCGAAACTGTCTCAAAAAAAAAAAAAAAAAAAGAAAAAGAAAAAATAAATCCACATCCACCTGGAACCTCAGAATGTAACCTTATTTGGAAATAGAGCTTTTGCAGGTCATCCTGTTAACATGAGGTCATCCTGGATTAGGGTGAGCCCTAAATGCAACGACAGGTGTCCTTCTAAGAGGCAGAAGAGGAGACACAGACACAGAGGAGAAAGATATGTGGAGATGGAGGCAGAGACTGGAGTGATGCAGCCACAAGCCCAGGGATGCCTGGAGCCCCTGGAAACGGAGAGAGGCAAGAAAGATCCTCCCCGAGAGCCTCCTGAGGAAGCACAGCTGTGAGATAACTTGATCTCAGACTCTGGGTCTCCAGAACTGGAAAGGACAAATCTCTGTTGTTTTAAGCACCCCAGTTTGTGGCAGTTTGCTTTGGCAGCATAGAAAACTCATCTATCAGATGATGGTCTTTTCTCTCCAATACTTTCTCTATTTTACTGATTCAGGTCATCACCTTGAAAGGAAAATATTTCCCTCTCTCCCTTCCTCCCTCCCTTCCTTCCTTCCTCCATCCCTCCCTCACACCCTTCCTTCCTTCCTTCTCTCTCTTCTCTCTCTTTCTGTCTCTCTCTCTCTCTTTTTTTTTCCTAAGTCTTGCTCTGTCACCCAGGCCAGAGTGCAATGGTGTAATCTCGGCTCACTGCAACCTCCGTCTCCTGGGTTCAAGTGATTCTCCTGCCTCAACTTCCCAAGTAGCTGGAATTACAGGCACGCACCACCACGCTTGGCTAATTTTTGTATTTTTAGTAGAGACAAGGTTTCACCATATTGGTCAGGCTGGTTTTGAACTCCTGACCTCAGGTGATCCGCTTGCCTCGGCCTCCCAAAGTGCTGGGATTACAGGTGTGAGCCACCACACCCGGCCTGAAAGGAAAATATTTCTTATAAATTATTGTAACATCTTATAAATTATTGTTCTACCTATTCAGCTTAGAAAAAGCAGATTAGAGGCTGGGCGCAGTGACTCACGCCTATAATCCCAGCACTTTGGGAAGCCAAGACAGGCGGATCACCTGAGGTCGGGAGTTCACCAGCCTGACCAAGATGGAGAAAGCCAGTATCCACTAAAAATACAAAATTAGCTGGGTGTGGTGGTATGTGCCTGTAATCCCAGCTACTCGGGAGGCTGAGGCAGGAGAATCGCTTCAACCCAGGAGGCGGAGGTTGCGGTGAGCCGAGATCGTGCCATTGCACTCCAGCCTGGGCGACAAGAGTGAAACTCCGTCTCAAAACTCAAAAGAAAAAAGAAAAGAAAAGCAAAAGCAGATTATTCCCCCGAACAATTCACTCAAGTGATGGGAGTTATTAGTGGGCTAGAGTTGGTAAGAACCCTAAACCTCAGAGAGGGAGGATGTAAGGAGGCCACCTCGGCACGTTGGGCAGAGGCAATGTCTGTGCTGGAACATTCACAGCCTGTCCTCCCTACGCTGACTCACCACCTACACTCCCTTCCCCAAGGCTCTGGTTTGTCTTGACCAGTCTCTCATGCTGCTCAACTTCTGTGCCTGTTGGTGACATCAACCCCAGTGGGAAGCCATTGTAGTTGTTTCTTGAGTCCACTTTAACAAATGATTACAAGTTCTGTGGCTTTAAACAGCAGCAATGTACTCTCTCCAAGTCTTGGCAACCAGAAGCGTGAGATCAAGGCATGGGCAGGGCTGTGTGCTCCCTCCGGAGGCTCTAGGGGAGGGTCCTTCCTGCCTCTCCCAGCTCCTGGAGGCTCCAGGCATCCCTGGGCTTGTGGCCACATCACTCCAGTCTCTGCCTCCGTCTCCACGTGGCCTTCTCCTGTGTGTCTGTCTCTCCTCTTCTGTCTCTTAGGAGGACACCTGCATTGCATTTAGAGCTCACCCAATCCAGGATGATCTCATCTCAACATCCTCAATTTGATCACATCTGCAAAGACGCTATTTCCAAACGAGGTCCTATTCACAGGTTCTAGGGGTTAGGACATGGACAGATCTTTTGGGGATCACCATTCAATCCATTGCAGTTGTGTTTGGTTCCTTCTGGGGGCTCTAGGGGAGGATTCTTCCTGCCTCTCACTGCTCCTGGGGGCTCCAGGCATCCCTTGGCTTGTGGCTACATCACTCCAGTCTCTGCCTCAGTACATGGCCTTCTACTTTGTGTCTATGTCTCCTCTTCTGTCTTTTAGAAAGACACCTGTCATGAGATATAGGACCCACCTTAATCTGGGATGATCTCATCTCAAAATCCTTTACTTAATTACATCTGCAAAGACTGTATTTCCACATTAGGTTGCATTCACAGGTCCTGGGAGTCAGGACATGGACATATATTTTGGGGGCCACTGCTCAATGCATTACTATTATATCCAGTTGCTTCTGGACGCTCTACGGGAGGATCCTCTCTGCCTCTCCCAGCTCCCGGGGGCTCCAGGCATCCCTGGGCTTGTGGCCACATCACTCCCGTCTCTGTCTCCATCTTCACATTGATCTTTTCCTCTTCTGTGTGAAATCTCCTTCTCCTTTCCTCTTATGAAGACCCCTTGAGGCCAGGCATGGTGGCTCATGCCTGTAGTCCCAGCACTTTGGGAGGCTGAGGTGGGCAGATCCCCTGAGGTCAGGAGTTTGAGACCAGCCTGGCCAACATGGTAAAACCTCATCTCTACAAAAACACAAAAATCACCCAGGCATGATGGCAGGTGCCTGTAATCCCAGCTACTAGGGAGGCTGAGGCAGGAGAATTGCTTTAATCCGGGACGTGGAGGTTGCAGTGAGCCGAGATCGTGCCATCGCACTCCAGCCTGGGAGACAGAGCAAGACTCTGTCTCAATAAAAAAAAAAAAAAGGGGACAATTTTGATTCTATGGAGTCCCCCTGGATAATCCAGTATAATCCCTCCATGTCAGGATTCTTAATTTAACCACACCTGCAAAGTGCATGTTTTCCTGTGAGGTCAGAGATTAGTAGGCTCTAAGGATTAAGACTTTGATATCTTTAGGGCTCATTATTCAGCCCACTCTACTTAGCACAGGAAATTACCCTCAGAGCTGACCAACTCATTCCTGCCAGGCAGCCTAGGCAGGA
Organism: Homo sapiens; assembly: GCF_000001405.40. Classification (NCBI taxonomy): domain Eukaryota; kingdom Metazoa; phylum Chordata; class Mammalia; order Primates; family Hominidae; genus Homo; species Homo sapiens. The sequence goes on from NC_000024.10 coordinate 2,156,663, forward strand.
AGCTCAGAAATGTGAACTCTGTTTTCTTCTCCATGGAACAAAGTTGCTATACTAGATCAGAGACATTGTCTTTAACAACCAGAAACATTCACTGAACTGGGATTTGGTATCTCTGAGTGTTCTGCCTGAGGCATTTATGAGTGCCAAAAAGAGCAGCACAAGGCCGGGTGCGGTGGCTCACGCCTGTAATCCCAGCACTTTGGGAGGCCGAGGCGGGCAGATCACAAGGTCAGGAGATCGAGACCATCCTGGCTAACACGGTGAAACCCCATCTCTACCAAAAATACAAAAAATTAGCTGGGCTTGGTGGCGGGCACCTGTAGTCCCAGCTGCTCGGGAGGCTGAGGCAAGAGAATGGCGTGAACCCGGGAGGCGGAGCTTGCAGTGAGCCGAGATGGAGCCAGTGCACTCCAGCCTGGGCGACAGAGTGAGACTCCATCTCAAAAAAAAAAAAAAAAAGAGCAGCACGGCTTACATTTCTTTGTGTGTTTTGTGGCTCTACTTTTCTTTAAAAACAGCTAGGAAACAAGACACGGGGAGTGGTAGTCATGGCAGATTTACAGAAGTGTAACGTTTCCAAGAAACTACTTTAAAAGAGAGAAGCACATTAGGGAAGACACCCTCTCGCTCAGGAAGCACTAAGAAATTTGGAGCCTTCTGGATGGGCACGGTGGCTCATGCCTGTAATCTCAGCACTTTGGGAGACCAAGGTGGCTGGATCACCTGTGGTCAGGAGTTTGAGACCAGCCTGGCCAACATGGCGAAACCCTGTCTCTACTAAAAATACAAAAATTAGCCAGGCGTAATGGTGAGTGCCTGTAATCCCAGCTACTTGGGAGGCTGAGGCAGGAGAATTGCTTGAACCTGGGAGGCAGAGGCTGCAGTGAGCCAAGATCATGCCACTGCACTGTAGCCTGGGAGAGAAGAGCGAAACTCTGGGGAAAATAAAAAAAGAAAAGAAATCTGGAGACATCCAAAGTAATTCCAGATTTTGAGGGTGTTGTAAAAAGATACAAGAATGACGAAAATCTCCCCAGACACAACTAGGAAGGAATCCAGTCAATAGTCAAGGTAGGTCATTCTCCTACTATCCAGTCATTAAAAGCCAGGCATTTCTGCTGCATGAGGAAAGCCATATGTGTATGATGAGCTGTTTCCAAAAATGAGGGATAAAGCAAGTGATATGGTTTGGCTGTGTCCCCACCCAAATCTCATCTTGAATTCCGACGTGTTGTGGGAGGGACCCTGTGGGAGGAGGTAACTGAATCATGGAGGCAGGTCTTTTCAATGCTGTTCTCATGACAGTGAATAAGTCTCACGAGATCTGATGGTTTTATAAGAGGGCATTTCCCTGCACAAGCTCTCTCTTTGCCTGCCGTCATCCATGTAAGATGTGACTTGCTCCTCCTTGCCTTCTGCCACAATTGTGAGGCCTCCCCAGCCACATGGCATGTGTGTCCATTAAACCTCTATTTCTGTATGAATTACCCAGTCTCCCAAGTATGTCTGTATCAGGTACGTCTTCTCCTGAGTGGAAATAGGCATTTATGAAAGTAAAGGAGAACAGCATAGCTTCCATTGCTTTGTGTGTTTTGTGGCTCTGGTTTTCTTTAAAAACAGCTAGGAAACGAGACATGGGGATTTGTAGTCATGGCAGATTTACAGAATTGGAAGACATACCCAGGTATGTCATTATCAGCAGCATCCAAACGGACTAATACAGCAAGACTCACTATGCATTAGAGCTACGCTTTAGAAGCACAAGTCCATGTATTTTGAGAAGACTGCATTCTTCCACAATTTGGTAGGGCTGAGGACCCCCTCCCCCTCCACCAAGCATCTCTTGAAAGCAGCTAAAGACTGTGTAAGGGTCCTTTGGCAGGGGAATGTTCCTATCATTATTGCATTTCCTGATTTCTGTATGTGATGCTTTGACACTAGGGGGTCTTGCTGCCTCTAGAGAAACTGACCATCTCAGGGTTAGGCAATTTCTGGAGAACATGAACAACTCCTCTATGAGCATGTCTTTCATATGCAAAACAATCAATCTAGATTCCACACCCCAACAACATTCTGTGTGGGAGTCTCCCATCCCATGGCCACTCTCCACTTGCCCTAAGGTCCCCAGTGCCAGGTACCAGGCGAATACGGAGAGCCCCGGTATTAGTCTGTTTTCATGCAACTTATAAAGACATACCACAGGCTGGGCAGTTTACAAAAGAAAGACAGACTTAATGGACTTACAGTTCCAAGCCACACAATCATGGTGGAAGGCAAGGAGGAACAAGTCATGTCTTTCATGGATGGCAGCAGGCAGAGAGAGAGCTTGTGCAGGGAAATGCCCGCTTATAAAACCATCAGATTTTATGAAACTTATTCACTATCACAAGAACGACACGGGAAAGACCTGCCCCCATGATTCAATTACCTCCCACTAGGAACCTCCCACAATGAGTAGGAATTCAAGATGAGATTTGGGTGGGGACACAGCCAAACCATTTCAGCTCCTGTACCCCCAGAGCTTGCTGAAATCATTCAAACTAGGCAATCCTAAACCTGCTCATCCTACCTCACCTGTTCCTTCCTACAGAAACCGCAATAAAGCCTCTCACCCATTTTTTTCTTCCTACTCCTTCCGTCTCCTGAGCTCCTCCATGGGGCCCTGCGTGATATGACACCCCCATCTTCTTGGGACCTTCTTGGGAAAGTAACAAAACTTTCTTCTCAAGAGCAGTCGTCTCCTGGTCTGTTGACCTTACTCTACCTAAATCATGATAAAGCCTATATTTTAAAACCATTCCCTGCCCTGGATTTTCTGGTTGCAGCATCAAGAAGTTCTGCCTGTAGCAGATGTTATTCTGCCCATGACAACTCACGTCACTCGACATCAGAATTTATCTCAGGAACCATCTGCTGCCAGCAGCTCCACACACATCAATCACTCTGAACCATATTGGGTAACATGGCTCCTTTTGGATAGCAAAAAAAGTTATGCAACCCCACATGATTGAAGGATATCATGCTATTCTTAGAATGAGAACATGCACAGTGCCTCCAAAAGCTACTATTCCTTTACTCATAATTTATGACATATTTGTGTTTTATTTGCAAAAATGAATGACGATGCATTCAGATGAGACATGTATTCTACATTCATATTATCAATTCTATGGACTACTCTTGGGGTAGATAAAAATCCACAGTCCCTTGTGGCCATTTTTCACACTTTTCCTTGTTCATTTCTCACATTATGGGTCCACAGCCTTCTGACTGAAGACCTTTCCTTGGTATATTATCATCTACACTCACCGCCCAGTCTACACACAGCAGTGGAGATGCTATTTGCCCCACCAGGGACAAGGTTTAAAATCCAGTGTGCTCAGCTCGGAGTGTTACAACTGGAGCACTCAGGAAATCAATGCATGCAACAGTGGTGTGGAAACCCTGCCTGGCATTATTGAAAGAGGCCCAGAAGGGGAGAACTTGCTCGGCAGTAACTGTCAGACATAAGCAGGTTCTCATTTGCTCATTTTCTTTTTGAATAGATGCTCCCATGATTCAATTACCTCCCACCAGGTACCTCCCACAACATGTGGGAATTCTGATGGTCTTATACATAGCAACTGTGATGACCTATTTCGGGAGCCTGACCTGGCCGGAGACTCCCTTCTGTCTTCTGAGAAGTTCAGAGGAACATCAGAGTTCAAGGTGGAGTGAGATCATGGCAGGAAGCCAAGGAGGTGGAGTGTATGGCTGTTTGGAGAAACTTCATCTTTCTTGGGGAGCTATACTCCCTAGGAAGAACTTCCAGTAAGTCGAGGGGATCCTGGTACACACTACAATTTTGTTCAATGGCTCCACGCACCTTTGAATTACAAAATGTTTTGGTTCCGGCCAGGGCAGCCTCCCGTAAGAGGCCATCACAGTTGCTATTTATAAAACCATCAAAAGGCTGGGCACGGTGGCTCACACCTGTAATCCCAGCACTTTGGGAGGCCAAGGCGGGAGGATCACGAGGCCAGGAGTTCGAGACCAGTCTGGCCAATATGGTGAAACCCTGTCTCTACTAAAAATACAAAAATTAGCCAGGCGTGGTGGTGTGCACCTGTAGTCTCAGACACTCAGGAGGCTGAGGCAGAAGAATCGCTTGAACCTGGGAGGCAGAGGTTACAGTGAGCTGAGATCGCACCACTGCATTCCAGCCTGGACGACCCAGCGAGACTCTGTCTCAAAAAAAAAAAAAAAAACACACCATCATAGTGTCAAGGACAAAACTTACCAGTAGGTTAGGGACTAGAGCGAACCGGGGGTTGCTTGTTAATGAGTCCAAAGTTTCCATTTTGCAAACTGAAGAGAGTTCTGCAGATGGATGGTGTTGATGGTTCCACAACTCTATAAATGTATTCAATGCCACTGTACACTTTAAAAAATGGTCAAGATGGTACATTTTATGGTATGCTATTTTACCACCATGAAAAGTAATTTTTCAAAGACAAATTAAGAGGAAAACTCATTAGCAAGTTCTAAGTCAGAATGACATAAAGAAGGCATTGAGGGTGGCACCAGGGAGCAACAGCTTTCATCTCAGACTTGGTATTTCTTCTGGAATCTACAGGAGATTTGCCCAGATTTTGCAACGTTAAGACAGAGCTTTACTACGTGCAGAACGGAGAGAAGAGACAAAGCTTATTATATACGTTCACATGACTGGTTTCCAGTGGGCGCCATATTGGTGTATGATCTTCCAATGACTTTTTACCATGAGATTGCTGGAAGATGGAGAAAATAAAATGTCAGATGTGTATTTTCTGGGCAGAAGGGCAGACACCATGCACACAGAATGTCTTCAAGGCTTTCTTAAGAGTTCATCAAAAATAAATAGGCTTTACAAATGCATCACTGTGCAAGAGTGTTGTATAAGGAATCACACATATTTTGCATTTGATCTTTCAAACAACACAGCAAAGGAGGTCTTATGACTTCCATTTTCCATACAGATGAGTTTAGACGCACGCTTGAGAACATGTCATTCTACTGTGTCTGTGTTTGACAGCTCTGCAGAGCTGTGTGCTGGTCTACAAGCAAAATTAAGTTGGCATCGAGCTCCAACAATGAATGAAGGGTACGTTTCTTGGGCCAATTTAGTCAAAGTGTCTCTGTTACCTGAGGGCTGCTTAATGGCCTTAGGGAACGAGCTTTGGAAGCACCTGTTAAAGACAGGCAGAACGCTGCAGGAGGGATGCCTGTCATTCCACGGTGTCTGCCCACGCTGTGCTGGTCCATCCTAATGAGCACGGGCATTAGAACTCAAGACGGCACAAGCCCCAGGCAGCGGAGTGAGCGGCCTCCAACCTCATGTGTGCTGCTGTGCACAGACAGGATTTCCAGATACATCCTGCTTTTCAGCCACTGCCTCAGATGAAAAGCTGGCAGCTGCATACATTTTGAATAGAGAACAAGGGAAAATGATTTTAAGCGATGCTTTCCGGCTCAGGGAATGATGTTGTTCCTTCCTACTGGGAGTCTTTCTCGAGTTTGTCTTCCAGGAGGCAGGTGAAGGTGAGAATTCTATACTGAACATTTGAGGCAGTCACTGAGAGCTTAAAAGTCTCCAGGGAATACGGCCGGGTGCAGGGGCTCACGCTGTAATCCCAGCACTTTGGGAGGCCGAGGTGGGCGGATCACCTGAGGTCAGGAGTTCGAGACCAGCGTGGCCAAAATGGTGAAACCCCATCTCTACTAAAAATACAAAAAATTAGCCAGGTGTGGTGGTGCATTCCTGTAATCGCAGCAACTCAGGAGGCTGAGGCAGGAGAATCGCTTGAACCTGGGAGGTGGAGGTTGCAGTGAGCTGAGATCACACTACTGCACTCCAGCTTGGGCAACAAGACCAAAACTCTATCTCAAAAAAAAAAAAAAAATGTCTCCAGGGAATGAATCCCAAGGAGCTCTGGGAGGCTCAGTCTTCCCCCAGGTATGTTCCTTCACATCCTCTTCCCCTTTGAGTCTGCATCTTAGCTGGTGGTTTTCTTCCACACAACTGGCTGTCGGGTATCTCTTGGGATTTGCATGTGCTTTTCTATCTGTGTTGCCTGTTCTGCTGGTCCACCTGATGAACACAGCCCCTACCATCTCCAACCTACACTTTCCCCCATAGGCATAACCTTCCCTGCACCTCCTGCACCTGTTGAGCTTAAATTAGTCAGAGACAACTCTCGCTATGGTGTACCTGTCCTATGGTCTAGGTAGTCACTCCTGAAAAAGAGGAACCTTTATTTATTTCACTTTGTATCTCCAATCACATGAGGAATGCCAGAAAGTCCCTTGACTTGACTTAGAAACTGCTGATAACTTTGTTCTTAATTCCTCTGTAAAAAAAATTATTTTTAGGCCACTTGCGGTGGCTCATGCCTGTCATCCCAGCACTTTGGGAGGCTGAGGCAGATCACTTGAGGTCAGGAGTTCGAGACCAGCCTGCCCAGCATGGTGAAACCCCGTCTCTGCTAAAAATACAGAAATTAGCCAGGCCTAGTGGTGTGCACATGTAATCCCAGCTACTCAGGAGGCTGAAGCAGAAGAATCACTTGAACCCGGGAGGTGGAGGTTGCAGTGAGCCAAGATCACACCACTGCACACTCCAGCCTGGGACTGAGTGAGACTCTGTCTCAACAACAACAACAACAAAATTCCATTTTCTTTTTTTTTTTAACTATACTTTAAGTTCTGGGATATATGTGCAGAATGTGCAGGTTTGTTACATAGGTATACATGTGCTGTGGTGGTTTGCTGCACCCATCAACCCATCATCTAGGTTTTAAGCCCTGCATGCATTAGGTATTTGCCCTAATGCTCTCCCTCCCCTTGCCCCCCAAGCCCCGACAGGCCCTGGTGTGTGACATTCACCTCCCTGTGTCCCTGTGTTCTCATTGTTCAACTCCCACTTATGAATGAGAACATGCGGTGTTTGGTTTTCTGTTCTTGTGTGAGTTTGCTGAGAATGATGGCTTCCAGCTTCATCCATGTCCCTGCAAAGGACATGAACTCATCCTTTTTATGGCTGCACAGTATTCCATGGTGTCTATGTGCCACATTTTCTTTATCCAGTCTATCATTGGTGGACATTTGGGCTGGTTCCCTGTCTTTTTAAGTTGCGGTAGGAGAATGTACCAACATTTACATTCTTAACCAGCCTGGGCAACGTGACAAAACCCCATCTGTACAAATACAACAAAATTATCTGGGCATGGTAGCACGCACCTGTAGTCCCAGCTACATGGGAGGCTAAGGTGGGAGAATTCCTTGAGCCCGAGAGGTTGAGGCTGTAGTGAGCCAAAATTATGCCACTGCACTCCAGCCTGGGTGACAGAGCAGGACACTGCCTCAAAAAAAAAAAAAAAAATTCTTTACAATTGCAGTACTTTCTCATTATTTAGGGTAGAGAGAGTCTATAAAGTCATAGCAAATACTAAATTAGCAAATATGACACCAGGGATTCCAGGGGAAATATAGACTTAGGTTCCCGTGAGCAACTGTTCATAAAACTGTTGGCCGCCAGTCCATAGATGAGCTTGTTGTATGTGTGTTTCTGTTCCCAGACACCTTACTGAATCGATATTGTAGACGCATTCCCACTGACGTCACAGTCAACAGCACTATAGCTCATGTCTGGGAAAAGCTTCTCTAACACACGGATTTTGTCTGCAAGACACACATCAGTTTTTTGCACTTCAGAACACTAAATAGTATTTCAACACTATGCATGGATTTTTTTTTCTTTTGAGATGGAGTTTTGCTCTTGTCACCCAGGCTGGAGTGCAATGGCGCGATCTCGGCTCACTGCAACCTCCGCCTCCCGGGTTCAAGTGATTCTCCTGCCTCAGCCTCCCGAGTAGCTGGGATTACAGGTGCCTGCCACCACCTCCAGCTAATTTTTGTATTTTTAGTAGAGGCGGGGTTTCACCACGTTGGCCAGGCTGGTCTGGACCTCCGGATCTCAGATGATCCGCCCGCCTCGGCCTCCCAAAGTGCTGGGATGACAGGCGTGAGCCACCGTGCCCGGCCTGCTTGGGGGTCATTTTAAACAGCAAAGTCACCAAGAAAAAGCGTAAGAAGGCAAGAAGTGTGGCAGTGAAGAGAAAGCAAAAAGAACACTTTTATTTATTTGTTTGTCTTTTAGAGTGGGAGAGCTGAAGTCACAAGACACAGCCTTTCTTTGTTAGATGTCAGCTGGGAGTGTGTGTGTGTGTGTGTGTGTGTGTGTGTGTGTGTGTGTGTTGGGTGATTCAAATCTTTTCATATTCAGTATGTGTCTGTGAGTGACCCAGGAAGCACCCTCACTATTGATTTGGGGTGACAAATCAATTTTAGTGAGCAGGGGAATTCATGAATTCACAATGTGCAGATAATGGCCATTTGTACATCTTCTTTTGAGAACTGTCTATTCAAGACAAGTGGCCAAGAAACGTATGAAAAAATGCTTAGCGTCACAAATGATCAGGGAAACGCAAGTCAAAACCACAATGTGATACCATCTTTCTCCCGAAGAATGGCCATAATCAAAACATCAAAAAATAACAGATGTTGGTGTGGATACAGGGAACAGGAACACTTCTACACTGCCGGTGGGAATGCAAACTCACACAGCCACTAGAGAAACGGTGTGGGGAGTTTTTTAAAGAACTGAAAGAACTACCATGTGATCCAACAGTGCCACTACCGGGTATCCACCCAGAGGAAAAGAAGTCGTTATACGAAAAAGATATGCACGCATTTTTTTTTGTAGACACGGCCTTGCTCTATTGCCAGGCTGGAGTGCAGTGGCGCGATCTCAGCTCACTGCAACCTCCACCTCCTGGGTTCAAGCGATTCTCCTGCCTCAGCCTCCCGGGTAGCTGGGACTACAGGCGCCCGCCACCACGCCCGGCTAGTTTTTGTATTTTTAGTAGAGACGCGGTTTCACCATGTTGGCCGGGATGGTCTCCATCTCCTGACCTCGTGATCCGCCCGCCTCAGCCTCCCAAAGTGCTGGGATGACAGGCGTGAGCCCCCGCACCCAGCCACACACGCATGTTTATAGCAGCACAATTCATAATTGCAAAATCGTGGAACCAACCCAAATGCCCATCAATGAGTGGATAAACTCTGGTATATATATATATATATATATATATATATATATATATATATATGTGTATATATATATATACGTATATATATATATGTATATATATATACACACACACACACATATACACACACATACTATATATATACACACTATATATATACACTATACACATATACACACTATATATCATATATACATGTACACAGTATATATATACACACAATATATACATGTGTCTATATATACAGCACTATATATACATATGTCTATAGTGCTGTATATATATACACACACACGAGATATATATATATATATATCTCGTGTGTGTGTATATAATGGAATACTACTCAGCCATGAAAAGGAATGAATGAATGGCATTCACAGCAACCGGGATGGAATTGGAGACCATCATTCTAAGTGAAGTAACTCAGGAATGGAAAACCAAACATCCTATCATCCTATGTTCTCCCTCATAAATGGGAGCTTAAGAAACTGTGGGGGGGGTGTGTGTGTGTGTATATAGTGTGTGTATATATATTTACACACAATGTGTGTGTATATATATTTACACACAATGTGTGTGAGTATATATATTTACACACAATGTGTGTGAGTATATATATTTACACACAATGTGTGTGAGTATATATATTTACACACACTGTGTGTATATTTACACACAATGTGTGTGTATATATATTTACACAGTGTGTGTAAATATATTTACACAGTGTGTGTGTATATATATTCACAGTGTGTGTGTATATATATTCACACAGTGTGTGTGTATATATATTTACACACTGTGTGTGTATATATACACTATATGTCTATATATAGTGCTGAATATATATACACACAATATATATATATGTCTATGTATATAGTGCTGTGTATGTGTATATATATATATATATATATATACACACACACACACACACGCTATATATATATAAAGTGGAATACTACTCAGCCAGGAAAAGGAATGAATGAATGGCATTCACAGCAACCTGGATGGAATTGGAGACCATCATTCTAAGTGAAGTAACTCAGGAATGGAAAACCAAACATCCTTTGTTCTCCCTCATAAGTGGGAGCCAAGTTAGGAGGATGCAAAGCCCTAAGAATGATATGATGGACTTTGGGGACTCAGCAGGAAAGGGTAGGAAGGAGACTAGAGATAAAAGACTACTAATTGGGTTCACTGTATACTGCTCAGGTGATGGGTGCATCCAAATGTCACAAATCACCACTAAAGAACTGACTCATGTAAGCAAACACCACCTGTTCCCCAATAACACATGGAAATAAAATATATATATATATAAGATAAAATAAAATAAAGAAAATACACAGATAATGAGGTCTGGTTGCATTTTGAACTAGGATGTGATTTGCATTCAGATGGGCTGTGTGCCCTGTTTCTTTTTTTGTTTTTTTCTTTTTTTGAAAGACAGGGTCTCACTCTGTTGCCCAGGCTGGAGTGCAGTGGCACAATCTCGGCTGACTGCATCCTCCGCCTCCTGGGTTCCAGTGATTCTCCTGCCTCAGCCTCCCGAGTAGCTGGGCACCATCACGCCGGGTTAATTTTTGTATTTTTAGTAGAGACAGGGTTACACCACAGTGGCCAGGATGGTCTTGATCTCTTGACCTCGTGATCTGCCCGTCTCAGCCTTCCAAAGTGCTGGGATTGCAGGCGTGAGCCACCACGCCCAGCCTGTGTGCCCTGTTCCTTACTGGCTCACCACTGTGGAAGTCTTGTCTCCTGCCATGAGACCTGGGGCTTTCTCTTTGCCCTTCAAATGGCCCAGTGGGTCCCTGAACTACCAGATGAGGCAGCCCACACAGACGCCACATGGGCATCTTGAGGCTCTTCCTAAGAATTCCTTCATTATTTTGTGATGCTTTAATGGGAAATAGACATGAATATGGTCAAAGAGTCAAAGTGATTTGGAAGTTGTTTAGCAATGAAGACAAGAAACTTCAGTCCGCCTTAGTAGCAAGATCAACTAGTTTTGCTTTTCCTGTTTCCCATGAATTGAGTCAAAGCCCGGAAGGGCAGCTTTTCAGAAGAGTTGAGCATGGAGAACAAATACAAAAGGATATCTAGGCCGGGCCATGAGGTCAGGAGTTCGAGACCAGCCTGGCCAACATGGTGAAACCCCATCTCTACTAAAAATGCAAAATTAGCCAGGCGTGGTGGCGGGCGCCTGTAATCCCAGCTACTCAGAAGGCTGAGGCAGGAGAATCACTTGAGCCAGACAGTCAGAGGTTGCAGTGAGCCGAGATCGCACCACCGCACTCCAACTTTGGTGACAGAGCAAGACTCTGCCTCAGAAAAAAAAAAAAAAAAAAAAAAGATATCTAGTTTAACGTGCTGAACGGGATACTCATTACTTACTTAAATAATCACCTAAATTGGAACCTTTCCATCGTAATGGATTGCTCCAGCATTTAGCCTAGCAGAATCCCAGTAAAACGTTCCAGCTATTTCTGCATCCTGTCTCTGACTCCCCAAGACGGTAGCCCAGCTATTCACAGTCAGGTCCATTTTCTTCATGAGGTTAAAATCCAACAGACTGTTGGTCACACGGCGGTTGGAGGCTTGCTGGGCTGGGTCTAATGGCATCTTGGAAGATAAGAGCTGGAGGAATGGTAATATGTTCCTCCAGGTTCTCACGAGCTGTCTTGCTTTTTATTTTTCCTTTTCCTGGTAAATGTGCATACGAGAAATGGAAACCGTAGACATACGTTATGACTGTGTTCCTGTACCCAACTGAGGTGGGGGCTGCTATTTCTCATGGCCCAATAATGAGATGCAGAGGAACTGGGGAGGAAGAGAGGTTTTTGTTGTTGTGTTGTTGCTGTTGTTGTTTTGAGACGGAGTCTTACTCTGTCGCCCAGGTTGCAGTGCAATGGCACGATCTCGGCTCACTGCAACCTCCGCCTCCCAGGCTTAAGCAACTCTCCTGCCTTGGCCTCCCGAGTAGCTGGGATTACAGGTGTGCACCACCACACCCAGCTAAATTTTGTATTTTAAGTAGAGACAGGGTTTCACCATGTTGGCCAGGCTGATCTCGATCTCTTGACCTCATGATCCACCCGCCTCAGCCTCCCAAAGTGCTGGGATTACAGGCGTGAGCCACCGCGCCCGGCCGGTTCAATGAATTTACACTCCCACCAACAGTGTAAAAGCATTCTTATTTCTCCACATCCTCTCCAGCATCTGTTGTTTCCTGACTTTTTAATGATTGTATTCTAATTCGCGTGAGACCGTATCTCATTGTGGTTTTCATTTGCATTTCTCTAATGACCACTGATTTTGTTCTTTTTTATGTCTGCATAGTATTCCGTGGTACATATGTACCACATTTTCTTTTCTTTTCTTTTTGAGACGGAGTCTTGCTCTGTCGCCCAGGCTGGAGTGCAGTGGCACGACCTCGGCTCACTGCAAGCTCCGCCTCCCGGGTTCATGCCATTCTCCTGCTTCAGCCTCCTGAGTAGCTGGGACTACAGGCGCCTGCCACTGCACCTGGCTAATTTTTTTTTTTTTTTTTTTGTATTTTTAGTAGAGACGGGGTTTCACCGTGGTCTTGATCTCCTGACCTCGTGATCCACCTGCCTTGGCCTCCCAAAGTGCTGGAATTACAGGCGTGAGCCACTGTCTTTTTCTTTTTTTTTTTTTTTTTAAGATGGAGTCTCACTGTCGCCCAGGCTGGAGTGCAGTGGTGCAGTCTTGGCTCACTGCAGCCTCCACCTCCTAGGTTCAAGTGATTCTCCTGCCTCAGCCTTTCAAGTAGCTGGGACTACAGGCGCCTGCCACCACCACGCCCGGCTAATTTTTGTATTTTTAGTAGAGATGGGGTTTTTACCATGTTGGCCAGGCTGGTCTTGATCTCTTGATCTCATGATCTGCCTGCCTCGGCCTCCCAAAGTGCTGGGATTACAGGTGTGAGCCACCGTGCCCGGTCAAAGCACATGATTTTATTCTTTTTTATGGCTGCATAGTATTCCATAGTATATATGTACCACATTTTCTTCCTTTTTTTTTTTTTTTTTTTTGACATGGAGTCTCACTGTCGCCCAGGCTGAAGTGCAGTGGAGTTGATAATTTGCTTCACATCAGGGGACTGAATACACTTTGCTTGGTGCATTTTTCCTTCCATTTTTCAGTGCAAGATGACGAGAATGTTGCAACACTAATGTAACAATGTCAGGTGCATGTTTTCTGCTTTCATTTCATGTTTAAATTACATGCTCCCGATCTTCCTGAAAAGGACTCTTACAAAGTTTACCCATTGAACACACGGTTTCAAATTTCTCTTCTTCCTTTTCCACCCTCCCACCTTTCCTAAGTAAAACTGACTACGGATTACAAGGAAAGAAGAGAAATAGAAAGAAAAAGACATGGCCTCAAAACCTAGATTAAGGCTGGGCACGGTGGTTTACACCTGTAATCCCAGCACTTTGGGAGGCTGAGGCTGGAGGATCACCTGGACTCTGGGAGGCTGAGACGGCAGTGAGCTGTGATCGCACCATTGCAGTCCAGCCTGGACCACAGAGTGAGAACCTGTCTCAACAACAACAAGTGAGGAAGCTGGGTCTCAACCCATGTCAGTGGTAGGGCACAGAGCTTTTATGAGAAATCTGCAAACTGTCAAATGCACCTGCCATGATGTGTGTGTGTGTGTGTGTGTGTGGCACACATTTTCCAAACGTGAAAATTCTGTTGAGATTAATGAAGTGAAAATGTACTGCAGATATATTACCGAATGTAGTAGTTTTAGTCATTAATAATTAGCTTAATGTGGCCAGGGGCGGTCCAGAGTCTGGCTCTGTCACCCAGACTGAGATTGCAGTGGTGCAATCTCAGCTCACTGCAACCTCTGTGTCTGGGTTCAAGCGATTCTCCTGCCTCAGCCTCTCGAGTAGCTGGGATTACAGGCATGCACCCTGACAGCCAGCTAATTTTTGTATTTTTAGTAGAGATGAGGTTTTACCATGTTGGCCAGGCTAGTCTCGAACTCCTGACCTCATGATCCGCCCATCTTAACCTCCCAAAGTGCAGGGATTACAGGTGTGAGCCACTGAATCTGGCCAAAACCTCTTTTCTTTTCCTTTTTCCTTTTTTTTTTTTTTTGAGACAGAGTTTCGCTCTTGTTGCCCAGGCTGGAGTGAAATGGCATGATCTCGCTCACTGTAACCTCTGCTTCCCAGGTTCAAGTGATTCTCCAGCCTCAGCCTCCCGAGTAGCTGAGGTTACCAGCATGTATCACCACACCTGGCTAATTTTGTATTTTTAGTAGAGATGAGGTTTCACCATGTTGATCAGGCTGGTCTTGAACTCCTGACCTGATGATGTGCCTGCCTCAGTCTCCCAAAGTGTTGAGATTATAGGCGTGAGCCACTGCACCTGGCCCAAACCTCTTTTCTTTGTAAATTCCGAGTCTCAGGTAGTTCTTTACAGCAGTGCAAGAATGGACCAATACACTTCCCCATTATCTGCAGGATAAATTCAGTTTCCTGGTTCAGGGTCCAATCTGATATGCTTCAACTTCTATTTCAAATATATCTTCCTGTGATCAGCCAAATGGATCTTGTGATCACTGTGTGCCTCATTGTGACTTCACGTCCAGAAGCTTGAAATATTCTTCCTCCACCTGTCCACCTTCTTGCATTCCGCCTGTCCTTAGAGACACAGTCAAAGGCAATCTTGCATCAAGACCCACTGGTCTATGATGCTCTCTTGCCAGCTCATTGCACGATGAGAAGCAGTCCTGCTATAGGAAGAATCCAGAGACCTCCCATCAAACACCGGTCTTCACTCACTAGCTGGCTGAATGAGTCAGGGTTAAAGCTCACAGCGATACCCAGGAGATCCAGAAATACAGTGAGTGGCCCAGTCAAGATGAAAGTTTACTTTCCATCCATGCTCCATCCAATGAGGTGGGCTCTGTCAAGCCTGAAAAATTTTTTCTCTGGTCCTTTACACAAATATTTTGCGAGTTCCCGACCTCCAGTATCTAAAACGTTCCCAAAGTTACCTTTTCAGTTAAACATAACACCAAAAGGTTCATATTATACCCTGTGTACTGTGTTGAATTTTTAAACACTAACAAGAAAAAACTGGCCAGGCGCAGTGGCTCATGCCTGTAATTCCAGCAATTTGGGAAGCAGAGGTGGGAGAATTGCTTGCGTTCAGCAGTTTGAGACCAGCCTGGGCGACATAGTGAGACTCTGCCTCTAAGAAAAGTAAAAAATTAGCTGGGCATACTGGCCCACACCTGTAATTTTAGCTACGGGGGCTGGAGGATGGCTTGAGCCCAGGAGATGGAGGTTGCAGTGGGCTATGATGGTGCGACTGCACTCCAGCCTGGGCAACAGAGTGTGATCCCATCCCTCAATAAAGAAAGAAAATAATGTTTTTATCAATAGTTAAATCTTTGCCTCCAAAAAGTTAAGCATTTTGGTGATTGTATTGGAAAAAGAAAATGCTGAGAAGTTCAACTTTGTTAATATACTAAGCACTGATTTAATGTTAATTATGGAAATGGCATCAGAAATGATTACTGTTTACAAAAACAAAATCAGGTGATGTATATAACCGTCCAATTAGGTGGGCTCTGTAAAGCCTGAAATATTTTCTATCTTGTTCTTTATACAAATATTTTGTGAGTTCATGACCTCCAGCATCTAAAATGGTCCAAAAGTTACCTTTTAAGTTAAACATAAAACCAAAAGTTTCATATTATACCCTCTGTACTCTGTTGAATGTTTAAAGACTAACAAGAAAACACCGGCCAGGCACAGTGGCTCATGCCTGTAATTCCAGCAATTTGAGAAGCCGAGGGAGCCGAGATTAATATGCTAAGCACTGATTTAATGTTTATAATTACAGAAATGGCACCAGGATTACTGTTTACAAAAAAAAAAAAACAGGTGATACGTGAGGTCTGTCAACCGTGGTTGTGTGTGACCGTGTGCCAATAACTCAGTTATTCCCATTTTCTCATCTGTAAAATGGGTAAAATTAAACTTTCCTCATAAAATGTTCACGGGTATCAAGTAAAATCATATGTGTAAGTATCTAGCAAAATTTAAGGCCAATAACAAGCCATTGATAAATGGCAGCTCTTTTTTAAAAAATTGATCTGAAAACAAATTTTTCTTTTTTTTTTGAGATGGAGTCTCACTCTATCGCCCAGGCTGGAGGGCAGTGGCGCGATCTCAGCTCACTGCAAGCTCTGCCTCCTGGGTTCACGCCATTCTCCTGCCTCAGCCTCCCAAGTAGCTGGGACTGCAGGCACCCGCCACCATGCCCAACTAATCTTTTGTATTTTTAGTAGAGACTGGGTTTCACGGTGTTAGCCAGGATGGTCTCGATCTCCTGACCTCGTGATCCGCCCACCTCAGCCTCCCAAAGTGCTGGGATTACAGGTGTGAGCCATTACGCCCGGCTAATCTTTTGTATTTTTGGTAGAGACTGGGTTTCACCACGTTAGGCAGGATGGTCTCAATCTCCTGACCTTGTCATTCACCCACGTGGGCCTCCCAAAGTGCTGGGATTACAGGCGTGAGCCACCGCGCCCAGCCCTGAAAACATAATTTTGTTTTCAAGTGTTGGGGCTCAGGTTTGTCCATCGTCACAAAAACGTTGTCCATAAAATGTAACAATACCACAACACCGGAAAAATGCTTCCACAAGTGGCTGAGGCAGTAATGAAAGTAATTACACCTGTCACTTCTTTTTCTTGTTGCTGTTATTGTTGTCTAAAGTTTAGCTTGCTTCATTCTTTCCCTTAAACTTTTATCTTAGGTTTGGGGGTACACGTGCAGGTTTGTTGTAGGTCAATTTGTGTCACCGCAGTTTGTTGTACAGATGATTCCATCACCCAGGTATTAAGCCCAGTACCAATAGTTATCTTTTCTGCCCCTCTCCCTCCTCCCACCCTCCACCCTCAAGTAGAGGTGTCTCTTGCTCCCTTCTTTGTGTTCATGAGTTCTCCTCATTTAGCTCCCACTTATTTATTTTTTTATTTTTTTGAGACGGAGTGTCACCCTGTCGCCCAGGCTGGAGTGCAATGGCGTGATCTTGGCTCACTGCAACGTCCGCCTCCCGGGTTCAAATGATTCTTCTGCCTCAGCCTCCCCAGTAGCTGGGATTACAGGTGCCTGCCACCACGCCCGGCTAATTTTTGTATTTTTAGTAGAGATAGGGTTTCACCATGTTGGCCAAGCTGCTCTCAAACTCCTGACCTCGTGATCCACCTGCCTCGGCCTCCCAAAATGCTGGGATTACAGGCCTGAGTGACCGCGCCCGGCCTAGCTCCCACTTATAAGTGACAAAGTGCAGTATTTGATTTTCTGTTACTGCATTAGTTTGCTAAGGGTGATGGCCTCGAGCTCCATCCATATTCCTGTAAAAGACATGATCTCATTCCTTTTTCACAGTTGCATACTATTCCATGCATGCCTGTAATTCCCAAGCATGTAGAAATATTACAACACGATCCAGCGGCATAAAATGTGGTTTGAACCCACCCCCATCCTTTGGTTTTTCTCTTTCCTCCCTTCCCTTAACCTCCTACTTTTAGTTTTTAGCGTGCCTCCTTCTGTTTCTTTTTTATTTTTTTTTTATTGAGACAGAGTCTTGCTCTGTCGCCCAGGCTGCAGTGCAGTGGTGCAATCTCGGCTCACTGCAAGCTCCGCCTCCCGGGTTCACACCATTCTCCTGCCTCAGCCTCTCCGAGTAGCTGGGACCACAGGTGCCCCCAACCGCGCCGGGTTTTTTTTTTTTGTTTTTTTTTTTTTTGTATTTTTAGTAGAGACGGGGTTTCACCGTGGTCTCGATCTCCTGACCTCGTGATCCGCCCGCCTCGGCCTCCCAAAGTGCTGGGATTACAAGCGTGAGCCACCGCGCCCGGCCTGTTTCTTGTATGCTAAGGTTTGCATTACAGCTGGGAAAGTGGAGAAGAGACAATGTTTCTCCTCCAACCGAGTAAACAAAATTACGGGGATTAGAATGTGCCTGCTAAGAGCTCAGTAAACGTCATCTAGTGGTTACTAAGTGACCAAACAGGAAGCTGGGTGTTCATGCAGTCATGCCTGGATTCACTCACACTGCAGCCGCTGGTAGGGACAGACACAGCAGGGTTGGGACAGATTTGGTGGAAGAAATCATAAGCTAAAGAGAAACCCTGGCGTGCAAAACAATCCTTCCTGGCCGGGTGCGGTGGCTCACGCCTGTAATCCCAGCACTTTGGGAGGCCGAGGCGGGCGGATCACAAGGTCAGGAGTTCAAGACCAGCCTGCCCAATATGGTAAAACCCCGTCTCTACTAAAAAAAAAAAAAAAAAAAAAAAATCGCCAGGCGTGGTGGCGGATGCCTGTCGTCCCAGCTACTCGGGAGGCTGAGGCAGGAGAATCGCTTGAACCCGGGAAGCGGAGGTTGTAGTGAGCTGAGATCGGCCCACTGCACTCCAGCCTGGGAGACAGAGCAAGACTCTGTCGGAAAAAAAAAACAAAAACAAAAACAAAAAAACCATTCCTTCCTGGTAGCAGGCCTCATTCATCAGCAGCCCATAAAGGACTCTACTGACTTTTTGTCCTAGGTTAACTACAACCTGTGTCCCAGAAACTGCAGAGAGGCTCCCTTCAGGGTTCCCACGCTCATCCACATACACATACACTCACGCATGCACACGGCTATTCACACTCGTGCATACACATATACATATACATTGCAGGTGTGCACAGGTTTTCACACGCATCTGCACACGCACGCATGCAGCTAAAAGCATATGTGCATTTTACACACGCACACATGCATTCACGCACACATGAGGCATTTGCACACGTGCACGGGTGCACTCTGTGGTCTCTGCCCTTCCTCTCGGCACTGCTTCTCCTTCATGGATCCCTTCCTTTTGTGATTTCAAGAAAGCCTCTTTGGAGAAGGTCTTCCACTCCAACACCAACCTGTCAACCAAAATCCTGCCCCGTGTCGGCAGCACGGCCTTTGTAGATTGCATGCTGGGTCCAAATCACATTCTATGTTGTTTTCAGCAGTGCTCCCCTCGATGTGTGCCACAGCCCTCATCAAGAGGAGTCCAGAGCTGTCGTCATCAGCGCTACGATGCTGATCCTGTCTTTGTCCTCTATTCTCCTCTTTGCATACACAGCCAGCTCATCTACCGAAATGAGAACTCTTGTGTGTCAGGGTCTAAGTGTTTCTCCTCTTTGCAGCCCTGCTTCCACTGAAACCCAGGCATACACATGCATGTACAGATACACTCACACCTGCATGTACACACGTGCGTATACATGCATTGCACACATCGATTCACACATAGGTATGTACACCCATGCACATACACACTGCATATATGTGCAGATTTTCACACATACATGAGGCATCTGCACACGTGCACAGGTGCACTCAGTTTTTCACACTCATGCACACGCAGGCACACATGCATGCACACATATGCACATACATCAATAAATGCATAGCCCACACACATATTTACACATGCACGAAGCATTCTCATACCCATGAATACACGTTCATACATGCACACACAAGCATCCACTCAAGTACACATATTCACACATGCATGTACACACATGCACAGAAACACACATACATGATACACATGCAACCCTTTCACAGTGCATGCACGGTGCACACACACATGCACACATTCACACATGCATGTGTGCATTGAACACGCATTTGCGCATGCACAAGGCATTCACACAATCGTGCATACACATTCACACCTTCATGCACACAAATTCACATATGCATTTGCAGGCATGCAGTGATGTGTGCACACGTGCATTCAGATGCGTGAATTCATGCAAACACACACAAACAACACGCACACATATGGATGCATACACACACATGCATGCATACTGAGACACCCTGAGGCACAGTGAGATGTCTGTAACATAATACAAATTGGGTGGTTACATTTGGCCTCTTGAAATTCAACAAAACCACAATACAATCCAGCATCTTTGGTCCAAAGCAGCTCCTGCCTCCTGACTTCTGCTCCAGTGGTGCGTCTGTTTTCCTAGAGTGTCGTCTGGGGCAACAACGCTTCTTTGAACTTTGCAAAAAGGCTTGGGATGTGTTGACCCAAGTCCAGCTCTGTGATCTCAAATAACTTAGCCAGTCTCTTTTGTTGCTTCTGTCTCACTAAAGAGAATAGGTTCCACTAGAATTTGACCATGGCAACCACAGTCTTTTTTGTTTGTTTGTGTTTGAGACAGAGTCTTGCTCTGTCACCCAGACTGCAATGCAGTGGCAAGATCTCGGCTCACTGCAACCTCCGCCTCCTGGGTTCAAGCGATTCTCCTGTCTCAGCCTCCGGAGTAGCTGGGATTACAGGCACGCACCAACACGCTCAACTAATTTGTGTGTTTTTAGTAGAGACAGGGTTTCACCAACTTGGTCAGGCTGGTCTCGAACTCCTGACCTCACGTGAGCCACCTGCCTCTGCCTCCCAAAGTGCTGGGATGACAGGCGTGAGCCACCGCGCCTGGCTGGCAACCACAATCTTGAGCAGTTGCTCTGATTTTATTCTCATAACTTAGGGGTATTTGTTGTTACCCCAGCACAGAATGGAAAACTGGTGCATGGGGTGGTTTAATAACCTGTGCAGGGTCAGGCAGGTGGAAAATAGCAGGTATGATTCAACCTTGTTTCTCTCTCTAGGTGGTCCTGTCGACCGTCGCTTGACCTGGCTGATTCCGAAGCTGCCTTCTGGCGCAGACATCCTACACTGCTGGATTCCTCCTCCATCTTTTGCTCCTCAGTTATCCGATGTGGAGGGAATCCCTCCCTCTCAAGTCATTGCCACCTTCTGTCCACGTTACCAAATGAGGTCACTGGTCCTCATCTGTGGGTTCCTTCATGCAGCGTTGCACGCCTCCACAAGCACGTTGCCGTTTCGAGAACTCTGGCTAGTGATGTCACATCGTTGATGAGAGGCCACGTGGTCCTTCAGGTGGAAGCTGTGAATGAACATCCTCCCAGCCTGGATGTGGAGAAACAGGAACGCTTTTACACTGTTGGTGGGAGTGTTAACTAGTTCAACCATTGTGGAAGACAGTGTGGCGATTCCTCAAGGACGTTGAACCAGAAAGACCATTTGACCCAGCCATCCCATTACTGGGTATATACCCAAAGGATTATAAATCATGCTGCTATAAAGACACATGCACACGTATGTTTATTGTGGCACTGTTCACAATAGCAAAGACTTTGGAACCAACCCAAATGCCCATCAATGGTAGACTGGATAAAGAAAATGTGGCACATACACAGCATGGAATTCTATGCAGCCATAAAAAAGGATGAGTTCATGTCCTTTGCAGGGACATGGATGAAGGTGGAAACCATCCTTCTCCAGAAACCAACACAGGAAGAGAAAACCAAACACTGCATGTTCTCACTTATAAGTGGGAGTTGAACAATGAGAACACATGGACACAGGGAGGGGAACATCACACACTAGGGCCTGCCGGGGAGGTGGGAGGCTAGGGGAGGGAGAGCATTAGGACAAATACCTAATGTAGATGATGGGTTGATGGGTGCAGCAAACCACCATGGCACGTGCATACCTACGTAACAAACCTGCACGTTCTGCACACGTACCCCAGAACTTAAAGTAGAATTAAAAGAAAAAAAAAAGAAAACAAGAAAAGAAAATCATCCCAACCTGATACGGTATCAGGTTGCGCTGGTCATTTTATCATGTATCTCACTGGGATCTGAACTCATGCCAAGCTGGCTACAAGCCCCTCTGTGTGTAAGACACTCCCTGCAGCTTCAGGGAGGTCAGAAGCTACACACACACACACACACACACACACACACACACACACACACACACATCCTGTATAGCTCCATCATCAAATGCCTGGAGGCTCCAGAAATGCGTGATGCCCCCAGGGTGGTCGAAAGACTCAGCCACGGGGCTCCAATTTCTGTTCCCTCCCCTAAGCAACCAACTTCCCTTTTTTTTTTTTTTGAGATGGAGTCTCTCTCTGTCACCAGGCTGGAGTGCAGCGGCACGATCTCAGCTCACTGCAACCTTCGTCTTCTGGGTTCAAGCGATTCTCCTGCCTCAGCCTCCTGAGTAGCTAGGACTACAGGCACCTGCCACCCCGCCTGGCTAATTTTTGTATTTTTAGTAGAAACAGGGTTTCACCATGTTGGCCAGGATGGTCTCGATCTCCTTGAAGGAAGAGAGAGACCCTCTCATATTGTTTTATATACTCAGCACCTGTTTTAAGAAGAAACAACAAGGAAGTAAAACCAAAGACAGGCAGCCCGGCGCCAGGCCTGAAACCAGGCCTGGGGCTGCCGGCCCTAAACCCAGTAGTTAAAAATCAACTCATAACTTAGAAACCGATGTTATTCATAGATTCCAGACATCGTATAGAAGAACACTGTGAAACTCCCTGCCCGTTCTGTTTCTCTCTGACCACAGGTGCATGCAGCCCCTGTCACGTACCCCTTGCCTGCTCAAATCAATCATGACCCTTTCATGTAAAATCTTTAGTGTTGTGAGCCCTTAAAAGGGACAGAAATTGTGCATTCGGAGAGCTCAGATTTTAAGGCAGTAGCTTGCCAATGCTCCCAGCTGAATAAAGCCCTTCCTTCTGCAACTCGGTGTCTGAGAGGTTTTGTCTGCAGCTCGTCCTGCTACATCCTGACCTTGTGATCCACTCGCCTCGGCCTCCCAAAGTGCTGGGATTACAGGCGTAAGCCACCGCGCCCGGCCCTTCCCTCCTTTTTATCTGGTCTCTCTACTCTCAGCCGCACCCCAACAGTTTGCCTTTCCTTCCTCACTGTTCATGCCTCGTGTTACCCTCAATTCCCAGATGCTTAGATGCCCTGTCCAAACTGGGCAATGTCAGTCCGCTGCTCCAGCACCTCCGCCTCCTCCGGCTCCTGGAATGAAATTCAGCCCAAGGCCCTGACATGCAGGGGTGACTCTTGGATTCGGCCACAGTGCCCTCCCTCGCTCCTGGAATCGCTACGTCAGTTCTTGCCTCGGGGTCTTTGTGTGTGCTGTTCCCTCTGATTGGAATACTCTCCTCTCACTACCCCCATATCCGTGTGGCCCTCACCTTCTCATCAAGAGGGTCTTTGGCTTCAGGGTCAACCCTTCCCTCACCTTCTCTCACCACTCTCTAGAAGCTTCTCTCCGGTACCTTCCTTCAGCTTTCTTCTTGGCTCTCAACATTCTCTGGCTATATTCATGTCTGCGAGTATGCCTACGTCTAATTCCACATCCACACTCACATCTACCTGCATTTACACCTGTATCTATCATCTACCTGTCTATCCATTTATCTATTTACCTACGTATCTGCCTATCTAGCTATGCATTATCTATCTATCCATCTATTTCTCTATCATCTATCTACATAGCTATCTATCCATGATCTCTCTATGCATCATCTATGTATCTATCGATCTATCGTCTATCTGCCTATTATCATCTATATATCTCTCCATCATCTATCTATGCATCATCTATTATCTATCACCTATCATCTATGTAGCCCATCTATCCTTTATCTGTCTGCCTATCTATATCTATCTGCCTATCGTCATCTACGTATCTATCTATCTATGCATCATCTCTCCATTATCTGTCTATCCATCTTATCATCTATGTAGCTCATCTATCATCTGTCTGCCTGCCTATCTACCTATATCTGTCTGCCCATCTACCTATATCTATCATCTGTCTATCTATATCTATCATGTCTGCCTATCTATATCTATCCATCTATCATCTGTCTGCCTATCTATATCTATCTAATCTATCTCTATCTAGCTATCTATCATCTGTCTGCCTATCTATATCTATCATCTATCTTTTATCTGTCTGTCTGCCTCTATCTATCTATCTATCTATCTATCTATCTATCGATCGGTCTGTTTGCCTATCTAAATCTACTTATCTATCATCTGTCTGCCTATCTATATCTATCTATCATCTATCTATCTATCTTTTATCTGTCTGCCTATCTCTATGTATCTATCTATCTATCTATCATCGGTCTGTCTATCTAAATCTACTTATCTATCTATCATCTGCCTATCTATCATGTCTGCCTATCTATATCTATCATCTGTCTATGTATATCTATCCGTCTATCATCTATCTATATATCTATCCATCATCTATTTATCATCTATGTATCTCATCTATTATCTGTCTCTCTGTATCTCTAAATTATCTATCTAATCTATCTAATGTCAGTCAATGGATCTGTATCTATTGTCTAGTTATTAATCATCTAATATGCTTATTATGTCATCAAATCTATTTATCTATTATTTATATCCGTCATCTATTGCCTATCTATCTAATCTATGCACATCTAACTACCTATCTGTTATCTATTATCTGTCAATCATCTAATCTATTTTTTTTTTTTGAGATGGAGTCTTGCTCTGTCACCCAGGCTGGAGTACAATGCTGTGATCTTGGCTCACTGCAACCTCCACCTCCCTGGTTGAAGCGCTTCTCCTGCCTCAGCTTCCCGAGTAGCTGGGATTACAGGTGCACACTACCATGTCCAGCTAATTTTTTGTATCTTTAGTAGAGACAAGATTGCACCATGTTGGCCAGGCTGGTCTTGAACTCCTGAACTCATGATCCGCCTGCCTTGGCCTCCCAAAATGCTGGGATGACAGGCGTGAGCCACTGCACCCAGCTAATCTATCTCTTATCTATGAATACCAATCATTTATTATCTATGTATATCATCTGTTATTTCTCTGTTGTGCATCGGTTATCTAGTTTAGCTATTATGTAACTATATCATCTATCTATCATCAATCATCAAATCTATAAATCTTATGTACCTATGTATCTATGTACATCTGTATCCAGACCCAATTCTGTATCTGTATCCATGTCTGTGTCTCTTTCTATATCTGAATCTATGACCGTATCTATTTTACACCTGTTTCCGTATTCATCTCTATGCCTCTGTCTCTCTATATCTATGTATCTATGCCCATATCTGTGTCTGTACCTAGGTCCATTTCCATTCCTGTTTCATATCTGTATCTAGATTTCCTTTCCCATTGCCTCCCTCCCTTTTAATCCTGGCTCCATTTCAGGTGAAAAACCAGTATCTGGCTCATAGTTGACAATATTTGTGGGAAGAATAAATTCATCATTAAGTACATTCATTGATCTTCTCAATTAATTCTTAGTATTTCTCATGAGAAAACAGGAGACATGAGGTTTGGAGAAGGAGAATTTAATGGGAAGCAGAGGCTGTAAGTAGGGTGATTTGTTGTCCTAGGGGTGACTTTAGGGTTTAACGCATCAGCCCTGAGCCAACACTGTAAGCACCATGAATTACAGTTTTTTTGTGTTTGTTTTTTGAGACGGAGTCTTATTCTGTTGCCCAGGCTAGAATGCAGCGGTGCAATCTCAGCTCACTGCAACCTCTGCCTCCTGGGTTCAAGCAATTCTCCTGCCTCAGCCTCCCAAGTAACTGGGATTACAGGAGTGTGCCACCACGCCTGGCTAATTTTTGTATTTTTAGTAGCGATGGGGTTTCGCCATGTTGGCCAGGCTGGTCTTGAACTTCCGACCTCGTGATCTGGCTGCCTCAGCCTCCCAAAGTGCTGGGATTACAGGCGTGAGTCACTGTGCCCGTGCCCGGCCAAGTACAGTAATTTTTATCCAACTGCATTCCTCTGTCTGAATAAGGAGCCGAGATCCTGCCTTTTTCTTTTCTTTGAGTTCTTACTGTCTTTATGTAGCAGATTGTCTCCAGATCGCCTCCAGCAAAGAAGAGGAGGAAGTTGGAAAATAAAAAAATAAGAGCTTAGTGGTGTCTCTGCATGATTCCCTCACAGTGTTTTGTCCTGAAGCTTCTCAGAACCCGCTGTTCACCACAGGACGTCTTGGTGAAACAGTCTCTGTATTATCTGCCTTATCTGTTAGGCAAATGCCAAATTCTTCCCTCTCTAGGACGACCAAGTTGTGCTCTGCTCTTAAACTGAGGAACGTCTGGAATTCAGGGGTCAGCCCAAGTCACACCCAGGAGTAAAAGAAACTGAACATTCTCTACATGCAAGCCTCCATTCCCAAAATGCCCTCCTTTAAGCTCACGTTGCCTAAAAAATGAAGACGTGTGGGATTAACACAGCCAAGTGAAGCTCTTTCACAGAGGTAGCATGGGCTTGCATTATGTATTATGTACCTATTGCATAGACGTAGCATGGACCTGCTTTATGTATTATGTGTCTCTTGCATAGACGTAGCATAGACCTGCTTTACGTATTATGTGTCTCTTGCATAGACGTAGCATGGACCTGCTTTACGTATTATGTGTCTCTTGCATAGACGTAGCATGCACTTCCATTATGTATTCCATTATGTATTCTGTGTCTATTGCACAGATGTAGCATGGACCTGCATTATGTATTACATATTACATATTATGTACCTATTGCATAGACGTAGCATGGACTTGCATTATGTATTATGTATCTATTGCATAGACGTAGCATGGACCTGCAGCTCTATGCTTCACGGAAGGCATCACGGTGGCAGCCTCCTTCTCAATACTGGGGTGCTGGACGTCCCCAGATCCTCTGGGATCATTTCCTGTATCTATGTGCATGACCGTGCCTCATCCCTGAATGCTGCCCGATGCTGCGGCTTTGCTGTCTCTGCGATGATTCACACTGACAGATTTAAATCCCTAGGAGCGGTACCTCCCGTCCTGGAGGTGGGAAGGACAGACTCAGTGCCTGCTGGAACGTGACCAGAATGCATGCAGATCTCTGCTTTGCACCTGATGCAGAGCTAGGGGTCAGCACCATGGTGTAGACAGGTGTGTGTGTGTGTCTGGTATGTTATGGTCAGGGGAGTCGTTCTGATATTTTTTACATGCAAAGAATACCTCGTTCTATAGCAGTGATTCTCATCTGGGAGTGGTTCTGTTCCCTAACCGCCACCCCCCCTCCCCCAACGCCGCGACATTTGGCAATATCTAGGGACATTTTTGGTGGTCATAACAAGCTAGGGATGCTATGGGCATCTAGTGGGTGGAGACCAGGGATGCTGTACAGCACAGCCTCTTAATTATCCATCCCACATGGCAATGGTGTTGAGGTCAAGAAACTCTGGTTTAGCATGAGAGGCTCTGTCTGTTTATGTCTCATCTGGCCATCACCTAGCATCCATCTGTATCTACCTATCAATTTTCTTTGTCTATCTATTATCTATCTATCGATCTATCACTATCATCTATCTAACCATCATCATCTGTTATCACCATCACGTGTCTAACTATATCATCACCATCATCTATCTATCCATCTATCACCTACCTATGCATCCATCCACCCACCTATCATCTATCCATCCATCCATCCATCTACCCATCCACCTATCATGTATCTATCCATCCATCCACCTATCATGTATCTATCCATCCACCTATCCATCTAATCTATCCATCCATCTACCCATCCACCTATCCATCCACCCACCATGTATCTATCCATCCACCTATCATGTATCTATCCATCCACCTATCCATCTAATCTATCCATCCATCTACCCATCCACCTATCTATCCATCCACCCACCATGTATCTATCTATCCACCTATCCATCCATCCATCCATCTACCCATCCACCTATCTATCCATCCACCCACCTGTCATATGTCTATCCATTCATCTATCCATCCATCCATCCATCCACCCATCCACCTATCTATCAATCCACCCACCTATCATGTATCTATCCATCCATCCACCCATTATCTATCTAATCCATCTACCCGTCCACCTATCATCCATCCACCCACCTATCATGTATCTATCCATCCATCCACCTATTATCTATCCATCCATCTACCCGTCCACCTATCATCCATCCACCCACCTGTTTCTATCTATCCAGCCATCTATCTATCCATCCATCCATCTACCCATCTATCTATCTATCTATCTATCTATCCATCTATCCATCCATCTACCCATCTTTCTATCTATCTATCTATCTATCTATCTATCTATCTATCTATCTATCCATCCATCCATCCATCCATCTGCTCATCTATCTATCTGTGGCAGTTGTTTGCAACCAAGGAAAATTCTGCCCTTGAGGACATACTGCCTAACATCTGAGGGCATCTTTGGTTGTCACCACCTGATGGAGGAGATCCTGGCCTCTGGTGTGTAGATCCCAGGTACGCTGCTCAACACCTTACAGTGCCCAGGATGGCCCCACCACAGACAGTCCTCCAGTCTGAAATGTCAGCGGTGCTGAAGTTGAGAAACCCTGACATCAAGGTAATGGCTGGGCATAAGAGATTCTGTCTATTTAACTATCAATCATCTATCAATCTATCAATCATCTGTCCTTCTTTCAATCTATCATATCCTATGTAGCTATCTATCCTGTTTATTATCTATCTGTGTCTCTATCATCTATCCAGCATCTATTTATCTATCATTTAGCATCTCTGTATCTCTTTATCAATAATCTTTATCTATCTGTGTATCATCTATCTATATCTATCCAGCTATCACTATCATTTATCTGTCGATGACAGTGGTTTTCAATTCGGGGTGATTTTTCTCCCCTGGGGTCACTGTGTTATATCTGAGGACAGCTTTGGTTATCACAACTGTGGGGGTGCTCCTGGTATCTGGTGGGTGGAGCCCAGGGGCGCTGCTCAACACGCTACGGTGAACAGGACAGCCCCGCCCCGCCCCAGGAGAATCCTCCAGCTCACACATGCCAGCAGTGCTGAGGCTGAGAAACGTTTCAGAAAATGAAAGCATCTTAAGAGACTCAGTGTTTGATGCAAAAACAGCAAACTTGGTGATACCCCTCCTGAAAGTGGAAGTTTCAGCACAAAACTGTTATCGAATCAGCCTCTGTGTCTCAAAGGCTCAACTTACAATCCCCATGACCTTGGAGTCACCGCCTTCGGTGGAAGGTACCATTTCCGGGCAAGTGGGTCACCGCCTTCGGTGGAAGGTACCATTCCCAGGCACGTGGGTCACCGCCTTCGGTGGAAGGTACCATTCCCGGCAAGTGGCTCACCGCCTTCAATGGAAGGTACCATTTCCGGGCAAATGGGTCACCGCCTTTGGTGGAAGGTACCATTTCCGGGCAAGTGGGTCACCGCCTTCAATGGAAGGTACCATTTCCGGCAAGTGGGTCACCGCCTTCAGTGGAAGGTACCATTGCTGGGCAAATGGGTCACTGCCTTAGGTGGAAGGTACCATTTCCGGGCAAGTAGGTCACCGCCTTCAATGGAAGGTACCATTTCCGGCAAGTGGGTCACCGCCTTCAATGGAAGGTACCATTTCCGGGCAAGTGGGTCACGGCCTTTGGTGGAAGGTACCATTTCCGGGCAAGTGGGTCACCGCCTTCAATGGAAGGTACCATTCCCCGGGCAAGTGGGTCACCGCCTTCGGTGGAAGGTACCATTCCTGGGCAAGTGGCTCACCGCCTTCAAATGGAAGGTTCCATTTCCGGGCAAGTGGGTCACCGCTTTCAATGGAAGGTACCATTCCCAGGCACGTGGGTCACCACCTTCGGTGGAAGGTACCATTCCCAGGCAAGTGGGTCACCACCTTCAATGGAAGGTACCATTACCAGGCAAGTGGGTCACCGCCTTTGGTGGAAAGTACCATTCCCGGGCAAATGGGTCACTGCCTTCGGTGGAAGGTACCATTTCCGGGCAAGTGGGTCACCGCCTTCAATGGAAGATACCATTCCCGGGCAAGTGGGTCACCGCCTTCAGTGGAAGGTACCATTCCCGGGCAAGTGGGTCACCACCTTTGGTGGAAGGTACCATTTCCGGGCAAGTGGGTCACCGCCTTCAATGGAAGGTACCATTCCCCGGGCAAGTGGGTCACCGCCTTCGGTGGAAGGTACCATTTCCGGGCAAGTGGGTCACCGCCTTCGGTGGAAGGTACCATTCCCGGGCAAGTGGGTCACCGCCTTTGGTGGAAGGTACCATTTCCGGGCAAGTGGGTCACCGCCTTCAATGGAAGGTACCATTCCCCGGGCAAGTGGGTCACCGCCTTCGGTGGAAGGTACCATTTCCGGGCAAGTGGGTCACCGCCTTCGGTGGAAGGTACCATTCCCGGGCAAGTGGGTCACCGCCTTCAATGGAAGGTACCATTTCCGGGCAAATGGGTCACCGCCTTTGGTGGAAGGTACCATTTCCGGGCAAGTGGGTCACCGCCTTCAATGGAAGGTACCATTCCCCGGGCAAGTGGGTCACCGCCTTCAATGGAAGGTACCATTCCCAGGCACGTGGGTCACCGCCTTCAATGGAAGGTACCATTCCCAGGCACGTGGGTCACCGCCTTCAATGGAAGGTACCATTCCCAGGCACGTGGGTCACCGCCTTCGGTGGAAGGTACCATTCCCAGGCAAGTGGGTCACCGCCTTCAATGGAAGGTACCATTTCCGGGCAAATGGGTCACCGCCTTTGGTGGAAGGTACCATTTCCGGGCAAGTGGGTCACCGCCTTCAATGGAAGGTACCATTGCCGGGAAAATGGGTCACTGCCTTGGGTGGAAGGTACCATTTCCGGGCAAGTGGGTCACCGCCTTCAATGGAAGGTACCATTTCCAGACAAGTGGGTCACCGCCTTTGGTGGAATGTACCATTCCTGGGCAAGTGGGTCACCGCCTTGGGTGGAAGGTACCATTTCCGGGCAAGTGGGACCCCACTGTGGGATCTTACCTGTCAGGCCTCTGAGCTGAAGCTCAGCCATTATCACTCCTGTGACCTGCACATATACATCCAGGTGGCCTGCAGGAGCCAAGAATTCTGGAGCAGCCAAAGAAAAAAACTACAAAGAAGTTAAACAGCCAGTTCCTGCCTTAACTGATTAACTAAAATTACAATATTTTACTATTGTGACTTGTCCCTGCCCCAGTTTAGCTGATCAATCAACTCTGTGACATTCTTCTTCTGGACAATCAGTCTTATGATCTCTCCACCATGCACCTTGTAACCCCCTCTTCTGCTGACGATAGATAACCACCTTTTGCTGTAATTTTCCATTACCTACCCAGCTCCTGTAAAGCCACACCTTCCCCATCTCCCTTCGCTGACTCTCTTTTCGGACTCAGCCCACTTGCACCCAAGTGAATACACAGCTTTATTGCTCACACAAAGCCTGTTTGGTGGTCCCTTCACGGACGCGCGTGACACTTATCCAGCGGTACTTCCTGCAGAACCCTGACCTTTTACAAAAATCCACCAATTCAAAATGTATTGTGTGGATGGCTTCAGGATGGAAGCAGTCTCCACTCCTAAGCTTTGGGGGAGGAAGGGCTGAAAGTGATCGCTTAAGCCCCCTCTACCCCATCCAGCTTTCCCTTATAAATGAGATCCTATGCAGAGTTGGATAAGCTGTTACAGATCCACGGGTGCACACGCCTTTACCTGGAGCTATTGCATGTAAATTGTAAGGTTTTATTTAATTTTACAGGAAGGCCCTTCTTTTTCCTTTGCTTTCTTTTCTTTTTGTTTTGTTTTGTTTTTCTCTCTAGCTTATCATTCATACTGACAGATCCTGATATCTACAGTGACTTGGGGAATTTTCAAAGGACAGCGCTAAAACCTCTGCTTGGGAGGCAGGTCGGGGTGTCAGTGACTAATGTGGTTTGCAAGCAAACGCCTGGAGGGGCAGGGCTCTGACTGCAGTCTCCGTGTCTGTGCCCTTGGACAGAGGCTCAACCCCCGCGTCCGGGACTTTGAAGTTAGAAATGATATGTCCGTGTGAAAGTCGCTAAATTAATTTCCGAGGGACCGGCAAACACTGCGGGGCAGCTGATATGAAATTGGAAGGGATTTGAAATGGAAATCCAAGAAGGAGAGCCGCGGGGGGAGTGGGGATGGAGGAGGGGAGAGGAATCATCACAGCAAGGGAGGGAAAGAGAGGAGCAGGAAAATGCAGAGGCGGGGCGCAGCTGATTTTCACCAACAGACTGTTTTGCGAGCTCTCCTTCCATGCAAGGAGATCTTGTGTGTTTGTGTCCTGATAGACTTCAGTGCTGGACCATATTAAGGACAAGGAGAAACTCAGGCCATAGTAAGAAATGTCCGGCGTCTGGGGCAATTTCTTCTAAACTGGATGAGCCCATTTGGAGGACTGCTTGGGCCCAGGAGTTTGAGACCAGCCTGGGCAATACAGCAAGACCCTGTATCTACAAAACGGAGCCTCTTAAACGTGCATTACAGCCACCTGGACAGGGTGGGATTTGGGAGGCAGGTGCACGTCCAGTGACTGCTGTGACAAATGCCCACAGCACTAAACTGCTTTAGGTGACTTCAAGCAACACCAATAGATGATCTTGCAGTCCTAGAGGTCAGAACTCCGAAATGGGTCTCCCGGGGTAAAATCCAGGTGTTGGCATGGCTGGTTCCTTCTGGAGCCTGTAAGGGAGACCCCATTTTCTGACCATTTCTGTCTGCTACGGAACACATTTTTTTTTTTTTTTTTTTTTTTGAGATGGAGTCTCACTCTCTCACCAGGCTGGAGTGCAGTGGTGCAATTTCGGCTGGCTACAACCTCCGCCTTCTGGGTTCAAGTGATTCTCCTGCCTCAGCCTCCCAAGTAGCTGGGACTACAGGCATCCACCACCACACCTGGCTAATTTTTGTATTTTTAGTAGAGATGGGGTTTCACCATCTTGGCCAGGCTGGTCTTGAACTCCTGACCTTGTGATCTACCTGCCTCAGCCTCCCAAAGTTCTGGGATTATAGGCGTAAGGCACCGCACCCGAGGTAATTTTTATTAATAATGGTTTTGAGCATCCAATGTCCCATTTGGTTATAGATAGAGGAATGGCAGAGTATGAATAGGGTGATGTGGTTACTCTGTTGAAAACGCTAAGAACCACCTTTCTGGGAATTGTGGAGGGTAGGTAATTGCAACTGTCTTCTATCTTCTAGGTGCTATGTCTGTGGACACACCCTAGGATATATTTTCTTCTCTGTCTTTCCAATCGAGTCCACATAAACACAAGGCAAGAATCTTAGATGGGAAAATAAGGAAAAAGCAACCAGTGACCTGAGGCAGGGGTAAAGAAAGGAGAGAGACTTCCTTGGAGTTGGCGTTCATTTTGCAGAGTAAAAGCAGTGTGCAATTTTTCTAAGCACTCGTGGGTCCAAACACCATCTCCTTCTTTCCAAAAGGAATATCTTCCCATCCACAGGAAGGCAAGAAAAAGGAGTGGACCATTGTTTCAGGTAAAAACTTGGCTGCATCTTTTGAGAAGTGTCTGTTCCTATCCTTTGCCCATTTTTTGATGGGGTTGTTTATTTTTTGTTGTTGTTGTAAATTTATTTAAGTTCCTTGTAGATTCTGGATATTACACCTTTGTCAGGTGGATAGGTTGCAAAAATTTTCTCCCATTCTGTAGGTTGCCTGTGCGGCCAACAAACATATGAAAAAAAAGCTAATCATCGCTGGTTATTAGAGAAATGCAAATCAAAACCACAATGAGATACCATCTCAGGCCCGTTAGAATGGCAATTATTAAAAAATCAGGAAAAAACACATGCTGGCAAGGCTGTAGAGAAATAGGAACGCTTTTACACTGTTGCTGGACATGTAAATTAGTTCAACCATTGTGGAAGACAGTGTGGCGATTCCTCAAGGATCTAGAACCAGAAATACTATTTGACGCAGCAATCCCATTACTGTGTATATACCCAAAGGATTATAAATCATTTTACTATAAAAACGCATGCACACATATGTTTACTGCAGCACTATTCACAATAGCAAAGACTTGGAACCAACCCAAATGCCCATCAATGATAGACTGAATAAAGAAAATGTGGCACATAGACACCATGGAATACTATGCAGTCATAAAAAAGGATGAGTTCATGTCCTTTGCAGGGACATGGATGAAACTGGAAACCATCATTCTCAGCAAACTAACACAAGAACAGAAAACCAAACACCTCATGTTCTCACTCATAAATGGGAGTTGAACAACGAGAACACATGGACGCAAGGAGGGGAACATCACACACCGGGGCCTGCTGGGGGTTGGGGGGCAAGGGGAGCGAGAGCATTAGAACAAATGCCTAATGCATGCAGGGCTTAAAACCTAGATGACGGATTGATGGGTACAGCAAATCACCATGGCACATGTATAGCTATGCAACAAACCTCCACGTTCTGCACATGTATCCCAGAACTTAAAGTAAAAAAAAAACAAAAAAAACTTAACTGCATCTCGAATGCATATTACGAAGTGAAAGAAGCCACTTTCCAAGGGGTACTTACTGCATGAAGGCACGTATATGACTTTGTGGACCCGGCAAATACAGAGACAAAAAACAGACCAGTGCTTGCCAGAGGTTAGGGCTGAGGATTGGGGTTGCCTGTGGATGGGCAAGGTGAGGGAATTCTCTGCAGTCATGGACTTGTTCTGAATCCTGATGGGGTCTTGGGTACCTGAATGCATACATGTATTAAAACGTATGACTGTGCACCAAACAACAGAGAATGGCATACTGAAAGAGTGCAGGCTTGTGTTGTAGCACAAGACAAGGGCTTGCAATTACCTGCCCTCTGCCAGTCCCAGGAAGGTTGTTCTTGGCGTTTCAACAGAGTAACCACATCAACCTTAAAAGGTTGAAGATGGGATTCCCACAGGATCTAGCAAATGCACTTCTGGGTCTATGCACCCGCTCCCTCAAATTGGGACTTGAACCAATATTCGCACACCTGTGTTCATAGCAGTGTTACTCACCATAGCCCCAACGTGGAAGGCCTCCCCAAGTGGTCACTGGCAGATAAATAGGTAAGCAAAATGTGGTCTGTCTATACGGTGGAATATTATTCAGCCTTCAAAAAGGACAGAAGCTCTGATCAAGCATTGACAAACCATGAGGACATTACGCTGAGTAAAAGAAACCAGTCCTAAAAAGGAAAAATACTCTATGATACCACTTGAATGAGGTCCTCAGAGTCGTCACATTGGGACCAAAAGAAAGAAAGTCGAATGGGTCAGGTGCAGTGGCTCATGCCTGGAATCCCAGCACTTTGGGAGGCCAAGGCAGGTGGATCACCTGAGGTCAGGAGTTCGAGACCAGCCTGGCCAACAGGGTGAAACCTTGTCTCTACTAAAAATGGTGCCTGTAATCCCAGCTACTCGGGAGGCGGAGGCAAGAGATTTGTTTGAACCCGGGAGGCAGAGGTTGTAGTGAGCCGAGATTGTGCCACTGCACTCCAGCCTGGGTGACAGAGCGAGACTCTGTCTCAAAAAAAAAAAAAAAAGTTACAATGGTAAATTTGATGCTATGCATATTTTATCATAATTCATTTTTTAATTAAAAATACACCTGCATTCAAAACGTGCTACTTGAGAGAGAGCATACAAAGTCAGCCTTAGGGTTAGGAACTAAATATTGGAAGTGCTGTCTGCATTTCTTTATATGTCATGGTTTTAAAAGGTTTATCTATGTGTGGTGCAGCATCAGGGGCATCCATAATGGGCACGTATAACATCTGCACACCTGCAGATGTGCACTGGGGTACAGGCTAGAATGCTTTGCTCACAAAGGTGTGCACCAAACCTGGGAGCCTGCAGGTGTGGCCAGCACCCCACACCTAACTCTCACCAACTGGTCCAGAATCTAGCTGAGAATCTAGCTGAATCTAGCAGAATCTAGCTCCAGAATTGAGCTGAAAGTGCTGCCGAAATGTTTTGATTGGAGAAAGGCCAGGCATGTAATTGTCACTGGGTGCTTGACAAAGGCCAGCCCTGATGTCTTCCATCCCCAAGTCACTTTCCCCAGAGTAGGTATGGAATTGGCTCTATGCAGATGTGGGAACTGCTTCTTAGAGAGGGATGGTGGATCCCGGCCAGCATGGATGCTAGCAGGTGGAGGCCGGTGGGATGTTCACACGCACCAGCTTCTCCTCTACGCCTCTGCATCCCAGACCCTGGGAGATACCCAGATTCCTGCCCCTCCGCACTTGGACAGGGAGAAACCTCTCCTTTGAAGATGAAGCAGTGGTGCTCAGGGGCTGCTGTGGATCTCAGGGGTGTTTTCTTTGTTCTTGTTTTGGTCTGGAAGAGAGTGATAACTCACTTGGAATTTTAATGTGTTCTGTAGTTATGCAAGTCTAAAATCTTGCGCATATAGTTTTAAATGTCTGTCACGGTTGGTTCTTCAAAGGGAGTGATTCGGACCTCCCAGGGCTTATCTGGAAATGTCTGCAGACATTTTCAGTTGTCACAAGGGAGGTGGAGGAGATAGGTGCTCCTGGCCCCTGATGGGTGGAGCTCGGGGACGCTGCTCAACACCCAACCGTGCACAGGATGGACGGCCCCACCACAAAGAGTCATGCACCACCAAATATTGGCAGCACTGAGGCTGAAAAAGACTGTTAGCATGACTGACCCTCTCTCTCACATTGCTCCTTCTCTCTTCTCCCTTTTCCCCTCCTTCCTTCCTTCACCCATCTCTCTGTGTATCAATCTATAGCTCTCTTTCCCTTAACCTCTCTCTAATCAATCTATCTACCCATCCATCTATCATCTATCTAGTCCATCCATCCATGCATCCATCATGTATCTGTCTATCCATCCATCCATCCATCATCTATCAATCCATCCGTCTATCATCTATGTATCTAGTCTGTTTATCATCTATCTATCATCTATCTATCTACACATCTATCTATCACGTACCCATCTGTGCCTCTGTATCCGACACCAAGAGAGATGCCCAGCTTCCCGCCTGTTGGCACTCAATGATAGAGAGGACAGGCTGGGAAACCTCTGTCTTCTATCTATTACCTAGGTATCTGTGTATCTATCCATCCATCCACCCACCCACCCACCCACCCACCCATCCATCCATCCATCCACCCACCCACCCACCTATCTATCCACCTATTTATCTACTCTATGTATTTATCTATCTATCTTGCTATCATCTATCTATTTATCTATCCAGGTATCCATCAATCCATCCATCGATCTATCCATCCATCTATATAATCTGTCTATCTATCTACTCTGTATTTATTTATGTAGCTAGCTGTCATCTATTTATCTATCTCCCTATCTATATCTATTTATCCACTTACTTACCCATCCATCCATCCATTTCTCTATCATGTATCTATCTATCCATCCATCATCTGTCTACCTACCTATCTACACATCCATCTGTCTCTAATCCATCTATCATCTATCTACCTGCCTATCTACCCATCCTTCTATTTATCTATTATCTATCTATCTATCTATCATCTATCTCTAATCCATCTATCATCTATGGCAGTGGTTTGCAACCAGGCACAACTGTACTTCCCACAGGACCCTTGCTGATGTCTGGAGATGTATTTGGTCATCTTGACTCCGGGGTGGAGGGTGTGCTTCTGGCATCTCCTGCGTAGAGGCCACCAGGGATGTTGGTAAATGCCCTGTAGTGCACAGGATGGCCCCGCCATAGATAATCATCCAGCCCCAAACACCAGCACTCCCCAGATGGCAGATACTTTGAGTAGCCAATCATGTCATCCCACAAACGTTACACATTTTTACACATTCATGAAAGGAATTTGTGAAAAAGCCGAGGTCTAGGTGCCTGTCCACTTGCTGCTGTTTACTGCTCCGTCCTGGCCTCCGGCGAGTAGTTTATACACTCTCTGAAATGCATCCATTCCTTTGATATATTAATGCTTCATTCACCCCTTTCCAAGCAGAAAGCTGCCGTTAGTCCTGCCTGGTGACTCTTTCTGTCACTTCTGCAGGGGAATTATTCTGCATATATAACTTAACCGTGAGCCGTCTGTCCTAGCACCTAAGGCATATTCTGTAAGCAATCCTTGTACCGTTGGCAGCTGCCTGAGTGCTGTCAATCATCCGGGACACTTCTACGACTTCCTCCAGCCACAGGAAGGGCGCACCACAATTTATGCCGCCTCCTTGGAGGCCCTGAATTCTAAAACATCGAATGCTATATTTTTTACCCTGCTTTGCCACTTATAAAAATTTCCACGGCTAGAATTTCAAAGACTTGCAGAAATTGAAGAAACCGAATTGGATCAATTCATTTCCATTTTTTTGAAGGTTGCTAGGAACACTTCACCAACTCCTTCTCCCTTATCCTTTAGAAAGAGGGTGCTGGAGCTTTCAACGAAGCAGGACTTTTGCTAGAAATGAGCTTTAAAATCTGCTTGCCTGGGTCAGGATACCTGAAGGTCAAAGAAGAAAGTGAAGCCACATGAAAGTCATTTATATTCCAATCTGTGGTCTGGGTTACTTTAAGACCAACCCAGGAGATGGGGGAAGGAGGCTTGGCTCTCAACCAGGAAAAATTGTGAGATTATATTGCCTAGATGTTACATGTTTATACATTGAGAAGGGTAAAAAGCAGCATCGTAGGAAGACAGGCTAAGACCTTGAAGAGGTAGCTATGTTTTTTTCTTTTCTTTTTTTTGAGACAGAGTCTTGCTCTGTCTCCCAGGCTGGAGTGCAGTGGTGCGATCTCGGTTCACGGCAACCTCCGCCTCCTGGGTTCACGCCATTCTCCTGCCTCAGCCTCCCGAGTAGCTGGGATTACAGGAGCCCGCCACCACGCCCGGCTAATTTCTGTATTTTTAGTAGAGACGGGGTTTCACCTTCTTGGCCAGGCTGGTCTTGAACTCCTGACCTCGTGATCCACCCGCCTCAGCCTCCCAAAGTGCTGGGATTACAGGCGTGAGCCACCGCACCTGGCCTATAGCTATCTTTTTCTTTCTGGGGCATTGACTTGACATGGAAATTAACTGTTTGACAGGAGTCTTCCACAACTTAATGTCTAAAGGTCAAGATATGATTCTGTGGAGTATGTCTCAAAAGCCCTGTCCGAGGTACCCAGTATTGGAACATTACGGATGAAAATACAGTCATGTGTCATTTTTTCTTTCTTTCTTTTTTTTTGAGATGGAGTTTCCCTCTCGTCGCCCAGCCTGCAATGCAATGGCGCAATCTCAGCTCACTGCAACCTCCACCTCCCAGGTTCAAGCGATTCTCCTGCCTCAGCCTCCTGAGTACCTGGCATTACAGGCACCCACCAGCACGCCCAGCTAATTTTTTGTATTTTTAGTTTAGACGAGTTGTCGCCATGTTGGCCAGGCTGGTCTCAAACTCCTGACCTCAGGTGACCTGCCCGCTTCGGCCTCCCAAAGTGTTGGGATGACAGGCATGAGCCATGGCGCCCGGCCATGTGTTGCTTAACGATGGGGATACATTCTGGGAAATGTGTGATCGGGGGATTTCATCGCTGTGCAAAAATTGTAGAGCACACTCGCACAAACCTAGGTGGTATAGCCTACCACACACCTAGGCTGTGTGGTACTGCTCATTGCCCTTAGACTGCAAACCAAATTCCAGTGTAAACCAAAAATAAAACTCTAAGCCCCAGCCATCTCAACGGACCCTTCCTCTCAGTTAATGGCATTCCAAAGTTAAGCTGAAAAACTAGTTCAGAGGCCGGGCCCAGGGGCTCACGCCTGTAATCCCAGCACTTCAGGAGGCTGAGGCGGGTGGATCATGAGGTCAGGAGTTCGAGACCAACCTGGCCAACATGGTGAAACCTCGTCTCTACTAAAAATACAAAAATATTAGTCAGGCGTGGTGGTGGATGCCTGTAATCCCAGCTACTTGGGAGGCTGAGGCAGAAAATTGCTGGAACCCGGGAGTGGAGGTTGCAGTGAGCTGAGATTGCTCCATTGCACTCCAGCCTGGGTGACAGAGCGTGACTCTGTCTCAAACAAACAAACAAACAACTAGTTCAGGCCATGATGGAAGTGTGGGTTGGACATGTCTCCTAATACCCTCCTCCTCTGTGGAATTCAGGAAAAGGCGAGCAGTATTCACATCAACATAGACGTTAATTCTGGTGAGAAATGTTGATAATCTATTGAAGCCTGCTACCTAGAGGCTTCATCTGCATGATGAAACCTTGGTTTCCACAACCCCATGTCTTAACCCAGCCATTCTTCTTGATAATAACTCTTTCAACCACCAACTGCCAATCAATCAGAATTTTTTTTTTTTTTTTTTTTTTTTTTGAGATGGAGTCTCGCTCTGTCGCCCAGGCTGGAGTGCAGTGGCGTGATCTCGGCTCACTGCAACCTCCACCTCCTGGGTTCAAGTGATTCTCCTGCCTCAGCCTCCCGAGTAGCTGGGACTACAGGCATCCATCACCATGCCTGGCTATTGTTTTTTTTGTGTGTGTGTGTTTAGTAGAAAATGTTTAAATCTACCTATGACCTGGAAGGAACCAACGTACATCCTACATGTATTGACTGATGTCTCATTAAAAGGTATAAAACCAAGCTGTGCCCAACCACCTTGGACACGTGTCATCAAGACCTGCAGTGTCTGTGTGACAGGTGCATCCTTAACCTTGGCAAAAGCAATGTTCTCAATTTTGATTGAGACCTGACTCAGGTACTTTTTTTAATGTTTTCCCCTACACATACATACCTATGATAAAGTTTAATTTATTAATTAGGCACAGTAAGAAATTAACAGTAACTAATAATTGCCTTTTTTTTTTTTTTCGAGATGGAATCTCCCTCTGTTGCCCAGGCTGGAGTGCACTGGTGCGATCTTGGATCGCTGCGACCTCTGCCTCCCAGGTTCAAGCAATTCTTCTGCCTCAGCTTCCTGAGTAGCTGGGATTACAGGCATGCACCAACATGCCCGGCTAATTTTTGTATTTTTAGTAGAGACAAGGTTTCACCATATTGGCCGGGCTGGTCTCGAACTCCTGACCTCATGATCCGCCCGCCTCGGCCTCCCAAAGTGCTGGGATTACAGGCGTGAGCCACCGCATCCAGCTCAACAGTAATAATAAAATAGAAAAATGATAACTGTATGCCAGCATCACTACTCTTGTGCATTGGATCCATTATGAAGTAATGTGAGGGTTACTTGAACGTAAACACTACAATACGGCCACTGTTGATTTGGGTGGTGTGGGTAGTGCAGACAGCGTGGAGGGGCTGGCAAAGCGATGATTCAAGTTCCAGGCAGGATATAGTGGGACAGGGCTGTTTGACCTCACTATTGGGAATGATGTGCAATTTAAAACTTATACATTATTTACTTCTGGAATTTCCCACTTAATATTTTCAGACCACAGTTGACTTTGGGTAACCGAAACCGGGAAAAGCAAACGTGCAGGTAAGGGGGGGATGACCTTAGGTACTTTTGGGTTCACAACAGCATATGACTGTACTGAATGCTGTAGGTAACTGTAACACAATGGTAAATATTTGTGTATTTAATCGTATCTAAACGTAGAAAAGGCACAGTAAAAATACAATATGATAGTCTTATGTAATCTTATCTTAATCTTATGTCATGTTATCTTATGTCATCTTAACACACTGCATATGCTAATATGCAGTCCAGTAGGCCATTCTTGCATTGCTCTAAAGAAATATCTGAGGCGGGGTAATTGATGGGGTGGACAACCATACTGTCCTGTGGTCTAGTGGGCAGGGACCTGGGGGCCATCAGTGGCTGTAGGACTTTTTTACCCCTCTGTTTCCTGGCCTAAATATGTGATGGGTATGCTTCACCTTAAGTGGTAAGAGGTTTGATTTTTGTTTTTGAGACAGAGTCTTCCTCTGTCCCCAAGGCAATGGCAAGATCTCAGCTCACTGCAACCTCCGCTCCCAGGTTTAAGCCATTCTCCTGCCTCAGCTTCCTGAGTAGCTGGGATTACAAGCACCTGCCACCACGCCTGGCTAACTTTTGTTTTGTTTTGTTTTGTTTTGAGATGGAGTATTGCTCTGTCGCCCAGGCTGGAGTGCAGTGGTGCGATTTCGGCTCACTGCAAGCTCTGCCTCCCGGGTTCACACTATTCTCCTGCCTCAGCCTCCCGAGTAGCTGGGACTAGAGGCGCCACCATGCCCGGCTAATTTTTTGTATTTTTAGTAGAGACGGTGTTTCACCATGTTGGCCATGCTGGTCTTGAACTCCTGACCTTGTGATCTGCCTGCCTCGGCCTCCCAAAGTGCTGGGATTACAGGCATGAGCCACTGTGCCTGGCCTAATTTTTGTGTTTTTAGTAGAGATGGGGGTTTCATCATGTTGGCCAGGCTGGTCTCAAACTCCTGACCTCAAGATCCACCCCTTGGCCTCCCAAAGTGCTGGGATTACAGGCATAAGCCACTGCGCCTGGCCTAATTTTTGTATTTTTAGTAGAGATGGTGTTTCACCATGTTGGCCAGGCTGGTCTTAAACTCCTGACCTCGTGATCTGCCCACCTTGGCCTCCCAAAGTGCTGGGATTACAGGCGTGCACCACGACGCCTGGCTAATTTTTTGTATTTTTAGTAGAGGCGGGGTTTCACCATGTTGGCCAGGCTGGTCTTGAACTCCTGACCTCGTGATCCGCCTGCCTCGGCCTCCCAAAGTGCTGGGATTACAGGCGTGCACCACCACGCCTGGCTAATTTTTTGTATTTTTAGTAGAGACGGGGTTTCACCATGTTGGCCAGGCTGGTCTTGAACTCCTGACCTCGTGATCTGCCTGCCTTGGCCTCCCAAGCTGGGATGACAGGCGTGAGCCACCGCGCCCGGCCAGTGGAGAGGTTTAAATGAAATGGTGCTGGAAATATCCTGGCATAAAATAAGGGCGTCATGGGTAGAAGCAAAGCCTTCTTGAAAACAGAAACCATATCTGCACTGATTATTTTCAAGGAGACTGAACCAAAAAATAACTCAGCTTGAGGACTGGCCCGTCTCTGTGACAGCCTGTGGTCGTAACTCATGCCTCAATCCCTGGCACACACCGGTAAGCCCAGTGCTTTCGGAGGCCAAAGCAAGAGGATGGCTTGAGTTCGGGAGTTTGCAACCAGCCTGGGCAACACAGTGAGATCCCCATCTCTGCTAAAAATAAACATTAAAAAATGTTTTTATGTTTTGAGATAGGGTGTGGTGGTGTGCACCTGTAGATGTAGTGAGATCCCCATCTCTGCTAAAAATAAACATTAAAAAATGTTTTATGTTTGAGATAGGGTGTGGTGGTGTGCACCTGTAGATGTAGTGAGATCCCCGTCTCTGCTAAAAATAAACTTTAAAAAATGTTTTTATGTTTTGAG
Organism: Homo sapiens; assembly: GCF_000001405.40. NCBI lineage: Eukaryota > Metazoa > Chordata > Mammalia > Primates > Hominidae > Homo > Homo sapiens. The sequence continues at coordinate 2,199,979 of NC_000024.10, forward strand.
ATAGTGTGTGGTGGTGTGCACCTTCAGAATCAAAGAGTATCTTCCAGGGTCTTCCCTCCCCTGAAGGTTAATTCGTAGGCAGACGAATCAGGTATTGATCCCTGTCCTTGGAATAATCACGATGATGTTCAGGATTCATGAGGATTCATAGAACCAAAGAGCCTCTTCCAGGGTCATCCCTCTCCTGAAGGTTAATCCATAGACAGATGAATCAGGTATTGATCCCTGTTCTTGGAATAATCTAGAGGATCTTTGCAATTCATTAGGATTCATAGAACCAAAGATCCCCTTCCAGGATGGTCCTTCTCCTGAAGGTTAATCCATAGGCAGATGAATCGGATATTGATTCCTGTTCTTGGAATAATCTAGAGGATCTTTAGAATCCATTGGGATTCATAATCACAGCTATGCCGATGCCATCATCACCGGCTTAGCCCTTTCTGAAAACACAGTCATCATCTACCCCCATTGGAATCACGATGCAAAAAACCTGTCCCAAAGCGGTGGTTTCCTATGTGATTCTTGCATCCAGGACAAATGACAGTCAGCAGAGAGGCGCCCTGTTCCATCTTTTGGTTTGATCCAGTTAAAGGCACACACGTGAGCACCCAACGTTTGCCAACTCAGCACTGGGCAGAGCCTGGCCTCTGAGGAAATTGGCATCTTCGTAATCAATATATTATTATGTTTTATTGAAATGTAAGTCATTGCCGATTCAGTGGCTCATGCCTGTAATCCCAACATTTTGGGAGGCCAAAGAGAGGGGATTGCTTGAGTCCAGGAGTTTGAGACAAGCCTGGGCAACACAGTGAGACCTCATGTCTATTAAAAAACAATTAGGTGTGGTGGCATGTACCTGAAGTCCAACCTACTATGGAGGCTGAGGTGGGAGGATCCCTCGAGCCCAGGAGGTAGAGGCTGCGGTAAGCTGGGATTGCACCACTGCATTCCAGCTTGGGCAACAGAGGGAGACCCTATCTCAAAAAAATAAAAAGGAAATATAAGTCACATAACATAAAATGAACCATTTTAGGCCGGGCGCGGTGGCTGACGTCTGTAATCCCAGCACTTTGGGAGGCCGAGGCAGGTGGATCACAAGGCCAGGAGTTCGAGACCATCCTGGCCAACATGGTGAAACCCTGTGTCTACTAAAATACAAAAAAAAAAAATTAGCCGGGAATGGTGGTGCATGCCTGTAATCCCAGCTACTCGGGAGGCTGAGGCAGGGGAATCACTTGAATCCGGGAGGTGGAGGTTGCAGTGAGCCGAGATCGTGCCTCTGCACTCCAGGCCTGGTGACATACCAAGACTCTGTCTCAAAAAAAAAAAAAAAAATTAACCATTTAATGTGTACAATTCTGTGACATTCAGGATGTTCACCATGTTGGGCAACCATCATCACTCTTGAGTTCCAAAACATTTTCATCACCCCAAAAGAAACACCATATACAACAGCAGCCACTACCATTCCCCGGGCCCTATTCCACGGCAACCACTAATCTAGTTTCTGTCTCTTTGAACTGAACTATTCTGCTACTTTACAGACCTGGAATCATACAGGTGACCTATTGCGTCTGGCTTCTTTCACTTACGATAATACTTTTTGAGGTTCATCTGTGTGGTGGCATGTATCCACACTTCATTCCTTTTTTATGGCTAAGTAATATTCCATCGCATGGATGTAAAATGATGCATTGTTTTTTTAGAGACCAGTTCTTGCTCTGTGGACCAGGCTGGAGTGCAATGGCATGATCATAGCTCACTGCAGCCTCCACTTCCTGAGCTCAAACGATCCTCCCACCTCAGCCTCCTGAGTAGCTGGGATTATAGGTGCACATCTTCACATCCAGCCAACTATTTTTATGTTTTGTAGAGATGGGATCTTGCTATGCTGCCCAGGCTGGTCTCAAACTCCTGGCCTCAAGCAATCCTCCCACCTCAGCCTCCTGAAGCACTGGGATTACAGGTGTAAGCTACTGAGTCTGGCATATATATATGTGTATATATATATGGATATATAGGATATAGATAGATAGATAGATAGATAGATAGAGATAGATATATATTTTTTTGAGACAGTGTCACTCTGTCACCCAGGCTGGAGTGCAGTGGTGCAATCTCAGCTCACTGCAACCTCCACCTCCAGGGTTCAAGCGATTCTCCTGCCTCAGCCCCCCAAGTAGCTGGGACTACAGGTGTGCACCACCACACCTGGCTAATTCTTGTATTTTCAGTAGAGACGAGGTTTCACCATGTTGGCCAGAGTGGTCTCGAATTCCTGGACTCAGTGATCCACCCACCACGGCCTCCCAAAGTGCTGGGATTACAGGTGTGAGCCACTGTGCAAGGCCCCAAAATGTATTTTTAATTCCCGCTTTACTCTTCTAAAAAATGAAATCATCCTTACTATCACCCTAAGAAAATTTAATAATATCCTAATATCCACATCATGCAAATTATAATAAAGGAATATGTGGCCGGGCGCGGTGGCTCACGCCTGTAATCCCAGCAGTTTGGGAGGCCGAGGCGGGCGGATCACCTGTGGTCGGGAGTTTGAGACCAGCCTGACCAACATGGTGAAACCCCGTCTCTACTAAAAAAAAATATATATAGATATATATATGTGTGTGTGTGTATATATATATGTATGTATGTGTATATATATGTGTGTGTGTATATATATGTATGTGTGTATACATATGTATGTATGTGTATGTGTGTGTGTGTATATATATATATATGTATGTATGTATGTATGTATATAAAATTAGCCAGGCGTGGTGGTGGGCGCCTGTAATCCCAGCTACTCAGGAGGCTGAGGCAGGAGAATCACTTGAACTCAGGAAGCGTAGGAAGCGTAGGTTGCGGTGAGCCGAGATTGTGCCATTGCACTCCAGCCTGGGCAACAAGAGCAAAACTCCGTCTCAAAAAATAAATAAATAAATAAATAATAAAGCAACATGCATTGGTACATCTCAACTTTTGGGCTTACCTCTACCCTGGAAATAACGAGGCAGTAATATGCGTCGTGCCTCTATGTGTTGAATCCACAAGATGACATGATCATCTACCCCATTAGACGACTGGGTGGCCGACGGCAATCACAGGCCGCCCCGGCCTGGTGTCCTGGTAACTCGAACACCATGAGTCCTCTCCTGTCCTCTGATTTCCCCAAATGGTGATGAAACGCAGCCAGTCCAATCGTCTCTCTGTTAACGCAGTGTTTTTTTTTTTTGACTGGAAAATCAATCCTTTGTATATATGTGTAAGCCGAGTTAAGTGCTACGCTCAGGTGAATCGTAAACAGGTTTTCTGTCTTTGTGGCCATCTGGGTCCCACACTCACGAGTCATGTGGGTCAGGGGTGTGTTCTCTGCTAGGTAGCATTGCCCTGTACTCTGCGACGAGTTGAAATCCCAGGCTTCCCCCAACCAAATGCCAGTGGAGGCACTTGATTCTTTTGCCCACCCAGCAACCCACCCACCCCCAACTTCCCATATGCTCTGCAGAGAACAGCCAGCCCCCCTCACCACATATCGAGAAAAAACATCAGATCATCAGGACAATTTCATGGAACCAAACCTCCCACTGCAGCCAAACTCACATAGAAAACATCCTTTGCAGCCTGAAAACCCTTTCAGGACCTTTCTGTCACTGAGTCTTATAAACCTATAAAGATTCATTGAACAGAACCGGAGACTCAGGCTCCCGGAAAAGCTTGACAAAGTCACGCAGTGCATTAGTTCATTCTTGCATTGCTATAAAGAAATATCCGAGGCTAGGTAATTTATTTTTAATTTTTTGGAGAGAGAATCTTGCTCTGTTGCCTAGGCTGGAGTGCAATGGCACGATCTTGGCTCACTGCAACCTCCGTTTCCCAGATTCAAGCAATTCTCCTGCCTCAGCCTCCTGAGTAGCTGCAATTACAGGTGCCCACCACCACACCCAGCTAATTTTTTGGTATTTTTACTAGAGTTGGGGTTTCACCATGTTGGCCAGGCTGGTCTCCAAATCCTGACCTTGGATGATCCACCCGTCTCAGCCTCCCAAAGTGCTGGGATTATAGGCGTGAGCCACCACACCCGGCCCAAGTCTTATAAACCTATGAATATTCACTGAACAGAACCAGAGACTCAGGCTCCTGGAGAAGCTTGACAAAGTTACGCAGTGTAATATGCCTTTCTTGCATTGCTATAAAGAAATATCTGAGGCTGGGTAATTTGTTTTTTATTTTTTGGAGATGGAGTCTTGCTCTGTCACCCAGGCTGGAGTGCAGTGGTGCGATCTCAGTTCACTGCAACTTCCGCCTCCTGGGTTCAAGCGATTCTCCTGCCTCAGCCTCCCGAGTAGCTGCGATTACAGGTGCCTGCCACCACGCCAGGCTAATTTTTCATATTTTTAGTAGAGACATAGTTTCACCATGTTGTCCAGGCTGGTCTCGAACTCCTGTGCTCAGGCAATCTACCCCGTGAGGCTAATTTATAAAGAAGAGAGGTTTCATTGGCTTGGCTGATAGTTCTGCAGGCTATACACGAAGCATGGTGCCAGCATGTGCTCAGCCTCTGGTGAGGTATGAGGAAGCTTACAGTCATGGCGGAAGGCAACGTGGGAGAAGGCATGTCACGTGGTGAGTGTGGGAGCTGGATATGGGGGAGAGGTGCTACACACTTTATTTTATTTTTATGTATTTATGAGACGGAGTCTCACTCTGTTGCCCAGGCTTGAATGCAGTGGAGCAATCTTGGCTCACTCCCGGATTCAAGCGATTCTCCTGCCTCAGCCTCCCAAGTAGCTGGGATTACAGGCACCAGCCACCACGCCTGGCTAATTTTTGTATTTTTGGTAGAGACGGTGTTTCACCATGTTGGCCAGGCTGGTCTTGAACTTCTGACCTCAGGTGATCCACCTGCCTCGGCCTCCCAAAGTGCTGGGATTACAGGCACCTGCCACCATGCCCAGCTGATTTTTGTATTTTTAGTAGAGACCGGGTTTCAACATGTTGGCCAGGCTGGTCTCGAACTTCTGACCTCAGGTGATCCACCTGCCTCGGCCTCCCAAAGTGCTGGGATTACAGGCACCTGCCACCATGCACAGCTGATTTTTGTATTTTTTAGTAGAGACCGGGTTTCACCATGTTGGCCAGGCTGGTCTCGAACTTCTGACCTCAGGTGATCCGCCTGCCTCAGCCTCCCAAAGTGCTGGGATTACAGGCGTAAGCCACCGTGCTCCCAGCCTTTAAACAACCAGATCCCGAGAGAACTGACTCACTACTGCAAGACCAGCACCAAACCATGAGGGATCTGCCTCTCAGATCCAACATCTCTCACCAGGCTCCCAGCTTTGAGGATGACAAGTGAACACGAGATTGGAGCCGGGACAGATATCAGAACTTTTATCATGCCGTCAGCCACAGACAAGCTTCTGTTGTTGTTTTATTTTCCTAAACAAATCACATGTCCCTCCTACGATGCCACAGACTTTTATTTTATTATTGTTATTATTTATTTATTTATTTATTTATTGAGATGGAGTGTTGCTCTGTCGCCCAGGCTGGAGTGCGGTGGCGCGATCTCGGCTCACTGCAACCTCTGCCTCCCGGGTTCAAGCCATTCTCCTGCCTCAGCCTCCTGAGTAGCTGGGACTACAGGCGCCCGCCACCACGCCCGGCTAATTTTTTGTATTTTTTAGTGGAGATGGGGTTTCACCGTGTTAGCCAGGATGGTCTCAATCTCCTGACCTCGTGATCTGCCTGCCTCAGCCTTCCAAACTGCTGGGATGACAGGCGTGAGCCACCACGCCCAGCTTTTATTATTATTATTATTTTGAGATGGAGTCTTGTTCTGTCCAGGCTGGAGTGCAGTGGTGCGACCTCGGTTTACTACAACCTCCGCCCCCCAGGTTAAAGCAATTCTCCTGCCTCAGCCTCCTGAGTAGCTGGGATTACAGGCGTGTGCCACCACACCTGGCTAATTTTTATATTTTTACTAGAGACGAGGTTTCACCATGTCGCTCAGGCTGGTCTCGAACTCCCGACCTCAGGTGATCCGCCTGCCTCGGCCTCCTAAAGTGCTGGGATGACGGGTGTAAGCCACCGCGCCCGGCCCTCTGCCTGCTTTTATCCTAGCTGTGCTGGCAGCTGATCAAATGATGCCTGTCCAGATGGAGGGTGGGTCTGCCTAGCCCTGTCCACTGACTCAAATGTTAATCTCCTTTATCAACAACCTCCCAGGAACACCTATGATCAATACTTTGCTTCAATTCAGTCAAGTTGACACTCAATAGTAACCATCACAGTAAAGAAACAGCAAAACGGAATGCAGACCCCGTGGGCTGGGCACAGTGGCTCATGCCTGTCATCCCAGCACTTTGGGAGGCCGAGGCAGGTGGATAACCTGAGGTCAGGAGTTCAAGACCAGCCTGGCCAACATGTGGAAACCACCTCTCTACTAAAAATACGAAAATTAGCCAGGAGTGGTGGCAGGTGCCTGTAATCCCAGCTACTTGGGAGGCTGAGGCAGAAGAATCGCTTGAACCGGGGAGGTGGAGCTTGCAGTGAGCTGAGAGTGCACCACTGCACTCCAGCCTGGGAGACAGGGTGAGACTCCTTCAAAAAAACAAAGAAAAGAAAGGAAAGAAAAGAAAGGAAGGAAGGAAGGAAGGAAGGAAGGAAGGAAGGAAGGAAGGAAGGAAGGAAGGAAGGAAGGAAAAGAATACAGACCGTGTAAGGATTGTTGCTGTGCTCTGTCAGCCACCTCCTCCCAAATACTCCAGAGCTGAAATTGCAGAAAACAAAACTATGTGGTGTGGGAGTGGCAGAAGTCAAGGTCCTTTCTTGTGGGGAAGGATGGTGTTGATGTTGGTTATCTTGGTGGGGGGATGTTAGTTTGGGAGTAAATTAAAGGGAACCAGTGGAAAGGGAAATAGATGAAAGAACAATCAGGAAGAGAAACTGAACAAATGGAACAAAAACATCGGCTGGGCGCGGTGGCTCACGCCTGTAATCCCAGCAGTTTGGGAGGCCGAGGCAGGCAGATCACATGAGGTCAGGAGTTCGAGGCCAGCCTGACCAACATGATGAAACCCCGTCTCTACTAAAAATACAAAAATTAGCCAGGCCTGATGGCGGGTCCCTGTAATCCCAGCTACTCAGGAGGCTGAGGCAGGAGAATCGTTTGAACCGGGGAGGCGGAGGTTGCAGTGAGCTGAGATCACGCCTCTGCACTCCAGCCTGGGAAACAGAGCGAGACTCCATCTCAAAAAAAAAAAAAAAAAAAAAAACTTCATCCATTGAAGCAGGAACTGTGTGTGTGTGTGTGTGTGTGTGTGTGTGTGTGTTGGTTGACAATAGTCACCCTATTGTGCTATGTCTTATTTATTCTTTCCAATTTTTGTACCTATTAACCATCCCCACCTCCCCCACTCCAACCCCCTTTGTAACCGCAAGGATAAATGCTTGAGGAGATGGACACCCTATTCTCCATGATGTGCTTTTTACACATTGCATGCCTGTATCAAAACATCTCATGTAAGCTACAAATATATACACACCTACTATGGACCCACAACAATTTTTTAAAATAATTCAATTTTTTTTTTGGTTGAAACTGAGTCTTGCGCTGTCACCCAGGCTGGAGTGCAATGGCGTGACCTTGGCTCACTGTAACCTCCACCTCCTGGGTTCAAGTGATTCTCCTGCCTCAGCCTCCCGCATAGCTGGGATTACAGGCACCTGCCACTATGCCCAGCTAATTTTTGTATTTTTAGTAGAGACAGGGTTTCGCCATGTTGGTCAGGCTGGTCTCGAACTCCAGACCTTGTGATTCGCCTGCCTCGGTCTCCCCAAAGTGCAAAAATTTTTTTTTAATTGCATACGATGAAATACTTGCAAACACACCCACACCCACATACAACTAAAAGAGAAAATCTGAAAAGGCGGCCGGGTGCGGTGGCTCAGGCCTGTATTCCCCAGCACTTTGGGAGGCCAAGGCAGGCGGATCACGATGTCAAGAGATCGAGACCATCCTGGCCAACATGGTGAAACCCCATCTCTACTAAAAATACGAAAATTAGCCTGGCATGGTGGGGCTCACCTGTAGTCCCAGCTACTCAGCAGGCTGAGGTAAGAGAATCGCTTGAACCCGGGAAGCGGAGGTTGCAGGGAGCCGAGATCTCGCCACCACACTCCAGCTTGGTGATGGAGTGAGACTCCATCTGAAGAAAAAAAAAAAGAAAAGAAAATCTGAAGAAGCAGGTCAGATTGTATCAATGTCCGTATCTGGTTGAGCGATTTACTGGAGTTTTGCAAGATGTTCTAATTGCAGGAAGGTTGGTAAAGGTACATGGGATGACTCTGTACTACCTCTTACAACTGCATGTGAATTTACACATCTTTGCATACAATTTATGTGTTAGTTCAGGCTGCTGGGATAAAACACCATAGAGTCGGAAGCTTAAACTGTTAACATTCCTGTATCCCACTTCTGGAGGCTGGAGGTCTGAGACAAGGGTGCCAGTATGGTTGGTTCCTGGTGAGAACTCTCTTCTTGGCCTCCTTTTTCTTTGTTTTTAATTTTTTTTTTTATTATACTTTAAGTTCTGGGGTACATGTGCAGAACGTGCAGGTTTGTTACGTAGGTATACACGTGCCATGGTGGTTTGCTGCACCCATCAACCTGTCATCTACATTAGGTATTTCTCCTAATGCTCTCCCTCCCCTATCCCCCCACCCCCTGACAGGCCCTGGTGTGTGATGTTCCCCTCCTTGTGTCCATGTGTTCTCATTGTTCAACTTCCACTGATGAGTGAGAACATGCAGTGTTTGGTTTTCTGTTCTTGTGTTAGTTTGCTGAGAATGATGGTTTCCAGCTTCATCCCTGTCCCTGCAAAGGACATGAACTCATTCTTTTTTCTGGCTGCATAGTATTCCATAGTGCATATGTGCCACATTTTCTTTATCCAGTCTATCATTGATGGGCATTTCGGTTGGTTCCAAGTCTTTGCTATTGTGAACAGTTGGCTGCCTTTTTCCTGTGTGCTCACAAGGCAGTGGGACAGTGAGCTCACTCTGAGCTCATCATCCTTTTATAAGGGCAGGAATCTCATGCATGAGGCTCCATCCCTCATTAGGCTCCACCCTCATGACACCATCACCTCCCAAAGCCTCCACTTCCTAACGCCACCCCCTTGGGGGGGGGTGACAATTTCTACAAAAGAATTTGGAAGGACACCAATGTTCGGTCGATAGCAGTAGTCAATTAAAAATAGGAGATGATATAAAAAGATGTTAATATCTAATTGTCAGTGGATTTGTGAACTATCTGATGGTAAATATCAGATAAAAGATAGTTAAGGATAGAACATCAAAGAACCAAAGCTAAATCTATTTTTTTTTTTTTTGAGACAGAGTTTCGCTCTTGTTGCCCAGGCTGGAGTGCAGTGGTGTGATCTCAGCCCACCGCAACCTCTACCTCCCAGGTTCATGCGATTCTCCTGCCTCAGCCTCCCAAGGAGCTGGGATGCTAAATCTTTTACAGTAATAATAATAAAATAACAAACTAATAAGAGAAGCATTACACCAAGAAGACAGTATAATCATGAACCTGTAGGTCTCTAGTACTGCAGCCCCAAAATATCTAAAGCAGAGAGTGACAGAGATTTCCAGAACTCTCTCTACAAAAGACAGGATAAATACATTACATTTCATAACATGATTAAAATTTCAATTTATAGAAATTTCAATTTATAGAAACATAAGTCTATAAAACCATAAGTCTGTAAAACCAGGAGATCGTGACCATCCTGGCTAACACGGTGAAACCCCATCTCTACTAAAAATACAAAAAAATTAGCCGGGCATGGTGGCAGGTGCCTGTAGTCCCCACTACTCGGGAGGGTGAGGCAGGAGAATGGCATGAACCCAGAGGCGGAGCTTGCAGTGAGCTGATATCGTGCCACTGCTCTCCAGCTTTAGGGAGAGAGCAAGGCTCTGTCTCAAAAAAAATAAATAAATAAAAAATAAAAAGGCAAAAAAAAATCACTAATTTTAATTCTACACCTTTGGAAATATTAAAATACCCTCTTCATCCATTGGTCAAATCAGGCAAAATGAAAACAACGACTTCATTCTAAGTCTATGAAATGCAGCCCCAGGGGTCAGGAAAAAAATGAGTTCACAATACATTTGTTACGATTAGAAGGAAGAAAACAAACAAACAAAAAAAGATGGCATGTGTCGAGGCAAGAAAATAGACAACATATTCCAGAATGAAGGCAAAGAATTATAAGAGGATAAAACAGCAGTAACTAAAAATGATAAGTAAGCGATAAACACAATGATGAGTAAAATGTCTATTCCTGAATCCGAGACGGTGCTTCACAAAGACAGCTTCAGAGGCCACAATTCCAAAGCTTTTTTCTACGTACAGATATTCTCCCCGATGCCTGGGTTAATGGCGCCCGAACTGCAGAAAACATAACCTCAACCGAGTTTTCTGCTTCAATGACAAATGACACCAGAGCCCCACCACCAAACCATGGCTGGCATCTATTTAGTTCTGAGCACTGCTCTGACAGAATGCATCAGTCTTGCTTTGCTCTCAGCAAAACTGGGTGCAGAGGGGACGGCTGTTAGCCTGGTCGTTGCTAATGAGGAGATGAGGAGTTGGAAAGATAGAGACGCAATGGCTTAACTACGGCACCTGATGCAAGACTTGCTACCTCCCCAGTTCCAGCCCAAATGGAGAAATGGGTATGATGCACCTTCTGTGATCTGGGGATCAGTTCTGATGTCTGCGGTCCAGCCCCCCAACCTGTCCTGCCTTTGAAAATGTGGCGTGTCCCTTCTATGACAGTTTCTCCTAACAGCCAAGATGAGAGATACCACATGTTCATGACAGACACTCTCAAAATCAAGGTGGCGTCCAGACACACATCTAGACTGTGATGTGTTCCCCACACACCAGCCTTTGTTGACTGCACACATTCCCACTAAAAGACACACACCAGCCTTTGCTGACTGCACATGTTCCTGCTAAAAGTCCCACACCAGTCTTTGTTGACGCACACATTCCTGCTAAAAGTCCCTGTGACTACATGAGACAATACTGCCAGTTTCCAGGCTGTTAGGACCTGCTATCTTTGGGGACTTCCTCTGTTGACTACAGCCTCCAGCTCCTTTAGGACACAAGCCCTGTTCTTCCGACTTCGAGTCCCAGTATTTGGGTATAACACTTAACACTTATTTACTGAAAACATGACTACATGGATGAATGGATGGATGGATGGATGGATGGATGGACAGATGCATGGATGGATGAATGAATGAATGAGATGGTCCCATACATTGCTGGACCTGAATAAAACCTATTCATGGCTACTGGAAGGGCATAAAAGAGTAGCTTCACTGGGACATCCATGCACTCTAGGTCCAAGTATTGAATCAAGGTTTGCCAAAGAAAAGAATCTCATTCCTCCTGGTTCGTACAGAGCTCTAATGGCACACATGCTACTCACCCAACAATCCACGCAGTTTCCCCTGCTGGGAAGTGTCTCCAGGAAATTGCACAGTGTCCAGGAAATGGCACAATCAAGTATCAAGGAACACAGGCGAACTTCTCCAGAATTATGCTCTTGGTTTCCCTGGGAGGAACGGTCACATAAGGGTTACCATGAAACACAGAGGAATAGTGTGAGGCTGGAGTCATACAACATTCGGATCGCTCTCACAGCTCATCTGTCAGCCTGGGGAATGCGGTGTCTGTCATTTTCCAGAGTGCTTGTTCAGTCAGCGGTATCAATTGTCAGCTTTAGGAGATAGGAGACATCCTGTCACCCCATCCAGAGCCTGTACTTGGAACTACCTTTATGACGATGATGAAGAGCAGCTGCGGCCGGGCGTGGTGGCTTACGCCTGTAATCCCGGCACTTTGGGAGGCAGAGACGGGGTGATCACTTGAGGCCAGGAGTTCGAGACCAGCCTGGCCAACTTGGCGAAACTCCGTCTCTACTAAAAATACAAAAAAAAAAAAAAATTAGCTGGGCGTGGGGGTGGGCGCCTGTAATCCCAGCTACTCGGGAGGCTGAGGCGACAGAATCACTTGAACCTGCGAGGCGAGGGTTGCAGTGAGCTGAGATTGTGCCACTGCACTCCAGCCTGGGCGAAACAGTCAGAATCCTCTAAAAAATAAATAAAATAAAAAATTAAAAATAAAAGAGCAGCTGGCACTTCTTGCAAGAGCTTCAAGCTGCAAAAGGCTCTTGGATGATGTGCAACTGTACAGAGGTGGAGATATTTTTAGAACTGAAGATTTGGTGCATAGTCCTGGCTGTTTGGAAACACTTTTCAGATGAACGCATGCTGCGATCCTGGTTTAATGGAGGAAGTCACTCCCATTCAGAAACACATCTGTCTGGGCTCCACGGCTTAGCAGAACCTCTGGGAAGTACAAGGTGTTTGAAATGATCCTGTATGAAAGACGCCAGAGGTGTAGATGCTGAGGGCTGGAAACTGCAGTTGACATTTGCCTGGCTCAGGGAATCTCAAACTTGGCTGAACAACAACAAAAAAACATGACCTGGTGCCGGGCGCAGTGGCTCATGCCTGTCATCCCAGCATTTTGGGAGGCCAAGGCAGGTGGATCGCTTTGAGCTCAGGAGTTCAAGACCAGCCTGGGCAACATGGCAAAACCGTGTCTCTATTAAAAAAATACAGATGGTCAGACGTGGTGGTGCACGCCTCTGGTCCCAGCTACTTGAGAGGCTGAGGCAGGAGAGTTGCTTGAGCCTAGACGGTCGAGGCTGCAGTGAGCAGAGATTGCATCACTGCACTACAGCCTGGGTAACATAGTGAGACCCTGTTGAAAGAAAAAAAAAATGGAAGAAAGAAAAAAAGGAAAGAAGAAACAGAGAAAGAAGAGAGAAGGAGAGAGAGAGAGAGAGAGAGAGAAAGAAAGAAAGGAAGGAAGGAAGGAGAGAGAGAGAGAAAGGGAGGGAGGAGGGAAGGAAGGGAGGGAGGGAGGGATAACAGAAGGAAATAAGGAAGGGAAGGAGGGAGAGATGAAGGAAGGAAGGGAGGGAGGGAGATAAAGGAAGGAAAGGAAAGAAGGGAAGGGAAGGAAAGAAGCAAGGAAGGGAAGGAGGAAGTAAGGAAAGGAAAGGAAGAAGGAAGGGAAGGAGGAAGGAAGGGAAGGGAAGGAGGAAGGAAGGGAAGGAGGAAGGAAAGGAAAGGAAGAAGGAAGGGAAGGAGGAAGGAAGGGAAGGGAAGGAGGAAGGAAGGGAAGGAGGAAGGAAGGAAGGAGGAAGGAAGGAAGGAGGGAGGAAGGAAGGAGGGAGGAAGGGAAGGAGGAAGGAAGGGAAGGAGGAAGGAAGGGAGGAAGGAAGGGAAGGAGGAAGGAAGGGAAGGGAAGGAAGAAGGAAGGGAAGGAGGAAGTAAGGAAAGGAAAGGAAGAAGGAAGGGAAGGAGGAAGGAAGGGAAGGAGGAAGGAAGGGAAGGAGGAAGGAAGGGAAGGAGGAAGGAAGGAAGGAGGAAGGAAGGAAGGAGGAAGGAAGGAAGGAGGAAGGAAGGGAAGGAGGAAGGAAGGAAGGAGGAAGGAAGGAAGGAGGAAGGAAGGGAAGGAGGAAGGAAGGGAAGGAGGAAGGAAGGGAAGGAGGAAGGAAGGAAGGAGGAAGGAAGGAAGGAGGAAGGAAGGGAAGGAGGAAGGAAGGGAAGGAGGAAGGAAGGGAGGAAGGAAGGGAAGGAGGAAGGAAGGGAAGGGAAGGAAGAAGGAAGGGAAGGAGGAAGTAAGGAAAGGAAAGGAAGAAGGAAAGGAAGGAGGAAGGAAGGGAAGGGAAGGAGGAAGGAAGGGAAGGAGGAAGGAAGGGAAGGAGGAAGGAAGGGAAGGAGGAAGGAAGGAGGAAGGAAGGGAAGGAGGAAGGAAGGGAAGGAGGAAGGAAGGGAAGGAGGAAGGAAGGAAGGAGGAAGGAAGGGAAGGAGGAAGGAAGGGAGGAAGGAAGGAAGGAAGGAGGAAGGAAGGGAAGGAGGAAGGAAGGAAGGAGGAAGGAAGGGAAGGAGGAAGGAAGGGAAGGAGGAAGGAAGGGAAGGAGGAAGGAAGGGAAGGAGGAAGGAAGGGAAGGAGGAAGGAAGGGAGGAAGGAAGGAAGGGAAGGAGGAAGGAAGGGAAGGAGGAAGGAAGGAGGAAGGAAGGGAAGGAGGAAGGAAGGGAAGGAGGAAGGAAGGGAAGGAGGAAGGAAGGAAGGAGGAAGGAAGGGAAGGAGGAAGGAAGGGAAGGAGGAAGGAAGGGAAGGAGGAAGGAAGGAAGGGAGGAAGGAAGGGAAGGAGGAAGGAAGGAAGGAGGAAGGAAGGGAAGGAGGAAGGAAGGGAAGGAGGAAGGAAGGAAGGGAAGGAGGAAGGAAGGGAAGGAGGAAGGAAGGAGAAAGGGAGAAAGAGAGAAAGAAGAAAAAACGAGGAAGGAAAATAAAGAGAATGAAAGAAGGAAGAAAGGAGAGAAAGAAAGAAAGGAAGAAAGCAAAAGAAAAAGAAAAGAAAGAAAAAGAAAGGAGAAAGAAAGATGGAGAAAGAGAGAAAAAGAAAGTAAGGAAAAGAAAGCAAAACAACTTGGGGAATTCAAAACAAATGCTGATGACCAGAAGAATTGACTGCGGAACTTTCTCGCGGATGGGGCTGACCGTCAGTCATTTTCAGAGGTTGGCCCAGTGAGCATCAAAAGCCCACTAGCTTTCCTGGATATTTGGGGAGACCGTCACAGATAGTGAGAGGCCTGAGCTCACCAGTGGTTTTACACAAGGCTCACTGGGGATTGGGGATGTCCAGTTTCAGACCTGCTGCCTGTCCTTGAAGAGGGAAGACGCATGAACAGAGATGGCTACACCAATTGCAAGCTCAGCGCAAAATGAGAAGAAGGACTCCTTGTTCAAACCTAATTAACAATTTCCAGGCGGGGGCAGCAGACAGTTAAAGCAATATGGCGCCCTTCCGTGCGTGGGGACCCTGTGTGAGTTACGCAAGGTGCGGACTCATGAAACTTGAGGTGTAGATAACAGAAGCTATCCACCTCCGAGGCTTTCCGGGTCTCTAGAAATGGAAAGAATATTTTCCGCACTCACATGGCATCTGGTCCCTGTGGCCAATAGTAGATTGAATACTGTCTCCCAAAAAGATATGACTAAGGCCTAATCCCTGGTATCCGTGAATGGGACCTTATTCACAGAAAGGGTCTTGCCAGGTGTCATTGAGTAAAGGATCTTGAAATGAGATCATCTGGATTATCCAGGTGGGCCATAAATCCAATATCAAGTGTCCTTATTAGAAACAGGAAGAGACACAGATACAGGGAGAAGGCCACGTGGAGATGGAGGCAGAGAGTGCAGTGATGCGGCCACAAGCCTAGGGATGCCTGCAGCCCCCAGGAGCTGGGAGAGGCAGAAAAGATCCTCTCCTAGAGCCTCTGGAGGGAACTGCACCCAATTGTAGTGGACTGAACTGTGGTCTCCCAAAAAGATCTATCTATACCCTAATACCCAGAGCCTGGGAATGAGAAGTTATTTGGAAATAAGGATCTTTGAAGATGCAGTGAATTAAAGATCTTGAGATGAGATCATCCTGGAGTAGGGTAGGCCCTAAATCCAATGACAGGTGTCCTTCTAAGAGACAGAAGACACACAGACACAGAGGAGAAGGCCACGTGGAGACAGAGGCAGAGACTGCAGTGATGCGGCCACAAGCTCAGGGACACCTGGAGACCCCAGGAGCTGGGAGAGGCAGGAAGGATCCTCTCCTAGAGCCTCTGGATGGAACTGGACACAATTGTAGTGGACTGAACTGTGGTCTCCCACAAAGATCTGTCTATATCCTAATATCCAGAGCCTGGGAATGAGACTTCATTTGGGAATAAGGATCTTTGAAGGTGCAATGAGTTAAAGATCTTGAGACGAGATCATCCTGGAGTAGGGTGGGCCCTAAATCCAATGAGAGATGTCTTTTTTTTCTTTTGAGACGGAGTCTCACTCTTTCGCCCAGGCCGGACTGCAGTGGTGCTATCTCGGCTCACTGCAAGCTCTGCCTCCCAGGTTCACGCCATTCTCCTGTCTCAGCTTCCTGGGTAGCTGGGACTACAGGTGCCTGCAACCGTGCCTGGCTAATTTTTTGTATTTTTAGTAGAAATGGGGTTTCACCATGTTAGCCAGGATGGTCTCGATCTCCCGACCTCGTGATCCACCCGCCTCGGCCTCCCAAAGTGCTGGGATTACAGGTGTGAGCCACCGTGCCCGGCTGAGAGGTGTCCTTCTAAGAGACAGAAGACACACAGACACAGAGGAGAAGACCATGTGGAGACAGAGGCAGAGACTGGAGTGATGTGGCCACAAGCCCAAGGAATGTCTGGAGCCCCCAGGAGATGGGAGGGGCAGGAATGTTCTTCTCTTAGAGCCTCTGGAGGGAACTGGACACAATTGTAGTGGACTGAACTGTGGTCTCCCAAAAAGATCTGTCTATACCCTAATACCCAGAGCCTGGGAATGAGAACTTATTTGGAAATAAGGATCTTTGAAGATGCAGTGAATTAAAGATCTTGAGATGAGATCATCCTGGAGTAGGGTAGGCCCTAAATCCAATGACAGGTGTCCTTCTAAGAGACAGAAGAAGACACACAGACACAGAGGAGAAGGCCACGTGGAGACAGAGGCAGAGACTACAGTGATGCGGGCACAAGCTCAGGGACACCTGGAGACCCCAGGAGCTGGGAG
This sequence comes from Homo sapiens, assembly GCF_000001405.40. Taxonomy (NCBI): domain Eukaryota; kingdom Metazoa; phylum Chordata; class Mammalia; order Primates; family Hominidae; genus Homo; species Homo sapiens. The sequence continues at coordinate 2,216,714 of NC_000024.10, forward strand.
AGGCAGGAAGCATCCTCTCCTAGAGCCTCTGGATGGAACTGGACACAATTGTAGTGGACTGAACTGTGGTCTCCCACAAAGATCTGTCTATATCCTAATATCCAGAGCCTGGGAATGAGACTTCATTTGGAAATAAGGATTTTTTTTTGAGACAGAGTTTCACTCTTGTTGCCCAGGCTGGGTTGCGATGGCGAGATCTCGGCTCACCGCAACCTCCACCTCCTGGGTTCAAGCAATTCTCCTGTCTCAGTCTCCCGAGTAGCTGTGATTACAGGCATGTGACACCATGTCTGGCTAATTTTGTATTTTTACAAAATTACAGAATTTTGTAATGATGGGGTTAAAAATTTTTGTAATGATGGGGTAGAGATGGGGTTTCTCCATGTTGGTCAGGCTGGTGTCGAACTCCTGACCTCAGGTGATTTGCCCACCTCACCCTCCCAAAGTGCTGAGATTACAGGTGTGAGCCACTGTGCCTGGCTGGAAATAAGGATCTTTGAAGATGCAATGAGTTAAGATCTTGAGATGAGATCATTCTGGAGTAGGGTGGGCCCTAAATCCAATGACAGGCTTCCTTCTAAGAGACAGAAGAAGACACACACACACAGAGGAGAAGGCCACGTGGAGACAGAGGCAGAGACTGCAGTGATGCGGCCACAAGCCCAGGGATGCCTGGAGCCCCCAGGAGCTGGGAGAGGCAGGAAGGATCCTCTCCTCGAGCCTCTGGATGGAACTGGACGCAACTGTAGTGGACTGAACTGTGGTCTCCCAAAAAGATCTGCCTATATCATAATACCCAGAGCCTGGGAATAAGACTTTATTTGGAAATAAGGATTTTTTTTTTTTTTTTGAGACGGAGTTTCACTCGTTTCCCAGGCTGGATTGCAATGGCGTGATCTCGGCTCACCGCAACCTCCACCTCCTGGGTTCAAGCAATTCTCCTGTCTCAGCCTCCCAAGTAGCTGGGATTACACGCATGTGACACTGGAGTCATGCAACCACAAGTCAAAGGGATGCCTGGAGCCCCTAGGAACTAAGAGAGGCAGGAATTGATCCTTCCTTAGAACCTCCGGATGGAGCAGAGCCCTGAGACATCTTGATCTCAATCTTCTGGTCTCCAGAGCTGGGAGAGGAGAAATAATTCCTTTTGTCATGAGGTCCCTAGTTGTGGTTACTTGTTACAGCAGGCCTGGAAAACTGATCAATGTCATAACCTGCAATGGGCTGTCTGAACACACAGCCATCTCATGGGACCATCTACATCATCTTCACACAGAGACCTAAGCCCCATGGGAAGCTTGGCAGATGTGATGTTGGGGCCTCTACAGATCCAGATGTGGGGGTTTAGTCAGGCTGGTGGGGAAAATTTTAGTTATAGTAGACACAAACCCTCTGGGAAGGCCTGAGCGTTTGTATAACTTCAGTAATAAACCTGGCTGAAGGCAGCCTAGTCCCCTTACCTTTAGTTAAATAAATTAGAGTAGAAGCAAAGGAATGTGGGGAATGTCTCTAACTAACTTGTTTACTCATGTGGTCCTAAGACTAACCTTTTATGTATCGCAGGTGCTTCATTGCTTTCTACTTAGGGAAGTCCGCAATGTCAATTTCCCTCTAGTGGTGTTGACTCACAACCTTTGTCAATTAATCTTTACTGAATAAATGCAAGTCTTGCTGACTGATCGAGGCCACGGCTGCTACTAAGTGGCTTGGATGCTCAGCCAAACTGGCAAAGCAGAATAGCTGTGTGTCAATGTACTTCATTCACCCATCACTTGGTCAGGGTCTGTGGGACAGACCCCTGCACCATAAATCTTGTTGCAAGTTTTCACCGTTGGGCTTCACGTCTCCCTGCAGCACCATGAATCCAGCTACACTAGGGAGGTGAATATCATGCATGTTTCCTGCAAGTTTCATTGTTCCTTGTAACCTCTGGCAACCTCTCCTTCCCGGAGGCTGTTTCCTGGCCTGTTAGTCTGGTTGTATCATTCATGGTTTTCCTATGAAGGGTCTCAGGATATAAGCAGACATTCTGCACAGAGACTGCATCTTTCTGCAGAAGGGGCTTGAGCTCATTCTTTCTGCACTGAGAGTCCTGGGTATTGAGGTCTGAGCTCTGCCCGAAACAGAAGCATACCGATTGTTAGGGTCACCCCAACCAGACCGTTCCCTTCCCCTTCCACAGGCCTTACAATACAGTCCCTTGCACTCTCCACACAGCTCCCCCAGGGCTAAAGACAAACGCCCCCCGCCTTCACTGACCCCTCCAGTAACTGTTTGTCCAGACAGTTACAGGATGTGGTTAGCATGTCTGTGAACCTTGCATAACAAAGCTGGTGAAAAACATCTCCAGGATGCGGTCAAGACACTTGCACCCCCTACTCAGCTCCCCCACCCCAACCCAATCCTCCTGCACCCTCGACTCAGCTCCCCCACCCCGACCTGGTTCTGGCCCTATAAAACCCTGCTATAGTCTGTAAGTGGGGCTGCCTCCACTAACTGTGGTGGAGCAGCCAAGCAGCTCAGTAAAGTTTGCTTGCCTGACTTTAGGTCTCCTCATCCTCTCTCTCGGCTGACCTTACACCGATGATGTAGTAAGCATCTAACGTGAATATCCCAGGGAACAAATCCACATTTCTTATCCTTTTGTACCAAGGAAGGTCCCCTGTCTAGTGGGTCCATGACATAAAATTCCTGGTTTTCTGTAAAGGAACAACAGAAATCCAGGCATCCTGGTTATCTACCAAGGAAAATCACCATCTGTGGTGACAAACCCATTCCCGGAGGATGAATGATTTTTTTTTTAAAGAGGCCAAACAATACATTTATTATTTTCATTTAAGTTGCTTATCAGGGCAACCTTCCCCATCTGGGAACAATCTAGCAGTCATGTAAGAAGCACATGCCCCCACAATTAGTTTGAACTCCATCCTGGAATTGCAGCTGGTTGTGATTCTAAGGTACAGGCATGCCAGGAGCCTGGATTTGAATAGTCAGTGGGATTTTGTCACTTAGTGGAATGGATAATAAGCCAACCAATGGTCATCAGTCTCACACATAAGGAGTGCAGGCTCGTAGGGTATACACAGTACTTTCTCAAAAGCATTGCAAATGACTGATTTCTCTATGTTGAAATTTGAAAACCCAACATCTATCTCTCTAACACCAAAGGATTGAGCCTTCCTTGCCTGGCTGGTGAGTAAGAGTGAGCCTCTATACCAAGGATGTACCCTTTGGCTGTGTGAGGTTTTCAGAAGTATCAGAAGCTGTATACATTTCCTGTGGTTGCTGTAACAAGTGACTACCAATTTGTTGGAGCCTTAAAACAAGAAAGATTTATTCTCTCTCCGTTCTGGGGACCAGAAGTCTAAAGTCAAGACGTCAGAGGGGCCAAGATTGCTCTGAGGGGTATAAGGGAGAATCCTTCCTGCCTGTCCCAGCTCCTGGTGGCTCCAGGCATTGCTTGGCTTGTGGTGGCATCACTCCAGTCTCTGTCTGCATCATCACACGAATATCTTGTCTTCTGTACTCAAATCTCCCTCTACCTGTCTCTGATAAGAACCCTCGTGATGGCATTAGGTTCACTGGGATGATCCATAATGACCCATCTCAAAATTCTTAATTCTATCTGCAAAGATTCTTTTCCAAATAAAGTAATATTTATAGGTTCTGAGGGTTAGGGCATGAACATATCTTTTGAGGGCTACCATTTGATCCATAGCTGTTCAGCGGTTTACATTCTCGGATTTGACAGTGGCATGCTTCACTTGTGACTGTGCCATTCTGGAATGAGGTTGACCAGATGGTGCTGCTGGCCACGTCAAACTCATCCTACAGGCTGTAGCAAGCAAGGCTCACACCTCCCCATGTCTGACACCTGTGAATCACAGCTGGGTCTCTGGAAAAATGAGTGAGTGCAGGAACAAAATCAAACAGGAGACCTCATCCACCACTAGGTCTCAGAGAGGACATTGCAGCCCCTGAAAAGAGAGCATCTCTCTTGGAACTTTTGTACTCAGTTGTATTAACGCGGCAAGGAAAATGGCACATTTATGTTGGAAAATGTAATTATTTATGGCACCTGTGACAACTGGGCACTTTGGAATCACAAAGTTTATGGTTGAAGACCACTTGGGGTGATTATCCTCCAAAATGTTTATTTGGCTTCTTGAAGTTCTGCAGAGGTTGAGGCAGCTGTCTCAAAACTAGAGGACAGAGCCCTGTGGGCAGGTGGGTGTGAGAAACTCAAACACCGCAGTCTTCACAGACCCACAAGCTATTGGCAGGTGCAATGTGTTTCTTGGGGCAGCAGCTATCCTGAGACAGGATATCACAGGGTCACATCAAGGACCCCAGTCATCTCACAACTCTTAGACCACAGCTGCTGCTGCAGTTTCTGGTTGTAGGTGACGTGGAGGGACTTGGTCTCTTTCTCGTTGTATAGGTAATGGCCACCAACTCCTTCCAGCTCTGGGGTGACTGCTGCGTAGATGGAAGTCCACGCTCCTTCATCGGGGGTCTGGTGGAAGAAGAAAAGAAGGCTACGATGAGTCAAATTTCTGAGCAGGAAACAGGAGTCTCAGGACTCACATGGATGCTGCAGGGACAGGTGGAATATACTCATCAGCTGCACTGAGAAATGTATGCAAAAAGCGAGGTTGGGTGATCAATCTGAACCACAGCTTTTCTGCTGTTGGGTTTCTTTACAACAGGCACTGACAATAACGTACCCAAGTGGGTTGCATTTCAGTGGTGGGTTAATCCATCTCACTAGGCAGATGCATATTAAAATCCCTGATGTACGTATTTAATCACGCACTCTTTATGGGACCGAAATGCTTATTAATTGACTAGAAGCAGATGAGTGAGTGCTTGGCTTCTGTATTTAATAAACAATATTTAGCAATTAGATGAAACATCAGGACATCAAAAAGATTCTTGTTTTCAATTCAGCAAGGCATGCTACATCGGAGAATTGAGGCATTTATGAGCTGTGATCGTATGTTTCATGGAAACAGACGTTTCAAAAAGGAACTTGAGATGCAGAAAAAGGTTTTTCAAAGACTGGGGATTTTACCCTAGTGGAAGGCGATAATCTTGAAACACAGCACACCCTGGTTTTCTGCAGTGGGAGTTGGCCCTTGGTCATGGTCAGTGGGATGGAAGAAATGTAGGATTCTCAGAGGAATTAGAAGTTGTGGGACCTGAGAACCTTCAGAGCTAGGATGCAATAATCCAGGAACCAACACAGTGCATCTTAACTTCTGTCACAATGAAGATGTTTCAGAAGTTGTCTCTTGTAATAAGCTTCTGGGAATCTGGTGAACGTATCCACCATGTGGGGACACAGTAATGAGGCACCGTCTGTGAACCAGAAAGCAGGTCCCTTCCAGACACAGAATCTGCCATGCATTGATCTTGAACTTCCAGCCTCCAGAACTGTGAGCAACAAATGTTTACCGGTTGCCCAGCCTATGTTGTTTTGTGATAGCAACACAAACAGACTAAGACATTTGATGTCCAGAGTTTTTACTGGGGTCTCATTGCATAGGTATGATTAAGTCATTGGCCACATAATCAGATTCAACCTCCAGTTCCTCTTTCCTCCCCAGAGGTCAGGCTGGCCTGAAATTCCAACCTCCTAATGACATGGTTGGTGTTTCTGGTGGCCAGCCCCATCTTGAAGCCATTTAGGAAACAGCAAATATCACCTCATTATACAACCAGGGAATTGCTAGCATTTGTGAAATTGCGAGAGTTTTAGAAGCTCCTCCTTGTTACAGAACCAGGAATAAAGACCAGATATTGCCTTTGTTATGTCCCCTCTAGTCTTCTGGGAGTGATGATCCATTTGCCCGAACTGATTTCACCTCTCACCAGTGCCCCTAGCACTGCAGTGGCTCAGGCCTGTAATCCCAGTGCTTTGGGAGAACAAGGCAGGAGGACTGCTTGAGTCCAGGAGTTCAAGATGAGTGTGGGCCACATGGCAAAACCTAGCACTGGTGAGAGTTCAGGCACACACCCTCCAAAAAGGAAAAGGGTGGACTCTGTGGGGTGGCCTGTGACACCCAGTCACTTCAGAAATTCTGCTGCTGTCAGTTCACTGCCTCCTGGTCTTGACTTCAGCAGCCAGTGTGACGTGGAAAGGCATGGTAGACAATCCAGTGTGCCCACCAGCCCATCCTCTGGGTGCCGAGCAAGGGGAACAGGAAGGCTGGACCCCAGTAGAGGAACAGAGCTGCCAGACTCCTGAGATTGTTTCCCACTGACTTGCCTCTGCTCTTCTGCTGCCTAAAAAGAAATGGATGGAGCTAGAGAACTTCCCAAGTCTGGAAATCACCTAGGGGTGCCCAGAGATCTTGCAAACCCAAAGTGTCCTGGGAGATTTGGAGGCTGATACGGTTTGGCTGTGTCCCCACCCAAATTTCATCTTGAACTGTAGCTCCCATAATTCCCATGTGTCAAGGGAGGGAGCCAGTGGGAGGTAATTGAATCATGGGAGATCTTTCTCGTGCTGTTCTCATGATAATGAATAAGTCCCATGACATCTGATGGTTTTATAAAAGGCCGCTCCCCTGCACACACTCTCTTGCCTGCTGCCATGTAAGACATGCCTTTGCTCCTCCTTCACCTTCCGCCATGATTGTCAGGCCTCCCCAGCCACATGGAACTGAGTCCATTAAGCCTCTTTCCTCTATAAATCACCCAGTCTTGGGCATGTCTTTATTAGCAGCATGAGAACAGACTAATAGAGAGACTGTATCTGAAAACATCTCGGGGGCGGATGCAGGCGCCATGGCTTGGCTCTTGCAGGGGAGCCCTGTGTCCCGTGTCTTGCCCTGGGCATCTAAAGACCAAAAGTAAAGGCGAAAGGGATGGAAAGAGGAAGGGAGGAAGGACAGAACAGAGCAGGAGGAAAGGGAGAGGGAAGGCAGGGGCCAAGTGAAGGCACCCATGGTGTTTGAGGGTCTTTCTCTGGGGCAGCCTTCAACGCAGAAAGAGGTTTTATTGATCTGTTTCATGCTTCTCTCTTTTGCGGCTGTGTTCTGCCCAATTTCCAGGCAGGATCTGCTCCCAAAGCCGGCATTCTTCTTCCTTCTCCATCATCTTGTAGCTGGAAAATACGGAGTCTTTCTGGGGCCCAGCCCACTTCCATATAAAAGGCAGGGACACCAAGCACTGCAGCTGTGAATCCAACATGGTGCCCCTTCCCACACTGCTGCTCTGGACAAAGTGATCAGAGAGGCCAGATGGGGGCCACCCTGGGTCCCCAGGAGAGACCATGGTTCCTGCTGCGCAGAAATGAGCATTTACACCTCACGCTGGTGCCTGAGATGTTCACCCACACTGTGTTATATTTAGTGCTGTGCCTTCTTTGCAAACAAATCCTTAAATCAGCTCCTGGAACAAGTTTTGTGTTGTTGTCTGCCATCATTGACACTGAGGATTCAGGGGCTCATGCCCCAAATACCCGACCTGTGTCTTGACCATGTAGTATGATGCCTCCACCCGGAGAGGCCCCTGTGTTCTGCAGCTGCAGCTTAGGCCGCTCCTGGGTTCTCCTGCATCGTCCCTATTGTTGAACAAACTCAGCACTCTCTGGAAGGAGGCTTCCTCTTTGTGGTTCCCCTGTGGGCAGTGTCTGGGGGCTTCTGTTTCTACCATATTTTGAAAAATCCTCTTATCTGAGTAAGAGTTCTTGGGCTATGCATATTCAATTGCGACACAAGTACTACCGTTTTAGGGGGCAAGATACCACCTGTGCTATGTTGAAAATGAGCTTGTGATTTCTAGAAGACAGCAAGCGCATTGTGCTGAAAATGTAGGTATTTCTGGGGACACAGAGATGACGACGTGATGAAGTTCTATTGGATGATTTTTTTTCTGTAAGAAAAACACACGCACACACATATTCATGTGCGCATGGTCACTTACATGCTGACATGCACACATACATTCGTATGTACTCACATGCACACAAATATATATACACATATGGACACACACATACTCATGCATACGCACACACACATGCACACTTACTTGCACATGCATACTCACACTCATTCACATGCACACATGCTCATTTACATGTACACAAACTCACATGAACACATGCTCACATATACTCATTCACATGCACACAAATTCGCATGCACACAGCTCACACGCACACATGCTCACACTCGCACACACACACGTACACACACATTCACATGCACTCATTCACATGTACACAGCTCACACACATGCTCACATTCACATGCACACTAATTCACATGCACACACACATGCTCACACTCATTCACATGCACACAGCTCACATTCACACATGCATTCACATTTACATATTCACATGCACTCACATGCTCACTCATTCACATGCACACAGCTCACACACATGCACACACTCATTCACATGCACTCATTCACATGTACACACATTCACATGCACTCACACACGCACACAGCTCACACATGCACACATTTGCATGCACATTCACATGTACACACATTCACATGCAGTCACACATGCTCACACTCATTCACATGCACACAGCTCACACACATGCACTTTCACATGTACACACATTCACATGCACACATACACATGCACGCACCCTCATTCACAAGTACGCACATACACATGCACACATGCTCACACTCATTCACATGCACACATGCTCATCCACGTGTACATTCACATACTCATTCACATGCATACTTATACACATGCAAACATGCTTATATATTCATTTGCATGCACACACTCATACACATGCACAGATTATTTATCCTAATATTGCAAAATATGAAACCAAGGAGAGAGGCCTCAGGAGGAACCAGCCCTGCCCACACCTTGATCTTAGACCTCCAGCCTCCAGGACTGTGGGAGAATCAATGTATGTCGTTTCTAAGCCACCCAGTCTATGGTATTCTGTGACAGCAGCCAGAACTGGACTAAGACATGTCATAAGAAAAGGAGATGAGGACACAGACACACACAGAGGGACAACCCTGTGAGGACACAGGGAAAAGACGGCGTCTCCAAGCCCAGGAGAGAGACCTCAGGAGGAACCAGCCCTGCCCACACCTTGATGTCAGACTTCCAGCCTCCAGGACTGTGGGAGAGTCAACGTCTGTTGTTTATAAGCCACCCAGTCTATGGTATTCTGTGATAGCAGCCTGAAATGGACTGAGACAGCTCATAAGAAGAGGAGATGAGGAGAAAACAGACATGCACAGAGGGACGACCCTGTGAGGACACAGTGAGAAGACAGCATCTACAACCCAAGGAGAGAGGCCTCGGGAGGAGCCCGCCCAGCCCACACCTTCATCTTGGACTTCCAGCCTCCAGGACGGTGGGAAAATCAGTGTCTGTTGTCTAAGCTGCCCAGTCTATGGGACGTCAGGCTGGCAACCCCGGCAGATGGAGACCAAGCCCAGGTGACTTCTCTCCTGACTGGGATTGGCGCAGGCTGCTGTGTGCATATGTCAAGAAAGCCTCTTTTCCAGGAAACAGGCAATTATACCCACACTTACCTGCTACCTCAAGAGTCAGGGAGGGGAGAGACTTCAGGAGCATGAGCAATTACTCGAGTTCCCCTCCCAAGTCATTTCAATCTCCTGTTGGTTACCTGGCTCATTCAGTCTGCCCCACAGCTCTATTGCAAACAGAGCCCTCTGTGTTCATGGGACTGTTCAAGAACACCAAGGGTTCCTGCCAGCATTTGTCTCTCTAATGCCACGTTCTGCAAAGCAGACCTTGGACTGGCCCAGCCCTTTGTGATCTTTTTCCCCAAAGAAAACACAGGCGCGGTAGCTCACGCCTGTCACCCCAGCACTTTGGGAGGCCGAGGCAGGCGGATCGCGAGGTCAGGAGATCAAGACCATCCTGGCTAACACAGTGAAACCCCGTCTCTACTAAAAAACACAAAAAATTAGCCGGGCATGGTGGCGAGCGCCTGTAGTCCCAGCTACTCGGGAGGCAGGAGAATGGCGTGAACCCGGGAGGCGGGGCTTGCAGTGAGCCGAGATGGCGCCACTGCACTCCAGCCTGGGCGACAGAGCGAGATGCCATCTCAAAAAAAAAAGAAAGAAAAAAAAGAAAACACCCAGACCATGGGCACGGTTTCTCGTGTTAGGGCAGCACAGAGAATGTGACAGGTAGGGAAAACAGCAAAGCAACTCATCGTTCTCAGAGTCGCTTTTGTTAGAGGGGAAGCTCTGGGACCTGTCTCAGAGCTGCTGCAGAATAAGAAGGGTTCGAGTCAGCCTTCCTCCTGCTGACAATGAATACCTCAGTTTTCCCTCCGGAGGCAGCCCCTTTTCCTCCTAACTCCATGAAATGTCTTTCCGGAAGGTGCAGCTGGAGCACCCTGCACCTGCACCCCAGCCAGCCCTGCACCCACATCTGTACATGCCAGGCAGTGCTGAGAACCGGGCAGGAAGGGAGGGGACAGACGTGTCTGCACAGAATCCTGCACCTGCTGGGAACAACTCAGTGTCATCAGCTATGGCCTGGGTCAAAGCACCTTTGTTTTGGGTATTCAAAGGTCAGTGAAGGGTTGAGTGAAAGGGAAGGAGAAAGACAGAGAAACAAAAAAAATCAATGGAAGGAAGAAAGAGAAGGAGAAAGAAAAAGAGGAAGAAGAAAGGAGGAAATAGAGAAAGGAATTAAGGAAGGAAAGAAGGAAGCATAATGGGAGGGAAGGAAGGAGTGACACAGAGAGAGAGGGAGGGAGGCAGTAAGAAAGGAAGGAAGCAGAGAACAAGACAGAAAAGAGGGAAGGAAGGAGAGAGAAAGGAAGCAGAGAAGAAAGGAGGGAGGAAGAAAAAAGGGAGAAAGGAGGGAAGAAGGGAGGAAGGGAAGGATGAAAAAAGAAAAAAAAACAGGAAGGAAGCAAAGAAGGAAGGGAGGCAGGAAGCAAAGAAGGAAAGGAGGAAGGAAGGAAAAGAGACAGAAAGAAAAAAAAAGAAGAGAAACAAAGAACCAAAGAGAAGGAAGGATGGGAGGGAGGGAGGGAGGGAAGGATGGGAAGGAGGAAGGAAGGGAGGGAGGGAGGGGGGAAGGGAGGGGGGAAGGGAGGGAGGGAAGGGAGGGAGGGAGGGAGGGAGAGAGGGAGGGAGAGAGGGAGGGAGAGAGGGAGGGAGGGAGGGAGGGAGAGAGGGAGGGAGGGAGGGAGGGAGGGAGGGAGGGAAGGGAGGGAGGGAGGAAGGGAGGGAGGGAGGAAGGGAGGGAGGGAGGGAAGGGAGGGAGGGAGGGAGGGAAGGGAGGGAGGGAGGGAGGGAAGGGAGGGAGGGAGGGAGGGAGGGAGGGAGGAAGGGGGGAAGGGAGGGAGGGAGGGAGGGAGGAAGGGAGAGGGGAAGGGAGGGAGGGAAGGAGGGAGGAAGGGAGGGAGGGAGGGAAGGGAGGGAGGGAGGGAGGGAAGGGAGGGAGGGAGGGAGGGAGGGGGGAAGGGAGGGAGGGAGGGGGGAAGGGGGGAAGGGAGGGAGGGAGGGAGGGAGAGAGGGAGGGAGAGAGGGAGGGAGAGAGGGAGGGAGGAAGGGAGGGAGGGAGGGAGGGAAGGGAGGGAGGGAGGGAGGAAGGGAGGGAGGGAGGAAGGGAGGGAGGGAGGGAGGGAGGAAGGGAGGGAGGGAGGGAGGAAGGAAGGGAGGGAGGGAGGGAGGAATGAAGGGAGGGAGGGAGGAAGGGAGGGAGGGAGGGAGGGAGGAAGGAAGGGAGGGAGGGAGGGAGGGAAGGGAGGGAGGGAGGGAGGGAGGGAGGAAGGAAGGAAGGAAGGGAGGAAGGAAGGAAAAAAGGGAGGCAAAAGGAAGGACTGGAGGAAAAAAGAGAAGATAAGAGGAAGGAAGGGAGGGAGGAATTTATTCCTCAGAGCCTTTGCTGCATTTACCAATTCTGGTTCTGCCCCTATTTGACCAAATATCTGTGGTGACTCTGAGAATTCTGATTTCTAAGATAAGGCAGATATTGTGAATTTGAAATAGCAAATCCCTTTTGTGTCATTCAAACCACGATTTCCTTTTTGTTAGAGCTCCTGTTCTCCAGATAGCACCCAGGGCACACAGAGATATTTGCCTGTGACTCTTCAAAGAGCTTCAGAAAGCTGTTCCCTCTGAACTCCACACTTAACTTGTATTAGACATGCTGGGCTTTGCAGAAGAGACACACACAGGGCTTCCCTTTGTCCTTGGGACGGATCCCCTGTGCTGTCTGCAAGGAAACTACCTAACGCTCCACTGCCAGGAGCAGAGGGCAGCAGGAATGGCATCACCCGGGATGTCTCCTAGGGAGGAGGCTAGCAGGGCTTGGGCGGCAAACGCTCAGCTCTCTGCAAGGCACGCAGAGGCTCGTTCGCCTTCTGGAAATGTTGCTATTTGAATGCAGACGCTGTTAGTAGATCCTTGAGTTGTGCTGAGAGAGATCTGAGGGCACATGTATTTATTTTAGCACCGTCCACATCTTAGGGCAGAAACTCACACTCAGGGAAGTGGCTGGCAAGTAAAGAGACTCCTAGCTGAGCTTCCCAAGGAGAGTTTCCACGCCCCAAAGTTGTGGAAGAGGGGACGGAGTAATGCTGTGGTCAAAGAGAAATTCAGAGACTTCTGCCCAGGCTCAGCTGCCTTCCTGGAAGAATGTTCTGAACATTCTACAAAGGCAACACTTCCTCTCCATACCTCTGCTCCAGCCACCCAGGGATCCTGCTGCTTCTGCCACGATGTCCCCTGCCTCTTGCCTCTCTGTACCTGCTGCTTGCTCCTTCTGGAATGTTCTGGAAAATAGGTTTCGGGGCTGGATGTTTTCTGGGATGCTGACTCACACGCAAATCATAGGGTGACATAATGTGTGCATGTGTGTGTGTGCACAGATATGCATAGGTACGCATTTATGTGGATGTGTGTGTACTTGTGGGTAGATGTGTATTGTATGATTGTATGTGCATGTCTGTATGTATATGTATATGTATGTGCACGTGCATGAATGCACACGTTAATGGGTACGTGTGTGTATTCATGCATGTGTTTGGATAAATATATGTGCATGCATGTGTGTGGGGGCGCAGATGTGCGGGTATGGGCCTGCGTGTGTTTGCACATGTGTATATGTATGCATGCATGTGAATGTGTACTTGAGGGATGTGTATTGTATGAGTGTATGTGCATGTCTGTATGTATATGGATATGTGTGAGTACATGTACGTACATGCATGTGCATGAATGCACATGTGAATATGTGCATGTGTCGATAGGAATATACATTTGCATAAATGTGTGCATGTGTGTTTGCTCATGCATATGTGCACACATGCATGTGGGCACAGATGTGTGGATATACGCATGTCTGTGTGCATGGGTTTGCACGTGTATATGTGCATGTGTGTCTATGCATGTGAAGGTGTGTGTGCATTTATGCACGTGAGCATGTGTGCACATACTATGCATGTGTGGGAGGGGTGCAGGTGCGCGCATGTGTTTGCATCTATATGTGTGTATTTGTACATGTGTGCATGTATGTGTGCATGAGTGTGCACATGTGTACGTGCACACACGTGCTCTCAACTCCCCAATGAGAGCTGTGGGTTGTGCTAAACTTCTAGGGATGTTTCATGGCCTCAGTGACCACCTGAAGCAGAGAGGATTAAGAAAACCTTCCTTTAACTACAATCTCGTAAGACACACACACAAACCTGCTCTTACCAGGAATAAACACTCACCTGACAGACAACAGAGAGGAGATGGCTTGTGCTGTTTAATGTCAGGTAACACAGGTCTTAAGTGGGCTCTGTGATGATTGAGTTCACGTATCAATTGGCTGGGCTATGGTGCCCAGACATTTGGTCAAGCACCAGACTGGGTAGTTTGTGGATATCATTAACATTTACAAATCAGTTGCATTTAAGCGAAGGAGAGGACGCTTCACAATGTGGGTGGGCCTCACCTCATCAGGAGAAGGCCTTCACAGCAAACACTGACACTTACTAGAAAAGGAATTCCACTCCAGACTGTGACAGGGCAATCCTGCCTGAGTGTCCAGCCTGCCCTGCAGATTTTAGGCTCAAGGCTGCAATGTCAAATCTTGGCCAGGTCTCCAGCCTGCCAGCCAGCCTACCAATTTTGGACTTGCCCGCCCCTACAATCCCAAGAGTCAATTAAACTAAATCTTTCTCTATGCATAGATCCTATTGGTCCTGTTTTTCTTGAGAACTGCGACTAATACAAAATTGAACGGTCTCAATGGCAGAGAGTCTGGGCATTCTGAAACCAGGAAGAAATGCCGGGCTCCAGGAATGATCTTGGCTCATCTCTTAGCTTGAGTCACTGGAAGGTCTCGCACAGAGACCTTCAATCAAAAGCACAGAGACTGCTGGCTGGCTTTTAAGGCTAAACCAAAGGAGGGCATTTATCCACTCAAGGGAAGAAGTTTCCCATCCAAAGAGGACACTTCTTTTTAGGGTGGCAGCCTCAGAGCCTATGATGTCTTTGTTCCTGGGGAGTCTGTTAGAGCCACCAGAGAGTCCATCACAGACATACCCTGTGGAAAGGAGAGATGGCATCTCCTTGGACAAAACGGCCCTTCCCAGTTCTGTAACTTCTGTGGCATTTCCAATGTGTACCTCAAACTGATCTGGGTGGCATCACCTCTGAGCCTGAGAGAACCTCCCTCTTTCCCTCCCTCTCTCTCACACCCTTCTCCTTCCTCCTTTGCTTCCTCTTCCTTTTTCTCTTTTTCTCTCTCTATTCCTCTTTCTCTTCCTCCCCCATCTTATCCTCCTCCTCTTTCATTTCTTCCTTCTCCTTCTCTTTCCCCCTTATCCTCCTCCTATTCTTCTATCCCTTCCTCTTCCTTTTTCTCTCTTCTTCCTCCTCCATCGTATCCTCCTTTTTCTTTTTTCCCTTATTCTCCTTTCCCATCTCTTTCTCCCTTTCTCTTCTCTCTCTGCCTTTTCTTCTTTTTTTCTTTCTCCTCTTTTCTCTTCTTGCCTTTTCACTCTCTATTCCTCTTTTTTTCTCCTCCATCTTCTCTTCTTCCTCCTCCACCTCGTCCTCTTCCTCCTTTCTGCCTTATCCTCCTCCTGTTTTTCTCTCTATCCCTCTCTCTCCCTTCCTCTTCCTTTCTTTCTCCTCTTTCTCATTTTCTCCCTCTTCTTCCTCCTCCATCTTCTCCAACTTCTTCCTCCTCCTCCTCTTTCTCTTATCTTCTTCTTTTCCTCTATCTTTCTCTTCCTCTTCTCTCCTCCTTCTCTTTTCTTTCTGCCCTTCTTTCCTTTTCTCTATTCCTCCCTTTTTCCTCCTCCTTCATCTTCTCCTCCTTCTTCCTTCTCCTCCTTTTTCTCTTTCTATCCCTCTGTCTTCCTCCTTTTATTTTTTCTCCTTTTCCTCATCTTCCTTTTTCTCTCTCTCCCTTCCCTTCCTCCTCTTCCCCTTCCTCTTTCTCCTCCTCTCTCTCTGCCCCCTCTATTATCAATTTACAGTATAATCCAGCTTTTCCTAAAAAAAAACTAGACAACCTTCACACTACACCCTTCTGTTTCTAAAAGTCTTCCTCTGAATCGAAATCACTCTTGTTCACTTGTGTGAGGCTGGGGGATTCCTGAATGAACTTGTATCCACTTGTTTTGAAAACAACAACAACTAAAGCAACAGAACTTCCTTTAGGATTCATATAGAGCATTCATATGGAATTACCGAGAACTATCTTCTTTTGTCCACAGCCCCAAAGCTGGGGCTCAATCCCCTGCAGTCCTGGGGTCTGGGGTCCTCACGCTTAGCACTCAAGAGAATGGGCCAGAGAGCTTGTAAAAACAACTGCACCCCTGGTATTTCTAACTCAGTGGATCTTAGGAGGCCCAAGAATCAGCATTTTTTTTTATTTTTTATTATTTATTTATTTATTTGAGATGCCAGGGCTGGAGTGCAGTGGCATGATCTTGGCTCACTGCAACCTCCGCCTCCCAAGTTCAAGCAATTCTCCTGCCTCAGCCTCCCGAGTAGCTGGGATTACAGGTGCCTGCCACTACATCCAGCTAATTTTTTGTATTTTTAGTAGAGACAGGATTTCACCATGTTGGCCAGGCTGGTCTCGAACTCCTGACCTCATGATTCGCCCATGTCAGCCTCCAAAAGTGCTGAGATTACAGGCATGAGCCATCGTGCCCGACCCAAGAATCTGCATTTCTAACGAGCTCCCAGAGGCTGCTGGTCTCAGAGACCACGCTGGGAACCTCACTCATTCTAGCTTCTTATGCAGCTCTGCAAACTATACACCATGGGCAAAATTCAGCCTGTACCTGTTTCTGTACAGGCTACTAGCTAAGAATGGTTTTATACTCTTAAAGTGTTGTTAAGAAAAAGAAAGAAAGAAAGAAAGAAAGAAATATGCCAAAGAGACTAGAGGTGGCCCACGAAGACTAAGACACTTCCTATCTGGCCGACCTCCTGTGTAGAGCAAGGAACTGTGGCTTCGCGGCAGAATTTCATTATCTGCCGCTGTGCAGCTGTGGCTGACAGACGCTGTCTTCCACACATTCTCGGAATGATGAAGTGGGCTTGCTTGGTGACGCCTTGTGCAGGGAAATGAAAGTTGTCTTCTGAATACACAAGACGGTCCTGTAAATCATGCTCCCTGTGGCTTAAATAACACATCCTGTTTTATCTACAGCTTTTTTTTTTTTTTAAATGACAATCTTTAGAGACTGGCAAGAGGACAGAAGATGTATAAATGTGAACCCAAATCCAAGAACGCAGTGTGTTCCCTTTTAACAGACACAAGAGCATCTTTGAAGTTCCAGACGCCCGGCTGGGGGGCGCTGGGGAGACGGTGCAGCACCATTTATGGTAAAATCTGCATCAAGCCACTCTTGAGTCCTGGAGAGTGTTGGAGCTGCAAGCTACAGAAACCATTTCAACTTCATTCAGTCCAATGAATGTTTATTAAATGCTCACCCGTATTTTGCCAGCTCTTGGGGCAAAGGAAGAGAATTTCAGAAATAACCCCTGCTGCCCAGGAGCTTCCAATAGACATGGGCAGTGGGTGGATGGTGAGGCACAAGTGCAGGAAAAAAAAAAGATGAAACACACACAAAATAGAAGATAGAGTTTCAAGTGTACTAAATAGAGCCACAAGCAATATAGTCAGAGAGAGGAATGAATGGCTCATAATTACATAATTACACAGAGCTTTACAGTGGAGAAAATGGTTTCCCATATATTCTGTCGGCAATGTTCACAACACTCTTATGTGATATTATTATCCAGAATTAACAAATTAGAAAAATGAGAGGCATAGCAGGGAAGGAGAGGAGAAGGGAGCTGTTGCAGGAAATAGCCACTGCCTGATTCTTCCAGGGACCCCTCCCTCGTCATCTCCCTTCTTTCTCTGCTTTGCTATCATGAGCCCTGATCCATGCACACAGCTGGATCCATGCACATGCATTCAATATCTCCCTCCCTGCCTTCACCCATGCACACAGCCCTGATCCATGCACACAGCTGGCTCCATACACATGCATTCTGCAGCTGCCTCCCTGCCTGCATCCATGCACACAGCCCTGATCCACGCACACAGCTGGCTCCATGCATGTGCATTCAATATCTCCCTCCCTGCCTTCACCCATGCACACAGCCCTGATCCATGCACATGCATTCAATATTTCCCTCCCTGCCTTCATCCATGCACACAGCCCTGATCCATGCACACAGCCCAGATCCATGCACACAGCTAGACCCACACACACACATTCAGTACCTCCTTCCCTGCCTTCCAGGCACAGAGCCCTGATCCACGCACACAGCTGTTTTAGGTTTTTTGCAGTAGTATTCAGAACAGCAAAGATATGCAATCAACCTAAGTGTCTGTCAGCAGAGGACTGGCTAATATAAAGAAAGTACAGTATAGTATATACACACCATGGAATATTATGCAGTCATATCAAAGAATGAAATCATGTCTTTTGCAGTGACATGGACAAACACTGCACGTTTCCACTTTTTATTTTATTATTTTACTTTTTATTTTTTGAGACGGAGTCTCACTCTGTTGCCCAGGCTGGAGTGCAGTGGCACGATCCCGGCTTACTGCAGTCTCTACCTCCCATGTTCAAGCGATTCTCCTGCCTCAGCTTCCCGAGTAGCTGGGACTACAGGCGTGTGCCACCATGCTGAGCTAATTTTTGTATTTTTAGTAGAGACGGGGTTTCACCATATTGGTCAGGCTGGTCTTGAACTCATGACCTCAGGTGATCCACCCGCCTCAGCCTCCCAAAGTGCTGGGATTACAGGCATGATCCACCATGCCCAGCCTGTTTCCACTTTCTAAGGTCCCTAGAGTCATCAGATTCATCAAGACAGAAGGCAGAATGGTGTTGCTAGGAGCTAGGAACAGCAGGGAAATTGGAAGTTGTATTTTAATGGAAACAGAGCTTCAGTTTGAAAAGCAGGCCGTTCTCCTAACAAACAACTCAGATACTGAAAGTCAAACACTGATCCTGCCATGTTCTCACTTGCAAGTGGGAGTTCACCAGTGGGTCTACACAGACACAGAGGGTGGATTGACGATGAGGACCCTGAAAGGTGGGAGGTTGGCAGGAGGTGGAGGATGAAAAAAATCACCTACAGGTATAGTATTCACAGCTGGGGTGAGGGGTTCACTAGAAGCCGGGACTTCACCGCTGTGCAATGTCTCCATGCAAGAAATCCGCACCTGTACTCCTTAAATTTATAATAAATAAGTGAATCAATAAATACATAAGCCGGGCTGGGTACGGTGGCTCACACCTGTCATCCCAGCACTCTGGGAGGCCGAGGCCGGCGGATCACAAGGTCAAGAGATCAAGACCATCCCGGCCAACATGGTGAAACCCCACCTCTATTAAAAATATAAAAATTAGCTGGGTGTGGTGAGACATGCCTATAATCCCAGCTACTCGGGAGGCTGAGGCAGGAGAATGGCTTGAACCCGGGAGGCAGGTGTTGCAGTGAGCCAAAATCATGCCACTACACTCCAGCCTGGGCAACAGAGCATCTCAGGGGAAAAAAAAAAAAAAAAGGGAACAAAAAAAGAAATCCGCACCTGTACTCTTTAAATTTATAATAAATAAGCAAATCAATAAATACATAAGCCAGGACGGGTGCGGTGGCTCACACCTGTCATCCCAGCACTTTGGGAGACCGAGGCGGGCGGATCACGAGGTCAAGAGATCAAGACCATCCCGGCCAACATGGTGAAACCCCATCTCTATTAAAAATATAAAAATTAGCTGGGTGTGGTGGGACATGCCTATAATCCCAGCTACTCGGGAGGCTGAGGCAGGAGAATCGCTTGAACCTGGGACGCAGGGGTTGCAGTGAGCTGAGATCGCGCCATTGTACTCCAGCCTGGGTGACAGGGTGAGACTCCGTCTCAAAGAAAAAAAATAAATAAATAAAATAAATAAATCCGCACCTGTACTCCTTAAATTTATAATAAATAAGTGAATCGATAAATACATAAGCCAATTGGTGAGATGACCCATAAAGACAAACAAAGCTTTGTGAGGGGAAAGCAAGCGCCCAGGAGAAGCCCTGTCTTCGGAGGTTTTGGCGCAGGCCTGAATGAAGGGAAGGAGAGGGATTGGATACCTGGGGGAAGGGCGTGCGTGGAGGAGGAAACAGCCAGGGCTGAGGCCTGCACATTGCAGGGAAAGGGTGAAGTCCCTGGTGGCTCTACCTGGAGCAATTTCTTCTTATTTTTTCTTTTTTTGAGATGGAGTTTCACTCTTGTCACCCAGGCTGGAGTGCAGTGGCGCGATCTCGGCTCACTGCAACCTCCTGCTCCCGGGTTCAAGCGATTCTCCTGCCTCAGCCTCCCGAGTAGCTGGGATTACAGGCGTCCGCCACCATGCCTGGCTAATTTCTGTATTTTTAGTAGAGACGGGGTTTCACCACGTTGGCCAGGCTGGTCTCGAACTCCTGGCCTCATGTGATCCACCCGCCTCAGCCTCCCAAAGTGCTGGGATGACAGGTGTGAGCCACTGCGCCCGGCCACCTGGAGCATTTTCAGTGGAGCATGGGGGACTGGAAGTGAATTGTATGAGCAATTCCTGTATGGGGATTTGCTGCAGCGGAGACTGTAGTCAGGGACAGTCCCCAGGGGAAATAGAAGGTCCAGAGAGGGTGGTTAGATTTGTTTATTAATAAAAAAAAAAAAAGAAATGGGGGGGCTGGGTAGGGTGTCTCATGCCTGTAATCCCAGCACTTCGGCAGGCCGAGGCAGGCGGCTCACTCGAGACTGTGAGTTCGAGATCAGCCTGAGTAACATATCGAAACCCCGTCTCTACTGAAAATGTAAAAATTAGCCAGGCGTGCTGGGAGGTAGCTGAGGTCCCAGCTACCCAGGAGGATGAGGCCGAATTGCTTGAACCCAGGAGGCGGAGGTTGCAGTGAGCCGAGATCGCACCACTGCACTCCAGCCTGGGCAACAGAGAGAGGTTCCATCTTAAAAAAAATAAAAATAAAAAAATTCCCAGTACCTGCATCCTTGATTTGATTAATTAACCTGTCACCCTCTCGGCACATCAATCCAAGTTCCAATCAACCCTAAGACAGACTTTCATTAGACTGCATGGCGGATACAAATACATGCTTAAGACAAGCAATGATACGAGTGGTCTACTTCATGGTGAAGTGGGCGCAGTCTACACTGCAAATTTGTTCATTTTGATGGCAGGCCTGATCACATGATTTCAAAGTGGTCAGGACTTGCTGGACATGAGCCCTGAATGGTGGAGCTGATACACTCAGCATTTACAATAGCTTTCTATTTTTTTTTTTTTTTGAGATGGAGTTTCGCTCTTGTCGTCCAGGCTGGAGTGCAGTGGCATGATCTGGGCTCACCACAATTTCCGCCCCCGGGTTCAAGCGATTCTCCTGCCTCAGCCTCCTGAGTAGCTGGGATTACAGGTGACTGCCACCACGCCTGGCTAATTTCTGTATTTTTAGTAGAGACTGGGTTTCTCCATGTTGGTTAGGCTGGTCTTGAACTCCTAACCTCACATGATCCTCCCCCTCAGCCTCCCAAAGTGTTGGGATTACAGGCATGAGCCACCACTCCCAGCCGATAGCTCTTTTTTGTAACACCCATTGATCTTGAGACAACTGGGGTGGGAAGAGAGGTAATAGCCACGTTCATTTGCTCCCTAGGAGGGGTATACATTGTAGGGGGTACTGAGTTTCACTGATGAAGCTGCGAGGAGCTTCCTAGAGGTCTGAAGAGCACACATGCCCTCTGAAATACTAAGCTACTCTCCTACGGAGGCTGAGACCATCTGCATGTCTCAGCATGAAGAATGGCCTGATGCATTTGTATACAGGACAAATCAAACCTCTCATCTTTATAAATGCACAAATCATAATCCCAACACTTTGGGAGGCCACAGCAGGAGGATCGCTTGGGGCTAGGAACTGGAGACCCGGCTGGACAACATAGCAAGACCTCGGCTCTACCAAAAAATTTTAAAAAATTAGCCAGGCATGCTGGTGCATTCGTGTAGTCCCAGCTACTCGGGAGGTGGAGGTGGGGTGATCGTTTCAGTCCAGCAGGTCGAGGCTGCTGTGAGCTGTGATTGTACCACTGCACTCCAGCCTGGGTGACAGGGCGAGACCCCATCTCAAAAACAAACCAATCAACCTCCTAGTTTTTCTTCTGGTACCGACTGGTCGCCCAGGTTACTGGCCGTGAATTTGGAATCGAGTCCATGTGTTCTGATGAGACAGAGGATAGAGGTTTCAGAGTGACATACAACCATGCCCTCAGATGATATGAAACATCACAGAGATATGTATGTCACACAGATTCTCCCCAGGGACCCTGGACAGATCCTGCAAGGTTTTTCTTCTTTCTTTTTTTTTTTTTTGAGACGGAGTTTCACTCTTTTCACCCAGGCTGGAGTGCAATGGCGCCATCTCGGCTTACTGCAACCTCCGCCTCCCAGGTTCAAGCGATTCCCCTGCCTCAGCCTCCCGAGTAGCTGGAATGACACACACGCGCCACCACACTCGGCTAATTTTTTTTTTTTTTAATAGAGATGGTGTTTCACCATGTTTGACAGTCTGGTCTCGAACTCCTGACCTCAAGTAATCCACTCACCTTGGCCTCCCAAAGTGCTGGGATTACAGGCATGAGACACGGCACCCAGCTGATCTTCCAAGTCTTAATATACAATGCATGCATGCATGCATGCATACACACTAGTAAATAATACATACACAGCAATACAGAATTATCATTACAAAGACAGCATCAAGCTACTGCAGCTGTATAGCCTTTTCTTTAAAATTCTTACATTATTTTAATTTCATTTCCAGGCTAATGCATATTCTTCTGCTCTATAATTTTAAAGTTTCCACAATGTTGTCTCTTATATAAAGGCAGTATCACTCGAGCAATGCCCCGTGGTTATTTTTAATCCAAATTTGCAGATGATGATCAAAGGATTAAAGAATGATTCATGTGGCTAAAGTTGCAGTTTGCTTGTTAAATATTTAGAAAGAAATAATGTCAAGGCCAGCCATGGTGGCTCATGCCTGTCATCCCAGCACTTTGGGAGGCAGAGGTGGGAGAATCACTTGAGGCCAGGATTTCAAGGTTGCAGCCAGTGATTGTGTCATAATTCCAGCGCACAAGACCAACCTGGGCGAACAGCAAGATGCCGTTTCTACAAAAAAAAAAAAAAATGCACAGCAGCCAGGGTGACAGAGCAAGACCTGGTCTCTAAAAAATTTAAAAGAGGCCGGGCGTGGTGGCTCACGCCTGTAATCCCAACACTTTGAGAGGCCGAGGCAGGTGGATCACGAGGTCAGGAGATCAAGACCATCCTGGCCAACATGGTGAAACCCCGTCTCTACTAAAAAAAAATAAAAAATAAAAAAAAAATTAGCCAGACGTGGTGGCGGGCACCTGTGGTCCCATTTACTCGGGAGGCTGAGGCAGGAGAACGGCATGAACCTGGGAGGCGGAGCTTGCAGTGAGCTGAGATCGCGCCAACGCACTCCAGCCTGGGCAACAGAGCAAGACTCAGTCTCAAAAAAAATAAATAAATTAAATAAAATAAAAAAACAGCAAATGCTCTCCTTGGATACTGAAGTCACTCTCTGAGGGATTCATGGGGGTTTTATAAGGATGAAATGTATCCTAGTGTTGGTGTATTGCTAGCGAATACTTAGTGCTTAATAAAATAACTAATATTTTGAAATTCCTTTGCTTGAGGAATTAGAGATGTGAAGAACAACAGATCAGAAAGCAAACTGCAAAATAAGGGATGTACAGCTGGGCGCGGTGGCTCACGCCTGTAATCCCATCACTTAGGAAGGCCGAGGTGGGCGGATCACCCGAAGTCAGGAGTTCGAGACCAGCCTGGGCAACATAATGAAACCCCGTCCCTACTAAAAACACAACACTTAGCCAGGCTTGATGGCAGGTGCCTGCAGTCCCAGCTACTCAGGAGGCTGAGGCAGGAGAATCACTTGAACCCAGGAGGCGGAGGTTGCAGTGAGCTGAGATCGCGCCAGTGCACTGCAGCCTGGTGACAGAGCGAGACTCTATCTCAAAAAAAAAAAGAAAAAGAAAAAGAAAAAAAGAAATTCCTTTGCTTGAGGAATGAGAGATTCGAAGAACAACTGATAAGAAAGCAAACTGCAAAATAAGGGAAGTAATTAATCCCCTCAAAAAGTCCACATTGGGGGCGGGCAGCTCATATCATGAGAGACTTTCAGACGAAATCAAGAGCAATGCCAGGAGTCCAACAGGGAGAAAAGAGAATTTGTAACCAAGCTCATTAATTCCAAAGCTTGATGAAACAGACAATTACCTAAAGGGAAAAGCTGTCTAAACTGACTCAGAAAGAGGTGGGAAACTTCAACAAGCAGTAGACGCCCAAGGAATTTTGAAAGCTGAGTTAGAATCGCTCTTCCGAAAATTCCTCAACCCATGCGGTTTTGAAGGTGAATCGTGGCGGTGTTTCAAAAGCAGACACTTTTAAAAATGCTAATTAGACGATTCTGCAATGTAAAGGGAGAAATAGAAAAGCTTCTCAAGGTTCTTTCTTTGTTTTGTAAACAAATTATTAAAACTTTAGTATCCCGACTTGAGATAGATAGGAAAGAAAGTAAATCTATAGCTCCCAGATACATATCACTTCAAAAGACCTCAAGGAGGACAGGCACGGTGGCTCACTACTGTATCCCAGCACTTCGGGAGACCGAGGCGGGCAGATTACTTGAGGTAGGTCAGGAGTTCGAGACCAGCTTGGCCAACATGGTGAAACCCTGTCTTTACTAAAAATACAAAAACTAGCCGGGCATGGTGGCGCACACCTGCAATCCCAGCTACTCAGGAGGCTGAGGCAGGAGAATCACTTGAACCCGGGAGGCAGAGGCTGCAGCGAGCCGAGATCACACCACGGCACTCCAGCCTGGTGATAGAGCTAGACTCCATCTCAAACAAACAAACAAAAAAACCCAAGGGAATGGCTGGGGCATGAAATCTTGCAGTGCTTAAGAAGTTAATGCATCACGACAACGAAGATCATTGCAGAAATGTGGGAGCTTTCAGCTGCTGGGTCTTAAAAACCAACACCCCAAAGTACGGTGCTTTGTCCTGCTGAACTGAAGAAGCCTCAAGATCTCTCTAACTTCCCCCTCCTGCTTCCTCTGTGTCTCCCGATGCACAGGATGAAGTTGTTCTCTGAAGTTTCCTGAAGTCTGGACATGTCAAAGAAGGAAAAATGACCAGTGTCCCCTTCCCTGAGTTTCTGAACCCACATCGCGGAGGAAAGACTGATGTCTGTCAACAGCCCTGCAGAGACTCCTCATAAACCACTGTCTGTTCTGAGGGTTCCACAGCCTCTGTCCCTGCAGAGACTCGTCATAAACCATTATCTGAGGCCAGGCGCAGTGGCTCACACCTATCATCCCAGCACTTTGGGAGCCCGAGGCGGGTGGATCACCTGAGGTCCAGAGTTCGTGACCAGCCTGGTCAGCGTGATGAAACCCCGTCTCTACTAAAAATACAAAATTAGCCAGGCGTGGTGTCACATGCCTGTAATCCCAGCTACTCGGGAAGCTGAGGCAGGAGAATCGCTTGAACCCAGGAGGCAGAGGTTGCACTGGGCAGAGGTCCCGCCACTGCACTCCACTCTGGGCAACACAGAACGAAACTCCGTCTCAAAAAAAACAAGCAAACAAACAACAATAACAAAAAACATTATCTGTTTTCGGGCCACTGTACATTGTTCAAACCCATTGACTTCTCTTTAAAATCATTTACTATTTGGAATCCTATATTCACCCCCAATTCCCCACTCCCCTTCCGCTAAGAAGAAGAGGACACAAGCGTCTGTACCCCTTTGTGTAATGGGGCAATTCCTCTGACATTCTCCTCCATGGATGAGAATACATTTGCCTGTCATTTCCTTTATTCATGTTTCAAAAAGGGCAATTGTATTTTGTGCGTTGATTTTTCAGCAAACCTTCAAATGGCAAAGGGGGATGTTTTTCCCTTGGCCCCTACCACAGCATCCCCAAACGGTCTCCAGCTCCTAAGAAGATTCATTTATGGGCACTACCTAGCTACACAGCGTCACCCACCGAGCTCGCACACAACCAAGGCTTTGGGGTGAGAATGTACAAATACATCACGGAATCCAAGCCCCCAACACCGCACACGCAGCCTGGAAGTGGTTGTGTCAGAGCTGTGTGAACCAGCGTGACTCCATCTTGAATAGGGGCTGGGTAACACGAGGCTGAGACCTGCTGGGCTGCATTCCCAGGCGGTTAAGGTATGCTAAGTCGCAGGATGAGATAAGAGGTTGCTACAAGGTACAGGTCATAAAAACCTTGCTGATACAACAGCTTGCAGTAAAGAAGCGGGCCAAAACCCACAAAAAGCAAAATGGCGACAAGAGTGACCTCCGGCTGTCGTGACGGCTACATTCCCACCAGCGCCAGGACAGTTACAAATGCCACGGCAATGTCAGGAAGTTACCCTCTACGGTCTAAAAAGGGGAGGCATGAATAATCCCCCCCTCGTTTAGCATATCATCAAGAAATCACCGTAAAAATGGCCAACCAGCGGCCGCCGGGGATGCTTTGTCTGCGGAGGAGCCATTCATTTACTCCTCTACCTTCTCAATAACTTGCTTCTCTTTCCACCACTGAGCCGTCCTGAATTCTTTCTTGCACGAGATCCAAGAACCCTCCCTTGGGGTCTGGACTGGGGACCCCCTTTCCTGTAGCATCTTCAGGTGCAGCCGTGAATCAGAGAAGCAGAAGGGGCTTACCTTGAAAAGCAACCAGCCGAGAAGCTTCTTCGCCAGACGGGTGGCCCAGAACACGTGCTTGTAGACGTCCGTGTTGACCACCCCGGGGTCCACCACGTTGGCGGTCACGTGGCTTCCCTCAGCCGCCAGCAGCCGCTGGAGGTGGTAGGTGAACAGGACAAGGGCCAGCTTGCTCTGGGCGTAGGCTGCGTGGGGTGAGTAGCAGGCACTGTGGGGCAAGCAGGAGAAGGTGTAAGAGGCTGACGGCGTTCACGCCTAAGTGCTTCATCCCAGCAGCATCTGTACCTGCGGCCACGGCCACGTCTATACGCAGCCACCTCCCCTAGACCCATGTGTGATCATGCCATCTGTTGGCCAGTTTTCCAACGCGTGTGGATTTTTCTAGTTCACCTTTTTATTATAAACTCATCCCTTAATTGTATTGGGGTCAGATATGTTAAATTATGTTACTAATTTTTTATTTATTTATTTATTTATTTTGGAGACAGAGTCCCCCCTCTGTCGCCCAGGCTGGAGTGCAGTGGTGCAATCTTGGCTCACTGCAACCTCCACCTGCCCGGTTCAAGTGATTCTCCTACCTCAGCCTCCCCAGTAGCTGGGACTACAGGTGCCCGCCACCACACCCTGCTAATTTTTTGTATTTTCAGCAAAGATGGAAGTTTTACCATGTTGGCCAGGCTGCTCTCGAACTCCTGACCTCAAATTATCCACCCGCTTCAGCCTCCCAAAGTGCTGGGATTACAGGCAGGAGCCACTATGCTCCCTGTTTTTTTTTTTTTTTTTTTTTTTTTTTTTTTTTTGAGACAGATTCTCACTCTGTCACCCAGGCTGCAGCCTCCCGGGTTCAAGCGAATCTCGTGCCTCAGCCTCCAGAGTAGCTGGGATTACAGGCTCCTGTCACCACGCCCGGCTAATTTTTTGTATTTTTAGTGGGAACAGGGTTTCACCATGTTGGCCAGGCTGGTCTTGAACTCCTGACCTCGGGTGATCCACCCTCCTTGGCCTCCCAAAGTGCTGGGATGACAGGCATGAGCCACCGCGCCTGGCCACATGTGGTCTTCTTGATGAGTCTCAAATCATAAAAGACAACCACACAAGCAATTTGGCAAACTTCCCAAGCTATCATAAATTTTCCTCACATCTACTGCAAGCTCTGTAGTGTGCTAAGCACATGTTAAACTCTTTGCACCTTGGTTCAAGCAGTTTAGAGAAATGTTTTAGTATCACAGGACATAGTGATAAAAATCGATCCGATAACCGCGGTAAAGTGAGTAACGTGCCTCTCTCTCTCTCTCTGGTAACCTCAATCACCAGAAACACAGAAAACTGGATGTTTCCAGCTTTGCTCCTGTAAATATGTTCTACTTTTTCTATGTATGCCTTAGAAACACTTTTTAAAGAGATGTTATTTGCGGTGTTACATAACGTCCCTTGAAGGCACACAACCACCATAGACTCCTTTTAGAATTTAATGCTAGGCACAGATCATTAGCCTTAGAATTGGCCTCATAGTTCTTTTCAATAAGACAAGGAGAAGTATTTGAGCAATAATGTTTTTCTTTCCTCTGGGGCTCCAAAGATGCCCAGAGGCGATCAATTTGCTACACAATTATCGTAACAACATTTCAAGGTGGCTGAAGGTTCATATCGCTTGCTTCTTTTATATATATATATATTTTTAAATTTTATTTTTATTTATTTATTTTTGAGACAGAGTCTTGCTCTGTCAACCCAGCTGGAGTACAGTGGCGTGATCTCGGCTCACTGCAAGCTCCTCCTCTCGGGTTCAAGTCATTCTCCTGCCTCAGCCTCCCAAGTAGCTGGGACTATAGGCGCCTGCCACCTGCCTGGCTAATTTTTTGTATTTTTAGTAGAGACGAGGTTTCACCATGTTAGCTAGGATGGTCTCGATCTCCTGACCACGTGATCTGCCCACCTCGGCCTCCCAAAGTGCTGGGATTACAGGCATGAGCCACTGTGCCCGGCCTAATTTTCTGAATTAACCACATGGTATATGTATCCTGATGGAAGCTGTGAACAGAAAATATCTGGGCACCCCAAAAGCGGGAAGCTCAAAGGAAAAGTCCAGCTGGAACCTGCTGAAGGCAAACCTGCCTCCCACTCTGTTCAAAGTCACCCCTGTGCTCACTGAGATAGATGCATATCTGATCACCTCCTTTGGGAAGGCTCATCACAAACCCAAAAGAATGTAACCATCTGTGTCTCACCTACCTGTGAGCTGGAAGCCCCCTCCCTGCTTCCAGTTGTCCCTGCTTTTCAAGGACTATACTTCTTATTTTTTTGAGACAGAGTTTTGCTCATATTGCCCAGGCTGGAGTGCAGTGGCACAATCTTGGCTCACTGCAACCTCTACCTCCTGGGTTCAAGCCATTCTCCTGCCTCAGCCTCCCGAGTAGCTGGGATTACCAGCGCCCGCCACCACGCCCGGCTAATTTTTTGTATTTTTAGTAGACATGGGGTTTCACCATGTTGGCCAGGCTGGTCTCGAACTCCTGACCTCAGGTGATCCGCCTGCCTCGGCCTCCCAAAGTGCTGGGATTACAGGCGTGAGCCACCGCACCCACCCCAACGTAGCTCTTACATATATTGATTGATGTCTCCTGTCTCCCTAAAATGTATAAAACCAAGCTATGGCCAGACGCAGTGGCTCATGCCTGTAATCTCAGCACTTTGGGAGGCCAAGGCGGGCGGATCACAAGGTCAGGAGTTTGAGACCAGGCTGGCCAACATGGTGAAACCCTGTCTCTACTAAAAAAAAAAATTAAAAAATTAGCCAGGCATGGTGGCATGTGCCTGTAGTCCCAGCTACTCCGGAGGCTGAGGCAGGATAATTGCTTGAACCTGGGAGGCAAAGGGTGCAGTGAGCTGAGATTGTACCACTGCACTCCAGCCTGGGCAAGAGAGTGAGACTCCATCTCAAAAAAAACAAAAAAACAAAAAAACACACAAACAAAAAAAAAACAAGCTGTGACCTGACCACGTTGCACACGTCATCAGGACTTTCTGAGGCTATGTCACAGGCTCACGTCCTTAAATTTGGCAAAACAAACTCTAAATTAACTGAGACCTGTCTCAAATTTTCAGGGTTCACAAAGCCATCTCAGATATAGTTTGAATATCAGCATGATATTTATGCTAAAAAACTAAAGATAAGATCAAAAAGCCTAAAAGAATGTTTAACACATTCAAAAGATCAAAAGAAAGACATCCGTCATCATATGCGTTTCAGAAAAAGCTTCTGAAAATCCAATGCCTCTTACCAACAAAAGCTGTTCCTAAATAAGAATACAATATTGAGGGCTGGGTGCGTTGGCTCATGCCTGTAATCCCAGCGCTTTGGGAGGCTGAGGTGGGCAGATCACCAGGTCATGAGTTTGAGACCATCCTGGTTAACATGGTGAAACCCCATCTCTACTAAAAATACAAAAAATTAGCTGGACGTGCTGGCGGGTGCCTGTAGACCCAACTACTTGGGAGGCTGAGGCAGGAGAATCACTTGAACCCGGGAGGTGGAGGTTGCAGTGACACGAGATCACGCCATTGTACTCCAGCCTGGGCAACAGAGTGAAAGTCTGTCAAAAAAAGAAAGAAAGAAAGACAGAAAGAGAGAAAGAAAGAAAAGAAAGAAAAGAAAGAAAGAAAAAGAAAAGAAAAGAAAGAAAGAGAAAGAAAGAAAGAAAGAAAGAAAGAAAGAAAGAAAGAAAGAAAAAGAAAGAAAATAAAAGAATAGAAAATTGAAATAAATGAAGTAAACTTTGACCTAAGGATCTGGAGAAGAAAAATGAAAATGCTTTCCTAAGGAAAACACATAAAAGAAAACCAAAAAGATCAAAGCAAATGAGAAATACAGAAAGAAAACAGTATAAACATAAATGATACCACTGGGGAACAGAGACTGATGTTGGTTTTTGTTGTTGTTGTTTGAGAAGGAGTCTTGCTCTGTCACCCAGGCTGGAGTGCAGTGGCGCCATCTCAGCTCACTGCAACCTCTGCCTCCTAGGTTCAAGCAATTCTCCTGCCTCAGCCTCCTGAGTAGCTGGGATTACAGGCATACACCACCATGCCCAGATAATTTTTGCATTTTTAGTAGAGACGGGGTTTCATCAGGTTAGCCAGGCTGGTCTGGAACTTCTGACCCCAAGTGATCCACCCACCTTGGCCTTCCAAAGTGCTGGGATTACAGGTGTGAGCCACTGTACATGGCCCTGGTATTGGTTTCTAAACCTCCTCTCCCTGTTATAAAATGTCCAATATACACTATATTTTGCAGATGAAAAGTAGAATATTACAATTACAGAGCAGACCCTGAAACTATAAAAAAAAAATTAGGGCTGGGTGCAGTGGCTCACACCTCTAATCCCAGCACTTTGGGAGGCCGAGATGGGCAGATCCCGAGGTCAGGAGATCGAGACCATCCTGGCTAACATGGTGAAACCTCGTCTCTACTAAAAAAACAAAAAATTACCCGGGCATGGTGGCGGGCGCCTGTAGTCCCAGCTACTCGGGAAGCTGAGGCAGGAGAATGGCGTGAACCCGGGAGGCGGAGCTTGCAGTGAGCCGAGATTGCGCCACTGCACTCCAGCCTTGGTGATAGAGTGAAACTCCGTCTCACAAAAAAAAAAAAAAAAAAAAAATTAGATACCCTCTATATTCATGTATTCATTTTTTCATAAAATAAATGAACAAAACCAATAATGCATGCCTATGCTGGGGCTCAGAGAACAGTAACCTAAAATGAAGACCTCAGAAGCAGCATCAGAAGCAAACCTTTCTTGCTGACCTTCTCCTACCCTCCTGTCTCTCAGACCCATTTCGCCCCAAGGGCACCACGGAAACTGGAATCCTTCTTCCCCAAGGTGGGTCCCGAAAACCAAAGCACCTTTCCCCCAAGGCCAGCCAGAAACCCTATAAATAGGACTCTAAGTTTCCCTACACCCTGAGTATATAAAAACTCGCCATAAAGAAATTTCCTATCATCGTGCAGTGGCTCACGGCTATAATCCCGGCACTTTGGGAGGCCAAGGCAGGTGGATCACTTGAGATCAGGAGTTCGAGACCAGCCTGCCCAACACAGGGAAACATCACCTCTACTGAAAATACAAACATTAGGCCGGGCACGGTGGCTCACGTCTGTAATCCCAGCACTCTGGGAGGCCAAGGTGGGCAGACCACAAGGTCAGGAGATCGAGACTATCTTGGCTAATACGGTGAAACCCGGTCTCTACTAAAAATACAAAAAATTAACTGGGTGTGGTGGTGGGCGCCCGTAGTCCTAGCTACTTGGGAGGCTGAGGCAGGAGAATGGTGTGAACCCAGGAGGCGGAGCTTGCAGTGAGTGGAGATTGCGCCACTGCATTCCAGCCTGGGCGACAGAGCGAGACTCTGTCTCAAAAAAAAAAAGAAAAAAGAAAATACAAACATTAGCCAAGTGTGGTGGCGGGCACCTGTAGTCCCAGCTACTCGGGAGGCTGAGGCAGGAAAATTGCTTGAACCCAGAAGGTGGAGGCTGCAATGAGCCAAGATTGCGCCATTGCACTCCAGCCAGGGCGACAAGAGCAAGACTCTGTCTCAAAAAAAAAAAAAGAAAAAGAAAAGAAAAGAAAAAGAAAGAAAAGAAAAGGAAAAGGAAATTCCTTGACCTGCCTTGTTTGAATGTAGGTTCTACGACCCCCTTCCCAGAGAGGGTCCCACCCCACCCCCAGAAGGAAGGCGCACTGCTCAGAGGCCAAAAAAATCTAGACAGGCCTGTCTGTTTCCCCACTCAGACCGTCAGCCTTAGATCACACCCTCTTCCTCCAATCCTATTCCTACACGGATTTCGTTCAGACGTCGTTGAACCTAAGCATAAAAATAGACGGTTTCCCCTGCATCTTTGGGTCTTCCCTCTGAAGGCTGCTGTATGTATCCATCGAGTAAACTTTGTATGCCTTTTCTCCTATTCATCTGCTTTTGCAAGTTGATTTTTCAGCTTGCAAAATCAGAGGGAATGACCCTCCATCTGTTCTCCTATCACACTGTCATCATTTCCACTGTGAAGAACATGGGGAAAACTGGCCAGACAACCAAAGGAAGGGCGTGCACATACATTTGCACATCTTTTGGGAGAGCAACTTCACAACATGCAACTCAATCTTTAAAATCATAAATCTTTTTTTTTTTTTTTTTTTGAGACAGAGTCTTGTTCTGTCGCCCAGGCTAGAGTACAGTGGCACAATCCTGGCTCACTGCAACCACCCCCTCCTGGGTTCACACCATTCTCCTGCCTTAACCTCCTGAGTAGCTGGGACTACAGGCACCTGCCACCATGCCCGGCTTTTTTTTTTTTTTTGTATTTTTAGTAGAGACGGGGTTTCACCGTGTTAGCCAGGATGGTCTCGATCTCCTGACCTCGTGATCTGCCCACCTCGGCCTCCCAAAGTGCTGGAATGACAGACGTGATGTGAGCCACCACGCTCAGCCCTTTTTGTGCCTTTTTTTTTTTTTTTTTTTTTTTTTTTTGAGACAGAGTCTCGCTCTGTAGCCCAGGCTGGAGTGCGGTGGCGCAATCTCAGCTCACTGCGACCTCCACCTCCCGGGTTCAAGTGATTCTCCTGCCTCAGCCTCCCAAGTAGCTGGGACTACAGGCGCCTACCATCACGCCCAGCTAATTTTTGTATTTGCAGTAGAGATGGGGTGTCACTGTGTTGGCCAGGCCAGTCTCGAACTCCTGACTTCAAGTGAACCGCCCGCCTTGGCCTCCCAAAGTGCTGGGATTACAAGCGTGAGCCAACGCACCTGGCCTATGAATATCTTTTAGTAACATCACTACTTGAAATTGATCTTAAAAAAATAAACCTTGGGCCAGGCATGGTGGCTCACGTCTGTAATCCCAGGACTTTGGGAGGCCAAGGCTGGCAGATCACGAGGTCAGGAGATCGAGACCATCCTGGCTAACACGGTGAAACCCCGTCTCTATTAAAAATACAAAAAGTTAGCCAGGAGTGGTGGCGCATGCCTGTAATCCCAGCTACTTGGGTGCTGAGGCAGGAGAATCGCTTGAACCCGGGAGGTGAAGATTGCAGTGAGCCGAGATCACGCCACTGCACTCCAGCCTGGGCAACAGAGTGAGACTCCATCTCAAAAAAAAAAAAAAAAAAAATTAAGCATTGATTCAAAAAGTCTTTTCTGGCTGGGTGCAGTGGCTCACATCTGTAATCCCAGCAGAACTTTGGGAGGCAGAGGTGGGCGGATCACCTGATCCTTTCAGGGGTTTGAAAGGGTTCTTGGATCTCGTGAGAAAGAACTCCGAGTGGGTCCATAGAGTAAAGTGAAAGCAAGTTTATTATGAAAGTAGAAGAATAAAGAATGTGTACTCCATAGATGGAGCATCCCGAGAGCTGCTGGTGGCCTATTTTTATGGTTATTTCTCTATCATATGCTAAACAACGGGTGGATTACTCATGAGTTTTCTGGGACAGGGGTGACCAATTCCCGGAGCTGAAGGTTCATCCCCCTTTTAGACCATGTCATGGCATCTGTAAACCGTCTCTTATCAGCTAATGCATTAGAATTAGCGTATCATGACCAGAGAGGATGACCAGAGGTCAGTCGTCACCATCTTGGTTTCGGTGGGATTTGGCTGGCTTTACCACAACCTGGTTTATCAGCAGGGCCTTTGTGACCTGTGTCTTGTGCTGACCTCCTCTGTCATCCTGTGACTTAGAATGCCTCATCCACCTCCAGAGAAGGCAGCCCAAGCAGGTCTCAGCCTCATGTTACGCAGCCCCTATTCAAGATGGCAGAGTTGCTCTGGTTCTAATGCCTCTGAAAAATTTAGGGGATTGTTTTCTGAGCCCCAACACTGTGATCTTAGCAACTGAGCAATTTTCCCACCTTCATGTAACCAAAGACAGAGTGGATCACAGAGCTTGGAAAGCTCGTACCCGGGAAATCGCAGCCTGCAGCTGACATGTTCTGAGATGTGCCTTGCCGTTGTGCAAAAGGCATGTTTGAATGCTTGCATGAGGACAAGTGACTCCCCCATTAACACCTCCAGGGGCTCAGTTCTGCCTCCAGCCACTGTCTCATCACGCAGCCATGGGTAGCAGAAAGCCACATGCCAAAATCTGACATCGGGCCTGTAAAAAATAAAGGTTCCTGTTCAAAGACTTTCCTCCCCATCTAATTAGGAATAAATAGTAACTTCTCTGAGAAGCAAACTTCATTCAAAGACTTGTGCTAACATTCCTAAATATCTGCTAGCCGTGATAAAGAAATCAATGTACTTTATGCTCTTAGCTCCCACAATTTAACCTAAGTATCAGCCCTGGCATGCTTATACTGGTCCAAGCAAGCATTACGTCACAGCCTGTTCCTCTTCTTTATCTAAAAGTGCTTTTTCCTTTCTCAGCATTCCACAAGTTACTTCCTCCTTCCTTTGTTCTCCTCTGCCTTTGCCTCTTTTAAATAGTTCCAAGGTGCTGGCCAATCGGGACAAATACAGAATGTGAGGTCCCATTCCAGCCCTGGAAACTGGACACAGCAGTAGGGCGGACGCATCAAGTGATAAATGACCCTGTCCCCTTTGTTCGCTGTACTCTCCTGGCAAAACTGCTGGAGAGTGTACCCTTTCTGCAGAAAGTAAAAAAAATGGCCTTGCTGAGGAAATTAATGTTCAAGTGCTATTTCTTTATGGCACTGGGGAACAAGCATTTCAAACAGACCTGAGGTTTACCCGATTTCTGCTGGAAAAGAAACCTCAGGTCTGCTGCCTTAGAAATAAATAAGGGCAGGACAGAAAGGGTGACAAGGGGGTCCTTAGCCATGGAGACTTTGCAAAATAATGAACAATCAAAACATAACTTTTTGGGGGTTGGGGTGGGGTAGGAGGGGACTGGAAAGGCTGACTGCATAATAAAGAGATTGGAAGAATTGGCTGGGTATGGTGGCTTATGTCTGTAATCCCAGCACTTTGGGAGGCTGAGGTGGGTGGATCACCTGAGGCCAGGAGTTCGAGACTAGCCTGGCCAACATGGTGAAACCCCGTCTCTACTAAAAATACAAAAATTAGCAGGGCGTGGTGGCAGGTGCCTGTAATCCCAGCTACTCGGGAGGCTGAGGCAGGAGAATCCTTGAACCCGGGAGGTAGAGGTTGCAGTGAGCTGATACCACGCCATTGCACTCCAGCCTGGGTGACAAGAGCAAAACTCTGTCTCAAAAATAAATAAATAAAAAGAAATCTAAGAGACTGGAAGAATTAAGACAGGGAAATTGAGTAGTTCAGAGCTGAAGTCCCATCTCTGATCCAAGATAAACTGTAAACCTCCAATTACTGTCAAGATATCTTTTTAAGGCAAACTTCTCCAATCTCCTCACCCCAGGGGAAGAGAAGAGTCCAGGAAACAGATAGTTACTAAGTGCAGAGAGGCAAAGACTGGCTTTCCTGCTGGCATGATCGTTTTTTAAATATCAGCTACAAGCATTCGGTTCTGAATCTCCAGCATTTGATTGATGG
The DNA here is from genome assembly GCF_000001405.40 of Homo sapiens. Classification (NCBI taxonomy): domain Eukaryota; kingdom Metazoa; phylum Chordata; class Mammalia; order Primates; family Hominidae; genus Homo; species Homo sapiens. The sequence goes on from NC_000024.10 coordinate 2,252,537, forward strand.
GTAAGAGGAATGGTTACTTGAAAAAGCAGAAAATGCATCATCCAAAGGCAGATTTTTCCAGAGTAAATGGAGGGGTTGGTTCTGTAATTATGGTTTTACACAGTAGCGTGGAGAAGAGAGAACTAAGATTGTTTAAAAATACGGTGTGGGGGCAGGCGAAAAGCCAATACATTTCTCTACAGGAGGTGAAGAAATGAATCCAAGAGGGGCACGTAGTTTCAGGAGAGATTCCCTGGGGTGGGGGTTAGGGATGAAGAAATATCCACCCCAGAAATGGGAAAGAATGAAAGCAAATACGTAGGAGGAAATGCCCATTAAGGTCTGTAAATGAAACCCTAAGGACTCTGACAAAAGTCGTTGGTATTAGGCCGGGAGTGGTGGCTCGCGCATGTAATCTGAGCACTTAGGGGACACTAAGGCAGGCAGGTCGCTTGAGCCCAGGAGTTCAAGACCAGACTGGGGAGTATAGTAAGACCTTATCTCTACAAAAAATACAAAAAGTACCTGGGTGTGGTAAAGCACACCTGTAGTCCCAGCTAATTGTGAGGCTGAGGTGGGAGCAGATCATTTGAGCCTGGGAGGCGCACATGGCAGCAAGCCAAGATAGCGTCACTGCACGGCCTGGGAGGCAGATATGGCAGTGAGCCAAGATGGCGCCACTGCACGGCCTGGGAGGCGGACATGGCCTTGAGCCAAGATGGCGCCACGGCACTCCAGCCTAGGAGGCGGACGTGGTCGTGAGCCAAGATGGCGCCACGGCACTGCAGCCTGGGAGGTGGACATGGCCTTGAGCCAAGATGGCGTGGCCGCACTGCAGCCTGGGAGGCGGACATGGCCGTGAGCCAAGATGGCGCCACGGCACTCCAGCCTAGGAGGCGGACATGGCCGTGAGCCAAGATGTCGCGGCCGCACTGCAGCCTGGGAGGTGGACATGGCAGTGAGCCAAGATGGCGCCACCACACTCCAGCCTGGGAGGCGGACATGGCCGTGAGCCAATCAGCAAAGATGGCGCCACTGCACTCCAGTCTGGGTGAGACAGGGAGACTGCCAAAAAACAAAATGAAACAAAAAATCATTCAATGAGCTTTCCTGTTGAATAAGAAACTGAACAAAAGCCACCTGCTACTAAATCTGGACCTTATAAAAGGGTATTTGAGTTCTCCATTTTTTGCTGATTAAAGCATTACTCTCTTCTTGTTATTAAAAATCGTGAAGACTGAACATACTTTTGAGTGTTTATAAGACCGGGCGCGGTGGCTCACGCCTGTAATCCCAGCACTTTGGGAGGCCGAGGCGGGCGGATCACGAGGTCAGAATATCGAGACCATCCTGGCTAACAGGGTGAAACCCCGTCTCTAATAAAAATACAAAAAAATTAGCCGGGTGTGGTGGCAGACGCCTGTAGTCCCAGCTACTCGGGAGGTTGAGGCAGGAGAATGGCGTGAACCCGGAAGGCGGAGCTTGCAGTGAGCTGAGATCACACCCTGCACTCCAGCCTGGGCAACAAAGCAAGACTCTGTCTCAAAAAAAAACAAAAAGAAAGGAGCCCTTTATAAGTTATTGTGATGGATACTGTAGGATGTAAACGTGTCATATCTCGGTCTCCCAACAGCCAGTCTCCGTAGGCGGTGTCCTTTTATATGGATCAACAGGCAGTTTTTGCATTGATTATTTATCCACTTTGAGAGGTACTTGTGTAGAAGCAAGGACAACTGAGTTTTTATGTTAACTTCCTACGAATCCGTTGCATTGCAACGTATTTCCATTGCAGGACATTGTTGCATAATCAAATTGCCAATGCAATTAGGGAAACTCAATCGACTGCTCATAACCTAGTTGACTGGAGCTATTTTTCCAGTGCTCATTAAACCTGATGACAATCACTGTTTTAATGAGTAAGTATGGGTGGCATTCAATATATTTATAAGTATTATAACAATCCTTCATGTCTAAATTGAATTTTCCCTTTGGCAGTACAAACAACTCCATTACATTCTTTCTAGGATATCTACGCTTAATATTCTTGATAACTATCATCTACATTTAATATTCTTGATAACGATCCGCCTACCAGGAACTCAGAAAATACTGCGAATAAAGAGAGGTTTTTTTTGTTTGTTTGTTTTTTTGAAACAGGGTCTCGCTCTGTTGCTAGGGTGGAGTGCAGTGGTGCGATCTCGGCTCACTGCAATCTCCGCCTCCCGGATTCAAGTGATTCTCCTGTCTTAGCCTTCCGAGTAGCTGGGACTACAGGTGCCCGCCACCACACTCAGCTAATTTTGGTATTTTTAGCACAGTGGGGTTTCACCACATTGGCCAGGATGGTCTTGATCTCCTGACCTTGTGATCCACCCCCTAGGCCTCCCATAGTGGTGGGATTACAGGTGTGAGCCACTGTGCCTGCCCCACGCCCCCCCCCTTTTTTTTCTTTTTTTTTTTTTGAGAGGGAGTCTTGCTCTGTTGCCCAGGCCGGGCTGGAGTGCAGTGCTATGATCTTGGCTTGCTGCAACTTCCACCTCCCGGGTTCAAGTGATTCTCCTGCCTCAGCCTCCTGAGTAGCTGGGACTACAGTCACCCGTCACCACACCCAGCTAATTTTTGTATTTTTAGTAGAGACGGGTTTTTACCACATTGGCCTGGATGGTGTCGATCTCAAAGAGAGGTCTTTGACTTTTTCCGCTAAGAGAAAACAACCAAAACAACACAGGACATTGCAGGTATCTTGTGAATTCCAGCTGCATCCAAACACCCTGATACTTTCGCTCATAGACACATAGTGAGTGTGTCAGCTGTCCGACATATCTCAGAACACAGGGGGAACATGTGAAACCTTGAGTGAAATCCGAATCGAGATGGGATACCACACTCAAAACACGTTACACAACTTAGTCTATACTGGATGATTTCACGGGATGTGAATTCATGGTTAGGAATAAAATAATGAAGAAGTCACCCAAAGTTACATAAGTTGAGAAACTCAAACCAAGACAGCCATGTTCACAGTGAGGCACGCCCATGCCTATAACAACTCCATGACTGAGGGACGTCAGAGTGAAATAAAGAATTTCTTAAATAGGTAGAGAATCTATCATGGCCAGGCACGGTGGGTCACACCTGTAATCCCAGCACATTGGGAAGTCGAAGTGGGCAGATCATTCGAGGTCAGGAGTTCGAGACCAGCCTGACCAACATGGTGAAAACCCAGCTCTACAAAAAAAAAACACAAAAATTAGGTGGGCATGGTGGCGGTGCCTGTAGTCCCAGCTACCCGGGAGGCTGAGACAGGAGAATCACTTGAACCCACGAGGCAGAGGTTGTAGTGAGCTGAGATTGCGCCACTGCACTCCAGCCTCGATGCCTGGGTGACAAAAGCGAAACTCTGTCTCAAATAAAATAAAATAAAACAAAACAAATTTAAGGGTCTCACAGGAAAGAAATCTTAAAGAATAGAAAATGATTTTGGAAGGTATGTGTCCCTCTTTTTTTTTTTTTTTTCTCTCCAGGCTGGAGTGCAGTGGTGCGATCTTGGCTCATTGCAACCTCCACCTCCCCGGTTCAAGCAATTCTCCTGCCTCAGCCTCCCCAGTAGCTGGGACTACAGGGACATGCCACCATGCCTGGCTAATTTTTTATATTTTAGTAGAGACGGGGTTTCACCATGTTGGCCAGGATGGTCTTGATCTCCTGACCTTGCGATCCACCCCTCTCAGCCTCCCAAAGTGCTGGGATGACAGACTTAAGCCACTGTGCCTGCCCTTTTTTTTCTTTTTTTGAGAGGGAGTCTTGCTCTGGAGTGCAAGCTGGGCTGGAGTGCAGTAGCATGATCTTGGCCCACTGCAACCTCCACCTCCCGGGTTCAAACAATTCTCCTGCTTCAGCCTCCAAAGCAGCTGAGATTACAGGCACATGCCACCATGCCTGGCTAACTTTTGCATTTTTAGTAGAGACGGGGTTTCCCCATGTTGACCAGGCTGGTCTCGAACTCCTGACCTCAGGTGATACGCCCGCCTCGGCCTCCCAAAGTGCTTTCTATTGAAATTTATTTCACCATGGGGATGATTCGGTACAGCCAAGTTGAGGAGACATGTTCTCTCATGTGTAAAAACTCTTGGATTTTTGGAATATGTTACAACACTGTGATTTATTCCTTTACAAGAACGCTAATTTTCCAAGCCAGTAAATCAATCTTGGCAATTAACACTAATTACTGGCAATGATTATATCAGGCAAAAGCCAAGAACCACATCTTTCATCCAAAAAAAAAAAGCAGTATATTTTAAATTCAAGTGGTTCTCATATTTTAGCATGCATCAGAATTCCCCCAAAGACCTTCTCCTTGCCAACCCCTGTTCTCCAAACTTCGGGTTTAGGAGATCTGGAGGATGGTCTGAGAATGGGAGCATCTTCATTTCTTTTTTCTTTTTCTTTTTTAAGACAGAATCTTGCTTTGCAGCCCAGGCTGGAGTGCAGTGGTGCGATCTTGGCTCACTGCAACCTCTGCCTTTCGAGTCCCAGTTGAAGCAATTATCCTGCCTCAGCCTTCCGAGTAGCAGGGATTACAGGTGTGCACCCCCACGCCCAGCTAATTTTTGTATTTTTAGTAGAGATGGGGTTTCTCCATGTTGGCCAGGCTGGTCTTGAACTCCTGACCTTGTGATCCACCTGCCTCGGCCTCCCGAAGTGCTGGGATGACAGGCGTGAGCCACCATGCCCGGCCCACTCACCATATATTTACTGAACTTCAGTCATATGTGACGCAGGGATGACACAAGAACAGAAAAATCAGGGAGATGGAGACGGAGCTAACCACGGAAGCTGAAGTTCGTCGGCCAGATGGCCCAATGCACAATAATTCGGGGAACACACATCCAGGCAACTGCACCTGACTGGGAATACCTGGCTGTCCTACCACCATCTGGTCATCTAGGGGCTCCTACAGTAATACAGAAGACGCCGGCTGAGGCGTGTTCTATTCTACCAAGGGGACCTGGGCGTATCTCATGGACTGAATTACGTCTCCCCAGATTCCTATGAAGTTCTAACTCTGAGGAACTCAGAAAGATGACCTTATTTGGAGATAGGGTCCTTTTATTTTATTTATTTTTTGAGACAGAGTTTCGGTCTTGTCACCAAGGCTGGAGTGCAATGGTGCAATCTTGGCTCACTGCAACCTCCGCCTCCCGGGTTCAAGCGATTCTCCTGCCTCAGCCTCCCCAGTAGCTGGGGTTATAGGCACCTGCCATGGCGCTTGGCTAATTTTGTATTTTTTAAGTAGAGACGGGGTTTCACCGTGTTGTCCAGGCTGGTCTTGAACTCCTGACCTCAGGTGATCCACCTGCCTCAGCCTCCCAAAGTGCTGGGATTACAGGCATGAGCCACCATGCCCGGCCGGAGATGGGGTCTTTAAAGATGCGATTCAGGTAAAATGAGGTCACTAGGGTAGGTACTGATCCAATAGGACTGAGGTCCTTATAAGAAGAGGAGATGAGGACACAGACACACACAGAGGGACAACCAAGTGAGGACACAGGGCGATGATGACATCTCCAAGCCCAGGAGAGAGGCCTGAGGAGGAACCAGCCCTGCTCACACCTTGATCTCAGACCTCCAGCCTCCAGGACTGTGGGAGAATCAATGTCTGCTGTTATAAGCTACACAGTCTATGGTATTCTGTGATAGCAGCCTGAGATGGAGTAAGGCATTGCATAAGAAGAGGAGATGAGGACACACACACACACAAAGGGACGACCCTGTGAGGACACAGAGAGAAGATGGCGTCTACAAGTCCAGCAGAGAGGCCTCAGGAGGAACCAGCCCTGCCCATACCTGGATCTCAAACTTCTAGCGTCCAGGACTGTGAGAGAATAATGTCTGTTGTTTATAATCTACCCAGTCTATGGTATTCTGTGATAGCAGCCTGAAATGGGCTAAGACACCTCATAAGAGGAGGAGATGAGGACACAGACACACACAGAGGGATGATCCTGTGAGGACACAGGGAGAAGACGGTGTCTACAACCCAAGGAGAGAGGCCTCAGGAGGAGTCAGCCACACCCACACCTTGATCTGGGACCTCCAGCCTCCAGGACTGTGGGAGGCTCAATGTCTGCTGTTTAAGCCACTAGGTCCGTGGTATTTTATTATGGCAGCCCCAGCAAAGCAATGTTCTCTCCTTTAAGAGATCACTCCTAAGCTATGAACGATGAAAAAGGGGCCTATTTGGAAAGAGTCAGTGCCGTCAACGAAGAACAGTTTCCAGAAAGCTCAGAGGAGGCATCTGTTAACACTCTCTCATTATCCCCTGCAGAGGAATCATGGAGAAATGAAACATGGCTCAGGTGAATGCCTGTCATCAATATTCATTTTACATAATCAAACTGGTGAAGCAAAAGAGGAGAACAGGAAAAGAAAAGCAGTGTAAGTTGAATTGTAAGTCTCGAAAAAATAGGGGGAAGTGGCCGGGCGCAGTGGCTCACGCCTGTAATCCCAGCACTTTGGGAGGCCGAGGCGAGAGGATCACGAGGTCAGGAGATGGAGATCATCCTGGCCAACATGGTGAACCCCCGTCTCTACTAAAAATATAAAAATTATCTGGGCGTGATGGCGCATGCCTGTAATCCCAGCTACTCAGGAGGCTGAGGCAGGAGAATCGCTTGAACCCAGGAGGTAGAGGTTGCAGTGAGCCGAGATCGCACCACTGCATTGCAGCCTGGGCGACAGAGCAAGACTCTGTCTCAAAAAAAAAATATATAGATAGATATATAGATATAGATATAGATATATAGATAGATATAGATATATATAGATATAGATATATAGATAGATATAGATATATATAGATATATATATAGATATATAGATATATATATAGATATAGATATATACAATAAATTAAAATAAAAACAATACAATACAAATAAATAAACAAAAAATGTTAGAGCCGGCTCTGAGCTGGCTCTGGCTCTCAAGCCCTTTGACTTTGAAGTTCCTTGATCTGCTTTGCAATCTGTATTACTTTCCTGGGATTGTCCAAACAAATGAGCACAGACTGGATGCTTCAAAGTCACAGAAATTCATCCAGTGAAGTGATACCTTCTGGAGACCAGAAGTCTGAAATTCAGGAGTGGACAGGGTCGTGCTCTCTCTGGACGGTCTTCTAGGGCAGGAACCCTTCCTGCCTTTCCCAGCTTCTGGGGGCTCGGGGAGTCCCTGACCCCGTGGTCAGATCACTCCAGTCTCTGCCTCCGTCTCCACGTGGACTTCTCCTCTGTGTCTGTGTCTCCTCTTCTGTCTTTTAGAAGGATACCGGTCAGTGGATTTAGGACCTACCCTACTCCAGGATGATCTCATCTCTAGATCTCTAACTAATTACACCGGCAAAGTTCTTTATTTTCAAATAAAGTCTCATTCTAGGTTCTGGGCTTCGGGATGTGGACAGATCTTTCTGTGAACCACCATTCAATCCACTACAATTGTATCCAGTTCCCTCCAGAGGCTCTAGGGGAGGGCCCTTCCTGCCTCTCCCAGCTCCTGGGGGCTCCGGGCATCCCTGACCCTGTGGCTGCATCACTCCAGTCTCTGCCTCCATCTCCACGTGGCCTTCTCCTCTGTGTCTGTGTCTCCTCTTCTGTCTCTTTCCAAGAACACCTGTCATTCCATTTAGGGCCCTTCTTATATGTAGAGTGGGGTCGGAATAGTTAATATTATGTGTTAACCTGACTGGATCATGGGGCACCTAGATGTTTGATTGAATGTTACTCTGGGGTATCTGTGAGGGTGGAGGGGAGGGTCCTTCCTGCCTCTCCCAGCTCCTGGGGGCTCCAGGCATCCCTGGGTGTGTGGCCGCATCACTCCAGTCTCCACCTCCATCTCCATCTCCATGTGGCCTTCTCTGTGTCTCTCTGTCTCCAAATTTTCTACTTCATTTTTTTTTTTTTTTTGAGACAGAGTTTCGCTCTTGTTGCCCAGGCTGGAGTGCAATGGCACGATCTCAGCTCACTGCAACCTCCACCTCCCAGGTTCAAGGAATTCTCCTGCCTCAGCCTCCCGAGTACCTGGGATTACAGACGCGCAGCACCACGCCCGGCTAATTTTTTGTATTTTTAGTAGAGACAGGGTTTCATCATATTGGTCAGGCTGGTCTTGAACTCCTGACCTCAGGTGATCTGCTCACCTTGGCCTCCCAAAGTGCTGGGATGACAGGCATGAGCCAGTGTGCCCAGGTATTTTCTACTTCTTGTAAGGCCACCCATCATATTGGATCAAGGGTCTACCCTAATCATCTCATCTTCACTTAATTCCATCTGCAAAGACCTATTTCTAAATTAGGTCTCAATTATACATATTTGGAGTTAGGATGTGGACATAACTCTTCAGATAAGAGTTAATGGTGGTCGGGTGTGGTGGCTCATGCCTGTAATCCCAGCACTTTGTGAGGTCAAGGCAGGCAGATCACTTGAGGTCAGGAGTTTGATTACAGCCTGGCCAACATGGTGAAGCCCTGTTTCTACTAAAAATACAAAAATTAGCTGGGTGTGGTGGTGCATGCCTGTAATCCCAGCTACTCGGGAGGCTGAGGTGGGAGAATCATTGGAACCCGGGAGGCGGAGGTTGCCGTGAGCCAAGATAGCACCACTGCACTCCAGCCTGGGCAACAGAGTGACATTTGTCTCTTTCAAAAAATAAAATAAAATAATAGTTAATGGCATATAAGCAATACCGTCAAAGCCTTTCTTTAATATGTGTTTTTATAGGAATAAAAACTCTCTTGTTAATTGCACTTGGTAATATATGCTTCCTCAGCTTTCTTAGGTGATAATGAGGCTCAATTCTTATTAAGCGCATGAATCTGCTCTGTAGCACCTAAAGTCTCTAGGAAGTAGCTGTCATTTCTGTTGGGTGGGGTTGTTCTGGATGTGATCTGCTTATCTTCATTATTCAAAACAGAGATCGTGGCTGGGCACGGTGGCTCATGCCTGTAATCCACGCACTTTGGGAGGCCGACATGGGAGGATTACCTGAGGTCAGGAGTTCGAGACCAGCCTGGCCAACGTGGCAAAATCCTGTCTCTACTAAAAATACAAAAATCAACTGGACGTGGTGGCGGGTGCCTGTAGTCCCAGCTGCTTGGGAGTCGAGGCAAGAGAATTGCTTGAACCCGGGAGGCGGAGGTTGCAGTGAGCCGAGATCACACCACTGCACTCCAGCCTGGGAGACAGAGTGAGACTCCATCTGAAAAAAAAAATGAGTAAATACAACAGAGATTGCTTTGATCAACAGTATCAACCCCAAAGTGAGCTCTCAGAATAACAGACAGGCGGCCCTCCACCAGTGCTGTACGAGGAAGGGGTGTTCCTGTGTGTCTTTGGCGAGCGGTAATGCCTGCCAAGCAGCTCACATTCCCCAGGTTCCCCAACCCATGCCTTGCCTTGCTCAGTGAGTCGTGTCTGCAGCAAGTGCTGCTGGCTGTGCCAAGACTCCTCGTTCCCTCCTCCCTTCTCCCAGGCCCTCTCATACAGCAGGCTCCGTGTGTGGAGCCCCGAGTGGGCATCAGGGAAGGCTGGCCCCCACACACCCAGCCCAGCCTCAGGCCTGGAGTTAGGGAAGCCAGTCATGGCAGGGCTGTTCTTGCCAGTGGGTCCAGGCAAACCCTTCAGCATGGAGCCCGAGGCAGGAGGCCTACACAATCCTGCAGTGAGCCCTGAGCTGAGAAGAAGCCTGAGAAACACGCATGTCTTCCTCTGGGTGCTGTCATGCATGGGTGTGAAAACAGGAAATGCCCCAGCCAGCATACACACGTCACCTGCGCACACTGGCACGCACATGACTCACCTGTGCACACGAGCACTCACGCACCTTATCTGTGCACACTGGCACGCACCTCACCTGTGTACACAGGCATGCACATCTCATGTGTGCCCACGGGCACAAAGACCTCATCTGTGCCCACAGGTACACACAACTCACCTGTGCATATGGGCACGCATGCACCTCACCTGTGCATACTGGTACACACCTCACCTGTGCACATTGGCACACACATCTCAGCTGTACACACAGGCACGCACACATGCCCTTGCTTCCTCAGGGCACCATGAAGGAGAAGCAGCCCCTCCCGGCCACAGGCCCTGCTCTCCCTGCATTCCTCTCACCCGCCCTTCCCTGCACAGCCCGGTGCTTCTTCAGCTGCCCGGAGAAGATGAAGTCCTGGCCAGCCTCGCTCCTTCCCTCCCACAACCGGCAGGGTTCACACTTCATGCAGGATCCCATCGAGGCCGACTCCCTCATCCCACACCCTTCAGAGCAGAGAGGCTCACAGACACAGGAGCTCAATTCGACAAAACAGATGGGCCAAGGTATCCTAGGAGGCCCCCACGGCCCTCCCTTCGTTACATCCTGCCCCTCGCTGTGCAGGGAAATGCAAACTGTTAGGAGCTGGCAGGGCCTGTGCCCCTGGGCTCACCCTCCTCGTAGTCCTGAGGGTACTCCAGGGCCTGGGGGTGGGGAGGGCGCCCACCCTGCTGTACATTACAGAGGCTGGCCCCAAAGTCTGATGCTGGCACAGCCAAGCAGCCAGTTCTTTCCGAGTGTGGCATTAACGCTTTGTGATCTTAGGGCTGCAGAGAAATTCAAAGGCGAGTCCGACTGTGTGCTCTGACTGTGTCTGTCTCCAAATTCCTACATGGAAATCCTCATCCCCCGTGAGATGGTGTTAGGAGGTGAGGCCCTTGGGAGGTGATGAGGTCACGATGGGGGAGACTCAAGTATGGAATCAGTGCCTTTATAAAGGGGACCCCAGAGAGCTCCCTTGCCCCTTCCACTGCTTGATGACACAGTGAGAAGGTGCCATGTGTGAACCAGGAAGCGGGTTCTCGCCAGACGCTGGCACACTTTGATCTTGGACTTCCAGCCTCCAGAACCGTGAGACATAAATGTGTGTTATTTATAAGCCACCCAAACTATGGAATTTTTCTTTCTTTTTTTTTTTTTTTTTTGAGACGGAATTTTGCTGTTGTTACTCCGGCTGGAGTGCAGTGGCGTGATCTTGGCTCACCACAACCTCCGCCTCCCGGGTTCAAGCGATTCTCCTGCCTCAGCCTCCCGAGTAGCTGGGATTACAGGCGTCCACCACCACGCCTGGCTAATTTTGTATTTTTAATAGAGATGGGGTTTCACCATGTTGGTCAGGATGGTCTCGATCTCCTGACCTCGTGATCTACCTGCCTCAGCCTCCCAAAGTGCTGGGATGACAGGCGTGAGCCACCACACCCGGACTGCTGGATTTTTTCTTATATCAGCTTAAACAAACTAAGATGATTATTCCCACAGAGGAATCGTTTTTATCCTTAAGGCGGGGTTAGGAGGAATTCACAAGAGAGACCTGCTGATGGACAGACAGTACATTGCGTGTCGACAGGAGTCCACACCAATGCCACCTGCAGATGCAGTGCCTGACATTCCCATGGGGGCACAAGAGAAGGTTTAAATAGATCCGTTTTCCTTTTCTATGTCTCACCTCTGTGTTTCTTGTTCCTTCTAAAAAATAAAGTAACAATACCATCGCACATTGCTAAGTTGCCCAAGGACAGCAAATGGCTGGGGATGTACATATCCCACAACACAGCGCCAGGAGCACCTGTGCCCGGCAGATGCAGGCAGCACCATTTCCAGAGCACATGTGCCCAGCAGATACAGGTAGCAGTGTGCCCAGAGCACCGCTACCCAGCAGAAGCAGGGAGCACCGTGCCCAGAGCACCTCTACCCAGCAGACTCAGGGAGCACCGTGCCCAGAGCACCTGTGTCCAGCAGACTCAGGGAGCACTGTGCCCAGAGCACCTCTACCCAGCAGATGCAGGGAGCACCATGCCCAGAGCACCTGTGTCCAGCAGACTCAGGGAGCACTGTGCCCAGAGCACCTGTGCTCAGCAGACGCAGAGAGCACCGTGCCCAGAGCACCTGTGTCCAGCAGACTCAGGGAGCACTGTGCCCAGAGCACCTGTGCTCAGCAGACGCAGAGAGCACAATGCCCAGAGCACCAGTGCCCACCAGATGCAGGGAGCACTGTTCCCAGAGGACCATGCCCAGCAGATGCAGGGAGCATCGTGCCCAGAACATCTGTGCCCAGCAGATCCAGGGAGCACCATTTCCAGGGCACGTGCGCCCAGTAGACACAGAGAGCAGTGTGCCCAGAACACCTGTGCCCAGCAGACACAGGGAGTACCGTGCCCAGAGCACCTGTGCTCAGCAGACACAGGGAGCACCGTGCCCAGAGCACAATGCTCAGGAGATGCAAGGAGCACCGTTCTCAGAGCACCCATGCCCAGCAGATGCAGGGAGCACTATGCCGGGCACCAATGTGCAGCAAATGCGGGGGCACTGTGCCCAGAGCACCCATGCCCAGCAGACTCCAGGGAGCACCGTAGCCAGAGCACCTGTGCCCAGCAGATGCAGGAAGCACCAGTGCTCAGCAGACGCAGGGAGCACTGTCCCCAGAGCACCAGTGTCCAGCAGACACAGGGAGCACTGTCCCCAGAGCACCAGTATCCAGCAGACGCAGGGAGCACTGTCCCCAGAGCACCAGTGCTCAGCAGACGCAGGGAGCACTGTCCCCAGAGCACCAGTGTCCAGCAGACGCAGGGAGCACTGTCCCCAGAGCACCAGTGCTCAGCAGACGCAGGGAGCACTGTCCCCAGAGCACCAGTGCTCAGCAGACGCAGGGAGCACTGTCCCCAGAGCACCAGTGCTCAGCAGACGCAGGGAGCACTGTCCCCAGAGCACCAGTGCTCAGCAGACGCAGGGAGCACTGTCCCCAGAGCACCAGTGCTCAGCAGACGCAGGGAGCACTGTCCCCAGAGCACCAGTGTACAGCAGACGCAGGGAGCACTGTCCCCAGAGCACCAGTGTCCAGCAGACGCAGGGAGCACTGTCCCCAGAGCACCAGTGTCCAGCAGAAGCAGGGAGCACTGTCCCCAGAGCACCAGTGTCCAGCAGATGCAGGGAGCACTGTCCCCAGAGCACCAGTGCTCAGCAGATGCAGGGAGCACTGTCCCCAGAGCACCAGTGTACAGCAGACGCAGGGAGCACTGTACCCAGAGCACCAGTGTACAGCAGACGCAGGGAGCACTGTACCCAGAGCACCAGTGCTCGGCAGACGCAGGGAGCACTGTCCCCAGAGCACCAGTGTATAGCAGATGCAGGGAGCATTGTCCCCAGAGCACCAGTGCTTGGCAGACGCAGGGAGCACTGTCCCCAGAGCACCGGTGTCCAGCAGACGCAGGGAGCACTGTCCTCAGAGCACCAGTGTACAGCAGACACAGGGAGCACCGTCCCCAGAGCACCAATGCTCGGCGGACACAGGGAGCACTGTCCCCAGAGCACCAGTGCTCGGCAGATGCAGGGAGCACTGTCCCCAGAGCACCAGTGTACAGCAGATGCAGGGAGCACTGTTCCCAGAGCACCAGTGCTCGGCAGACGCAGGAAGCACTGTTCCCAGAGCACCAGTGTACAGCAGACGCAGGGAGCACTGTCCCCAGAGCACCAGTGCTCGGCAGACGCAGGGAGCACTGTACCCAGAGCACCAGTGTACGGCAGACACAGGGAGCACTGTACCCAGAGCACCAGTGTACAGCAGATGCAGGGAGCACTGTCCCCAGAGCACCAGTGCTTGGCAGACGCAGGGAGCACTGTCCCCAGAGCACCGGTGTCCAGCAGACGCAGGGAGCACTGTCCTCAGAGCACCGGTGTACAGCAGACACAGGGAGCACCGTCCCCAGAGCACCAATGCTCGGCAGACACAGGGAGCACTGTCCCCAGAGCACCAGTGCTCGGCAGATGCAGGGAGCACTGTCCCCAGAGCACCAGTGTACAGCAGATGCAGGGAGCACTGTTCCCAGAGCACCAGTGCTCGGCAGACGCAGGAAGCACTGTTCCCAGAGCACCAGTGCTCGGCAGACGCAGGGAGCACTGTCCCCAGAGCACCAGTGCTCGGCAGATGCAGGGAGCACTGTCCCCAGAGCACCAGTGTCCGGCAGATGCAGGGAGCACTGTCCCCAAAGCACCAGTGCTCGGCAGACGCAGGGAGCACTGTTCCCAGAGCACCAGCGTCCAGCAGATGCAGGGAGCGCCACACCGCACAGACAGAGGGAGATGAATAACCTTTAACCCACCTGAGATGCTGTTATGATTATTCACAGGGTGCACCTACCTGCTCTGAAGGTCATCCATGTTCAGCTCAGCGACGTAATGGGTGGCAGAGGAGACGGTGACCACCCTCGCACTGTGGCCAGGGGACCCAGACTCTTTCAGCGTATCCAAGAGAAGGTTGGTCAGCAGGAAGTGCCCTAGGTAGTTCAGGCCGAAATGTTCTTCGAATCCATCTCTGGTTTTCCTCTGAGGGACCATCATCACCCCAGCTGGACAAAAGAGAATATCAGAAGGAGTTAGACTGGGGAAGACAGTGGAGAAATCTCACAGATGGATTCCCCAGATGCGCAAATGGCCCAGGACATCGGAGGGTGGGGTGTAGAGCTGGCGGCCATGTCTTCCTCCTGGGCCTCTGTTTCCTGCTTTAGGTGTGATGGAGAAGATTCTAGAAGATCACTGAAGTCCCTTCCTGCCTTCTGTCTCTGCACCTCTGTGCCTTGAGTTTAAAAATAATAACCACAGGCCGGGCGCGGTGGCTCACGCCTGTCATCCCAGCACTTTGGGAGGCTGAGGCGGGTGGATCACCTGAGGTCAGAAGTTCATGCCTGTCATCCCAGCACTTTGGGAGGCCAAGGCGGGTGGATCATCTGAGGTCAGGACTTCAAGACCAGCCTGCCCAACATGGTGAAACCCTTGTCTCTAGTAAAAATACAAAAATTAGCCAGGTTTGGTGGCAGGGTCCTGTAGTTCCAGCTACTCAGGAGGCTGAGGCAGGAGAATTGCTTGAACCTGGGAGGCGGAGGTTGCAGTGAGCTGAGATCATGCCACTGCACTCCAGCCTGGTGACAGAGCGAGACTCCATCTCAAAAAAAAAAAAAAGGAAAAGAAAAATAATAACCACAATGATAACACAGCAACACACACAAGAGAGTGAGAATCATCCAAGTCACCAAACAGAGTCCCCTGGACAATTAATTATTCTGGGCGGCTAGGTGTGATGGCTCATACATGTAATCCCAGCCTTTGGGTAGGTGAGTAGGGCAGACTGCTTGACGTCAGGAGTTCGAGACCAGGCTGTGCACCACAGTGAAACTCCATCTTTACCAAAAATACAAAAAATTAGTGGGTGTGGTGGTGCGTGCCTGTAGTCCCAGCTACTCGGGGAGGTTGAGGCGGGAGGATTGTTTGAGCCCAAGAGGTGGAGGTTGCAGTGAGCCGAGATTGTGCTACTGCACCCCAGCCTGGGCAACAGAGATCCTGTCTCCCCCCAGAATTCTGGACAAGTATAGCTGCTATGGCACCCCCTCTTCACTGAGTATCCCACAAACAAACTGCTCAGATGTCCTTTGAGAAATGCCGACCTCAGTATAAACATGGCCTGTCCTCACCCCTAGACCACAGGGCAGCCCTGTCGGTCATCATTCTATAGACATCATCATCACCGCAGGTTCTGTGCTTGACATGTTCTATCTACCAGACACAGAACAGCCCACCCCTGTCAGGCCAAGCCCGGCTGAGCGCCTGCCCTGAAGTCCTTGCTGTGGAGGCCTGATCTCAAAGGTGACTTGTCCTAGAAACACGCACGAACCATACTGCCTTGTACTTAGAGCAGACCAGTTTGCTTGGATATTAATGCCAATGTAGATATGTATTTGTATGTACATGGATAATGTAGATGTGTATACATAGGCATGTTATATATGTACCTGGAATTCTGTATCTATCTACACGTAACGCAAATACAGGCACGTCTATTCATATACATATATGCATACGCATTTGTAAATGTGTTTATATAGCTATACACTTGGGTATATAACTGCATGTATGCATAATTCAAAGATATATGCCTATAGAGATATATGTTAGCATGTACATATGTGTTCACGTCTTTACATGCAGATTCATTTTCAAATGCCTATAAATTTGTGCATATTTTCTTTTACATATGTGTTGTATGCACATGTGCATGAGTTTGCATGTGTACACATTTATTCACATGTATATACATGTCCATACACATTTACATCTTTGCATGTGTATCTGCATACAGTGTATGTATATATTATATGTTTCTATTTGGAATTGTACAATCGCAAGTATTTGCATGTGTTCATACACCTACAAACACACAGCATTTGTCATTATTTGTACATTGGAACATCTACGTGTATTGCACGCATGAATATGCATTTTGATTCATCTGTGGAATCCCATAGCTTTTGCATTTGTGCACGTTTGCATTTGCAAATGCATTTGAGGTGTATGATTAATACACACACACACCTATCCATTTGCATATGGACACGTTTGTGTTCAAAGATGTATTTCAATATGGAGCTATATTGATATTTGTAGATCTATTTCTGTATTTGTATATATATGTGTTTGCATCTGCATGTGTACATATCTTTCTATGCATATGCATTTGTATATGTGTTTGTGTGTATTTTATATGGAGCTATCTATACATATATGTAGGTCTAGCATTTGTCTACATATTTGTATATGTATATCTGCATGTGTACATATTTTCCTATGCATATGCATTTGTATATATGCTTGTATTAGTGTGTATGTATTTTATATCTACACACAAATATATAGAGGTCTAGCATTTCTCTGTGTATTTGTACATGTATACATGCATCTGCAAGTGCACACATTTTTTATATGTACATGTATTTGTATATGTGCTTGTATTTGTGTGTATTTTATATGGAGATATCTACACATATATAGGCCTAGCATTTCTCTACTTATTTGTATATGTATACGTGTATCTGTACATGAATACATTTTCCTAGGTACATGCATTTGTTTATGTGCTTGTATGTGTGTGTGTATTTTATATGTATGTATTTATTTATTTTTTGAGGAGGAGTTTCGCTCTTGTCGTCCAGGCTGGAGTGCAATGAGGCAGTCTCGCCTCACTGCAACCTCCGCCTCCCAGGTTCAAGCAATTTTCCTGCCTTAGCCTCCCGAGTAGCTGGGATTACAGGCACCCACCACCACACGTGGCTAAATTTTTCTGTATTTTCAGTAGAGACGGGGTTTTGCCATGTTGGCCAGGCTGCTCTCAAACTCCTGACCTCAGGGGATCCGCCCACCTCGGCCTCCCTAAGTGCTGGGATTACAGGCGTGAGACACTGCACCCGGCCGTGTGTGTATTTTATATGGAGATATGTATATATCTATAGGTCTAGCGTTTCTGTATGTATTTGTGTATGTATATGTACATCTGCATAGCGTACATCTTTTTCTATGCATATGCATTTGTACACGTGCTTGTGTTTGTGTGTATCTTATATGGAGCTATCTATACATATATGTAGGTCTAGCATTTCTCTATGTGTTTGTATATGTAGAGGTGTATCCGTAGGTGTATACATTTTTTGAGGTACATGCATTTGTATATGTGCTTGCTTCTGTGTGTACTGTAATATCTGTATGTTATTTGTGCCTCGGTACATGGACCCATTTCCCTATAAATTTTTGATGCGTGTGCATTTGTGTACCTGCCTGTGTTTGTGTACACAGTCTTTCCAGTTGTACTTTATGAACACTCAAAACCAAAGCTGGCTCCTCGCCGGCTCAGCATTCCCAAAGAACCAAGCAGGAGCCACGTGGCCTTATCGACCCAACTTTGGAACTCCTACAGAGTTGTCACCACTGCCCCATTCTAGGAATTACGAGACAGTTAATGAGGACAGCCGAGATTCAAGAGACGGAGCAGGGACTCCAGCTCCCGAAGAGACAAGTGTGAAAAGAATTTGCAGGCCTGTTTTACAGCCTCTCCAACCCGCCTTTCAAAACTGTGGATGCACAGGCCGCACTGGATGCCCCATTGCGCGGAGGGCCCACAGAAGACTCAGCAGTGGGTCCCGCGGCTCTACACGTCCCTGGCCCCAGTGGAGGCTTGACAATTGTGAGGTCCTTGAGGAAAAACCAACGTCTTATTCTGGCTGTAGCCTCCACAGTGCGGTTGTAGTGCTTTGGGTACAGCAAGGGGGAAATAAAAAATAAACGTGGATGGAGATCTGCTGCTTTTGAGACGTGAAGCCACCTGGACTTCCTGGGTCGAGTGGAGACCCGGAGACCTTTTGTCTAGCTAAAGAATTGTAAAGGCACCAATCAGCACTCTAAAATGGACCATTCAGCAGTCTGTAAAATGGACCAATCAGTGCTCTGTAAAATGGACCAATCAATGCTCTATAAAATGGACCAATCAGCACTCTGTAAAATGGACCAATCAGCACTCTGTAAAATGGACCAATCAGCACTCTGTAAAATGGACCAGTCAGCAGGATGTGGGCGGGGCCAAATAAGGGAATAAAAGCTGGCCACCTGAGCCAGCTTGTGTCCCCTTCCACGTTGTGGAAACTTTGTTGTTTCACTCTTCACCATAAATCTTGCTGCTGCTCACTCTTTGGGTCTACACTACCTGTATGAGCTGTAAGACTCACTGCCAAGGTCCGCAGCTTCACTCCTGAAGTCAGCGAGTCTGCGAACCCACCAGAAGGAAAAAACTCCAGGCACATCTGAACATCTGAAGGAACAAACTCGGGACGCACCATCTTTAAAAGCCCTAACACTCACCGTGAGGGTCTGCGGCTTCATTCTTGAAGTCAGCGAGACCAAGAACCCACAAGAAGGAATAAATTCTGGACACACTCTCACAGAGAATGGTGGCAGGGGAGAGGCACCACCATGCCATTCCAGGCCTGTGGCCTGCTGAAATCCTCAGGGAGAAATGAGCAGACTGTTCAGGTGCAGTCCTTGCTTCTCACCTGCACACACTTTCCAGCCAGACTCAGTGCTTCCCCCTCCTACGTGAATATCTAGCTTTCAAAAAAACTTCCAGGATACAGAGAATTTATTCCCTGAGCTTATGCCTGTAAAACATCAGGAGTATAAACCAACTGGGAGGGATCCAATATCAATCAGGGTCCAGTATCAATCAGTCACAAGACACATGTGTATTAAACATTCAACACTCCTACAGTCCTCAAAGCCCATCTAACAAAACACTTCTGAGAAGTATGTCAGAATTCACCTCAGGAGTTATCCAGAAAAAAAGCCCGGCCCGGTGGGTCATGCCTGTAATCCTCCCAGCACTTTCAGAGGGCGAAGCGGGCAGATCAGTTCAGGTCAGGAGTTCGAGACCAGCTTGGCCAACATGGAGAAACCTTGTCTCTACTAAAAATACAAAATTAGCCGGGCGTGGTGGTGCATGCCTGTAATCCCAGCTACTCGGGAAGCTGAGGCAGGAGAATCGCTTGAACCTGGGAGGCAGAGGTTGCAGTGAGCCGAGATCACACCACTGCACTCCAGCCTGGGCGAAAGAGTGAGACAAAACGAAACAAAAAAACATACCTGCACCTGTCTGTTTCTTGCAGCACAACTCACAACTGCAAACATACGGAATCAACCTAAGTTGATTTTTGTCTCAAAAACAAAAAAAAACCAACAACAAAAAAACAAAAACACCAGAATAGGTTGCTGTGGGTGGACGGGAAGCTTTGCATTTTGATGAACTATAAACATCTTTTTCACGATGCCATTTTCCTCATATTTTATTTGATGTGAAGAATCTGGAGACACACAGCTCAATCCGTGCCTGAAGTGTCATAAATTCCCAGCTTAGGAGAGACGAGCTTATCATGAACACCTGGCTTATGCATGCATGGTTTTGAAAGGCAGCTTCAGGGGGCTCTAAAGCAGGCCTGCAAATTCTTTTGACACTCGTCTCCTTGGGAGCTAGAGTCTACGCCCCTTCCCTTGAATCTCGGCCATGCTCATTAACTTTCTCGTTAATTCTTTTGTAGAATGCCACAGTGGTGTAAACACTGTGTGACTTCCAAAGTTGGGTCAATAAGGTCACGTGGCCCCTGCTTGGTTCTTGGGAATGCTGAGTCTGGGAGGAGCCAGCTTTGGTTTAAAAAGACTGAGCACCTTCAGCCTGACATGCTGGAGAGGCCCCAGGTACCTGTTCTTGTTGGCCCTCCCAGCTAAGCCCAGGTGACAGGCTGTACCAGCTTCTTGACACCAGAGAAAGCTATCCTGGACATCCAACCTGGTCAAGCCTTCAGATAAAGTCAGCCCCAGCTGCAGCCCCACAGGAGACCCCCCAGGCAGAACTGCCTACATTCCTGTGCCCCGAAAGAAAGTGAATTCATACAAGCTGTATAGAAAACAGCACGGATGTTCCTCTCAAAGAACTAAAAGCAGATCATTTGTTCGATCCAGCAATCCCACTCCTGGGTATCTACCCAAAGGAAAAGAAGTCCTTATATCAAAAAGACACCTGCAGGCCAGGCATGGTGGCTCACGCCTGTCATCCCAGCACTTTGGGAGACCAAGGCGGGCAGATCACCTGAGGTCAGGAGTTCGAGAGCAGCCTGGGCAACATGGAGAAACCCCAGAATTGCTTGAACCCAGGAGGTGGAGGTTGCAGTGAGCCGAGATCGCACCACTGCACTCCAGCCTGGGTGACAGAGCAAGACTCCATCTCAAAAATAAATAAATCAATAAAATAAAATAATCAAACAAAACAATACAAAACAAAATACCTGCACCTGTCTGTTTCTTGCAGCACAACTCACAATTGCAAACATACGGAATCAACCTAAGTACCCCTCCGTGGAGTACTGGATAAAGAAAATGGAATGGAATACTACTAAGCCATTAAAAAGAGTGGAATCGTGTCATTGGCAGTAACTTGGATAGAACTGGAGGTTATTATTCTACGTGGAGTCACTCAAGAACAGAAAAGCAAATACACGTTCTCACTTGTAAGTGGGCACTAAGCTCTGGGTATGCTTCTGGCATTGAAGGGGCATACGGAATAGAGGAATACACATTAGAGACTGAGGGTGGGGCTGTGAGTGAACCTGTCACCCAGGAAATGGCCACTGTACCCAACAGGTGGTTTTTCATCCCCTGCCTCCCTCCCCCTACCTTCTAGCAGTCAAGAGTTTCTGCTCTTCCCATCTTTGTGTCCATGAGTACCCGCTGTGTACCTTCCAGGTGTAAGTCAGAACATGCAGTATTTGGTTTTCTGTTTCTGTGCTGGTTCTCTTAGGATAATGGCTTGCAGCTCTGAGCAAATTCTTGGTGACAACAGCATCGTTGGGGAAGGTATCTTTTGCAAGAGCAGAGGGGACAGTGCTTCTGTGCAGGCAGGTGGTGACCTGTGCTCCAGATGAATCCGAGCCGTGCTAGGGACTCGCCTGGCGGGGAAGCTGCGTGAGAATTCCTGCGCCGTGGTGAATGCAGCAGCCACGCGCAGGGGCCCTGGATGCTGATAATTCATCGTTAGTGAGCTACTGCGAGTAATTACGTTTATTCCTATTTTATTATTATTATTATTACTTTGAGGTAAACTCTTGCTGTGTCACCCAGACTGGAGTGCAGTGTTGTGATGTCGGCTCACTGCAACCTCTGCCTCCTGGGTTCAAGCGATTCTCCTGCCTCAGCCTCCCGAGTACATGGGATTACAGGCACCTGCCCCGATGGCCAGCTATTTTTTGTATTTTTAGTAGAGACGGGGTTTCACCATGTTGGCCAGGCTGCTCTTGAACTCCTAATCTCAACTGATCCTCCCGCCTTGGCCTCCCAAAGTGCTGGGACTACAGGTGTGAGCCACTGCACCCAGCCCTACTAATATTATTATTTTTTTGGAGACAGAGTCTCGCTCTGTCAACCAAGCTGGAGTGCAGTGTGTCCGTATTTTATTTTTTATTTCATTTTTTTTGAGATGGAGTCTCACTCTGTTGCCCAGGCTGGATTGCAGTGGGTTGAACTCGGCTCACTGCAACCTCCGCCTCCCGGGTTGAAGTGATTCTTCTGCCTCAGCCTCCCAAGTAGCTGGGATTACAGGTGTGCACCACAACACCCGGCTAAACTTTTTTTTTTTTTTTTTGTATTTTTAGTAGAGATGGGGTTTTGTCATGTTGACCAGTCTGGTCTCGAACTCCTGACCCCAAGTGATCTGCCCGCCTCAGCCTCCCAAAGTGCTGGGATCCCAGGTGTGAGCCACCGCGCCCGGCCACGCACCCGTATTTTAAACCACAGTGTCACGGAGACGTTTCTAGGCAGCAAACCCACCTGAAACGCTGATATTTACGGAACGAAAGCCTGACATATTCTGAAGGAGAAATTGTTTTGTTGTTGAGTTCTTTGCCAGTGGCTTTAGGTATTAATTTTCCTCTTCCTATGTAAGCAGAGCATTGAAAGACCAGATTGGTGCCAGGTAGAGAGATTGGATGGGTGCCTGAGATGCCTGTTAGGAGGCCATTATCATGGCCTAGGAAGAGATGATGGTACCCCAGAGGAGGGATTGACGGAAGTCCGAAATGCAGAATTGAGTACTAGTTAGACAATCGACGGCAAATTCAAATGCCTGTAGGCTTTTGTATGTGTTTTAAATTTTCCATAATCATGTTTTTTTCGGCATCAGTAAAATTCTATTTATTTATTTTTGTCAAGTTATTATTTTCTTTTAAATCAAAGGAAAGTATAAAAAAGGTGCACAGGGCTGGGCACGGTGACTCACACCTGTAATCCCAGCACTCTGGGAGGCCGAGGCAGGCGGATGACCTGAGGTCAGGAGTTTGAGACCAGCCTGGCCAACTTGGTGAAACCCCGTCTCTACTAAAAATACAAAAAAAAAAAAAAAATTAGCTGAGTGTGGTGGCGGGCACCTGTAATTTCAGCTGCTTGGGAGGCTGAGGCAGGAGAATTTCTGGAACTCAGGAGGCAGAGGTTGCAGTGAGCTGATATCGTGCACTGCACTCCAGCCCCGGCCGACAACAGCGAGACTATGTTTCAAAACAAAAAAAAAAAAGGTGCAGAGATCATGAGGGAAATCTCAATGGAATCATCCAAAGCGAGCACTCTCCCCTCTCAGGTAACCGCCTCCCACATCTGCACCCCTAAGCCCTTTTTTGATCCAAAATTAATTATCACATTCTTCTAAGGTAACTACAATTCCAATTTCCATTACCATAGATTTAATTTGCCTGTTTTTTTCTGGGAGGCGGAGATTGCAGTGAGAAGAGGTTGTGCCACTGCACTCCAGCCTGGGCGACAGAGCAAGGCTCTGTCTCAAAAAAGGAAATAAATAAATAAAATAAAATAATAATTTGCCTTTTTTTAAAAATTTTAATTTAATTTTATTTTTGAGATGGAGTCTCACTCTGTCGCTAGGCTGGAGTGCAGTGGCACAATCTCGGCCCACTGCAGCCTCTGCCTCCCGGGTTCCAGAAATTCTCCTGCCTCAGGCTCCTGAGTAGCTGGGATTACAGGTGTATGCTACTATGCCCAGCTAATTTCTGTATTTTTAGTAGAGACGGGATTTCACCGTGTTGGCCAGGATGGTCTCGAACTCCTGACCTCGTGATCCATCCACGTCGGCCTCCCAAAGTGCTGGGATTACAGGCGTGGGCCATCGCGCCCGGCCTGTTTCTTAAAATTTCAATAATTTTTGGGAAACCAGTGGTTTTGGGCTACATGGATACATTCTTTTGTGGTGACTTCTGAGATTTTGTTGCACAAGTTTTAATCATCAGCAAATATACTGATGTTTCATTGCGAATTTTGTAAGGAATAAGAAAACCCTGTGGCCACGTCAGTGTATCGGGTGCCGTCCACGTTAGGAGCATTCACGGAATCTGTCTCTTCGCCAATTCAAAGGTGGAGAATACACAATAGAACTATCGTTCATTGATCTGCGAATCGAAAGGTGGAAAATACAGAATAAAACTATCGTCCATCGATCTGCCAATTCAAAGGTGGAAAATAAACAGTAAAATTATCGTCCATTGATCTGCCAATTCAAAGGTGGAAAATACGCAATACAATTATCGTTCATTGGTCTGTGCACCTAATGGCATTTTACTGGGGAGTGAACGCTCAGGGTCACAATCACATATTGTGCCTGAAGCAGTGAACACAGGTGAGGTGTATCCTGAACGGGAGGAGAAGGGAGAGTTCTCCGCTCTCCAAGCGGAGAACTCCAGAGAAAGGAGAGTGATGGGGATGAAAGGGCAATCAGAGAGAGAGAGAGGAGAGAGAGAGGGAGGGCAAAGAAGGAAGAGAGAAGGAGAGGGAGGAAATAGGGAGAAAGAGAGACAAAGAGAGATGGAGAGGGAACAGGGAGAGAGAGGGAGGGCAAACGAGAGGGAGAGAGAAGGAGGGGAGGAAATAGGGGAAAGAGAGAAAGAGAGATGGAGAGGGAACAGGGAGAGAGAGGGAGGGCAAACGAGAGAGGGAGAGAGAAGGAAGAGGAGGAAATGGGGGAAGAGAGAGAAAGAGAGATGGAGAGGGAACAGGGAGAGAGAGGGAGGGCAAACGAGAGGGAGAGAGGAGGAGAGGGAGGAAATAGGGGGAAAGAGAGAAAGAGAGATGGAGAGGGAACAGGGAGAGAGAGGGAGGGCAAACGAGAGAGGGAGAGAGAAGGAAGAGGAGGAAATAGGGGAAAGAGAGAAAGAGAGATGGAGAGGGAACAGGGAGAGAGAGGGAGGGCAAACGAGAGAGGGAGAGAGAAGGAAGAGGAGGAAATGGGGGAAAGAGAGAAAGAGAGATGGAGAGGGAACAGGGAGAGAGAGGGAGGGCAAACGAGAGAGGGAGAGAGAAGGAAGAGGAGGAAATGGGGGAAAGAAAGAGAAAGAGAGATGGAGAGGGAACAGGGAGAGAGAGGGAGGGCAAACGAGAGGGAGAGAGAAGGAGGGGAGGAAATAGGGGAAAGAGAGAGAAAGAGAGATGGAGAGGGAACAGGGAGAGAGAGGGAGGGCAAACGAGAGAGGGAGAGAGAAGGAAGAGGAGGAAATGGGGGAAAGAGAGAGAAAGAGAGATGGAGAGGGAACAGGGAGAGAGAGGGAGGGCAAACGAGAGGGAGAGAGAAGGAGGAGGAGGAAATGGGGGAAAGAGAGAGAAAGAGAGATGGAGAGGGAACAGGGAGAGAGAGGGAGGGCAAACGAGAGGGAGAGAGAAGGAGGAGGAGGAAATGGGGGAAAGAGAGAGAAAGAGAGATGGAGAGGGAACAGGGAGAGAGAGGGAGGGCAAACGAGAGGGAGAGAGAAGGAGGAGGAGGAAATGGGGGAAAGAGAGAGAAAGAGAGATGGAGAGGGAACGGGGAGAGAGAGGGAGGGCAAACGAGAGGGAGAGAGAAGGAGGAGGAGGAAATGGGGGAAAGAGAGAGAAAGAGAGATGGAGAGGGAACAGGGAGAGAGAGGGAGGGCAAACGAGAGGGAGAGAGAAGGAGGAGGAGGAAATGGGGGAAAGAGAGAGAAAGAGAGATGGAGAGGGAACGGGGAGAGAGAGGGAGGGCAAACGAGAGGGAGAGAGAAGGAAGAGGAGGAAATGGGGGAAAGAGAGAGAGAGATGGAGAGGGAACGGGGAGAGAGAGGGAGGGCAAACGAGAGAGGGAGAGAGAAGGAGGAGGAGGAAATGGGGGAAAGAGAGAGAAAGAGAGATGGAGAGGGAACGGGGAGAGAGAGGGAGGGCAAACGAGAGGGAGAGAGAAGGAGGAGGAGGAAATGGGGGAAAGAGAGAGAAAGAGAGATGGAGAGGGAACGGGGAGAGAGAGGGAGGGCAAACGAGAGGGAGAGAGAAGGAAGAGGAGGAAATGGGGGAAAGAGAGAGAGAGATGGAGAGGGAACGGGGAGAGAGAGGGAGGGCAAACGAGAGAGGGAGAGAGAAGGAGGAGGAGGAAATGGGGGAAAGAGAGAGAAAGAGAGATGGAGAGGGAACGGGGAGAGAGAGGGAGGGCAAACGAGAGGGAGAGAGAAGGAGGAGGAGGAAATGGGGGAAAGAGAGAGAAAGAGAGATGGAGAGGGAACGGGGAGAGAGAGGGAGGGCAAACGAGAGGGAGAGAGAAGGAGGAGGAGGAAATGGGGGAAAGAGAGAGAAAGAGAGATGGAGAGGGAACGGGGAGAGAGAGGGAGGGCAAACGAGAGGGAGAGAGAAGGAGGAGGAGGAAATGGGGGAAAGAGAGAGAAAGAGAGATGGAGAGGGAACGGGGAGAGAGAGGGAGGGCAAACGAGAGAGGGAGAGAGAAGGAAGAGGAGGAAATGGGGGAAAGAGAGAGAAAGAGAGATGGAGAGGGAACAGGGAGAGAGAGGGAGGGCAAACGAGAGGGAGAGAGAAGGAGGAGGAGGAAATGGGGGAAAGAGAGAGAAAGAGAGATGGAGAGGGAACAGGGAGAGAGAGGGAGGGCAAACGAGAGGGAGAGAGAAGGAGGAGGAGGAAATGGGGGAAAGAGAGAGAAAGAGAGATGGAGAGGGAACAGGGAGAGAGAGGGAGGGCAAACGAGAGGGAGAGAGAAGGAGGAGGAGGAAATGGGGGAAAGAGAGAGAAAGAGAGATGGAGAGGGAACGGGGAGAGAGAGGGAGGGCAAACGAGAGGGAGAGAGAAGGAGGAGGAGGAAATGGGGGAAAGAGAGAGAAAGAGAGATGGAGAGGGAACAGGGAGAGAGAGGGAGGGCAAACGAGAGGGAGAGAGAAGGAGGAGGAGGAAATGGGGGAAAGAGAGAGAAAGAGAGATGGAGAGGGAACAGGGAGAGAGAGGGAGGGCAAACGAGAGGGAGAGAGAAGGAGGAGGAGGAAATGGGGGAAAGAGAGAGAAAGAGAGATGGAGAGGGAACGGGGAGAGAGAGGGAGGGCAAACGAGAGGGAGAGAGAAGGAAGAGGAGGAAATGGGGGAAAGAGAGAGAGAGATGGAGAGGGAACGGGGAGAGAGAGGGAGGGCAAACGAGAGGGAGAGAGAAGGAAGAGGAGGAAATGGGGGAAAGAGAGAGAGAGATGGAGAGGGAACGGGGAGAGAGAGGGAGGGCAAACGAGAGAGGGAGAGAGAAGGAAGAGGAGGAAATGGGGGAAAGAGAGAGAAAGAGAGATGGAGAGGGAACAGGGAGAGAGAGGGAGGGCAAACGAGAGGGAGAGAGAAGGAAGAGGAGGAAATGGGGGAAAGAGAGAGAGAGATGGAGAGGGAACGGGGAGAGAGAGGGAGGGCAAACGAGAGGGAGAGAGAAGGAAGAGGAGGAAATGGGGGAGAGAGAAAGAGAGATGGAGAGGGAACGGGGAGAGAGAGGGAGGGCAAACGAGAGGGAGAGAGAAGGAAGAGGAGGAAATGGGGGAAAGAGAGAGAGAGATGGAGAGGGAACGGGGAGAGAGAGGGAGGGCAAACGAGAGAGGGAGAGAGAAGGAGGAGGAGGAAATGGGGGAAAGAGAGAGAAAGAGAGATGGAGAGGGAACGGGGAGAGAGAGGGAGGGCAAACGAGAGGGAGAGAGAAGGAGGAGGAGGAAATGGGGGAAAGAGAGAGAAAGAGAGATGGAGAGGGAACGGGGAGAGAGAGGGAGGGCAAACGAGAGGGAGAGAGAAGGAGGAGGAGGAAATGGGGGAAAGAGAGAGAAAGAGAGATGGAGAGGGAACGGGGAGAGAGAGGGAGGGCAAACGAGAGGGAGAGAGAAGGAGGAGGAGGAAATGGGGGAAAGAGAGAGAAAGAGAGATGGAGAGGGAACGGGGAGAGAGAGGGAGGGCAAACGAGAGAGGGAGAGAGAAGGAAGAGGAGGAAATGGGGGAAAGAGAGAGAAAGAGAGATGGAGAGGGAACAGGGAGAGAGAGGGAGGGCAAACGAGAGGGAGAGAGAAGGAGGAGGAGGAAATGGGGGAAAGAGAGAGAAAGAGAGATGGAGAGGGAACAGGGAGAGAGAGGGAGGGCAAACGAGAGGGAGAGAGAAGGAGGAGGAGGAAATGGGGGAAAGAGAGAGAAAGAGAGATGGAGAGGGAACAGGGAGAGAGAGGGAGGGCAAACGAGAGGGAGAGAGAAGGAGGAGGAGGAAATGGGGGAAAGAGAGAGAAAGAGAGATGGAGAGGGAACGGGGAGAGAGAGGGAGGGCAAACGAGAGGGAGAGAGAAGGAGGAGGAGGAAATGGGGGAAAGAGAGAGAAAGAGAGATGGAGAGGGAACAGGGAGAGAGAGGGAGGGCAAACGAGAGGGAGAGAGAAGGAGGAGGAGGAAATGGGGGAAAGAGAGAGAAAGAGAGATGGAGAGGGAACAGGGAGAGAGAGGGAGGGCAAACGAGAGGGAGAGAGAAGGAGGAGGAGGAAATGGGGGAAAGAGAGAGAAAGAGAGATGGAGAGGGAACGGGGAGAGAGAGGGAGGGCAAACGAGAGGGAGAGAGAAGGAAGAGGAGGAAATGGGGGAAAGAGAGAGAGAGATGGAGAGGGAACGGGGAGAGAGAGGGAGGGCAAACGAGAGGGAGAGAGAAGGAAGAGGAGGAAATGGGGGAAAGAGAGAGAGAGATGGAGAGGGAACGGGGAGAGAGAGGGAGGGCAAACGAGAGAGGGAGAGAGAAGGAAGAGGAGGAAATGGGGGAAAGAGAGAGAAAGAGAGATGGAGAGGGAACAGGGAGAGAGAGGGAGGGCAAACGAGAGGGAGAGAGAAGGAAGAGGAGGAAATGGGGGAAAGAGAGAGAGAGATGGAGAGGGAACGGGGAGAGAGAGGGAGGGCAAACGAGAGGGAGAGAGAAGGAAGAGGAGGAAATGGGGGAAAGAGAGAGAGAGATGGAGAGGGAACGGGGAGAGAGAGGGAGGGCAAACGAGAGAGGGAGAGAGAAGGAAGAGGAGGAAATGGGGGAAAGAGAGAGAAAGAGAGATGGAGAGGGAACAGGGAGAGAGAGGGAGGGCAAACGAGAGGGAGAGAGAAGGAAGAGGAGGAAATGGGGGAAAGAGAGAGAGAGATGGAGAGGGAACGGGGAGAGAGAGGGAGGGCAAACGAGAGGGAGAGAGAAGGAAGAGGAGGAAATGGGGGAAAGAGAGAGAGAGATGGAGAGGGAACGGGGAGAGAGAGGGAGGGCAAACGAGAGGGAGAGAGAAGGAGGAGGAGGAAATGGGGGAAAGAGAGAGAAAGAGAGATGGAGAGGGAACGGGGAGAGAGAGGGAGGGCAAACGAGAGGGAGAGAGAAGGAGGAGGAGGAAATGGGGGAAAGAGAGAGAAAGAGAGATGGAGAGGGAACGGGGAGAGAGAGGGAGGGCAAACGAGAGGGAGAGAGAAGGAGGAGGAGGAAATGGGGGAAAGAGAGAGAAAGAGAGATGGAGAGGGAACGGGGAGAGAGAGGGAGGGCAAACGAGAGAGGGAGAGAGAAGGAGGAGAGGGAGGAAATAGGGGAAAGAGAGAGAAAGAGAGATGGAGAGGGAACGGGGAGAGAGAGGGAGGGCAAACGAGAGGGAGAGAGAAGGAAGAGGAGGAAATGGGGGAAAGAGAGAGAGAGATGGAGAGGGAACGGGGAGAGAGAGGGAGGGCAAACGAGAGAGGGAGAGAGAAGGAGGAGGAGGAAATGGGGGAAAGAGAGAGAAAGAGAGATGGAGAGGGAACGGGGAGAGAGAGGGAGGGCAAACGAGAGGGAGAGAGAAGGAGGAGGAGGAAATGGGGGAAAGAGAGAGAAAGAGAGATGGAGAGGGAACGGGGAGAGAGAGGGAGGGCAAACGAGAGGGAGAGAGAAGGAAGAGGAGGAAATGGGGGAAAGAGAGAGAAAGAGAGATGGAGAGGGAACGGGGAGAGAGAGGGAGGGCAAACGAGAGGGAGAGAGAAGGAAGAGGAGGAAATGGGGGAAAGAGAGAGAGAGATGGAGAGGGAACAGGGAGAGAGAGGGAGGGCAAACGAGAAAGGAAGAGAGAAGGAGAGGGAGGAAATAAGGGGAGAGACAGAGAAAGAGACAGAGAGAAAGAGAGAAAGGGGGAGAGAAGGAAGGCAAAGGAGAGAGGAGGAGAGATGGGGGAAGGAGGAAAGAGAGAGAAGTGGGACACAGAGGAAGACAAAGGAGATAGAGAGACAAGGGGAGAGACAGGAAGAGAAAGGAGATAGGGAGAAGAGGGAGGGTGTGCGAGAGGGAAACAGAAAGGGAGAGAGAGAAGAAAGAGGGGAGAGAGAAGAAAGAGGGGAGGGAGAGAAGAAGGGAAAGGGAGGGAGAGAGGGAGAGAGAGAATGGGAGAAAAGGAGAGAGAGAAGAGGGGAGAAAGAGGGAGAGAGGGAAGGAAGGAGAGAGGGAGGGAGGGAGAGGGAGAATGGGAGAGAGAGAAGAGGGGAGAAAGCGAGGGAGGGAGGGGGAGAGAGAGAAGAAAGAGAGAAGAGAGAAAGAGAGAGAGGGAGAGAGAGGGAGAAAGGGAGAGAGAGAAGGGAGAAGGGGAGAGAGAGGGGGAGAGAGGGAGGGAGGAGGGAGAAGGGAGGTCGAGAGCAAAATAGTAGAAGCGGGGATGGGGTAGACTGAGGAGAGAGAGAGACAGAGAGAAAAAGCAAAAGAGAGGAAAAGTGAGACAGTGAAGAGGTGGAAAGAGAGAATGACAGAGAGACGGGGAGAAGGAGGAGAGAGAGACAGAGAGTTACAGAAAGAGAGAGAGAGAGGAGAAAAGCATTTGAGTAACTGAAAAACCACTGCTTCTCAACCCACTTCCTAGAATCTCGGGAGGGCGGTGGGAAGGATGGAGCCAGTCCAGGGAGGCTATGGGACGGACGCCCTGAACATCTAGCCTTCTCTGGCAGGGAACAGCCTGCCGCAGAGTCACAACAGACCACATCCCATGCTGCTGCCAACACCAACACTAAAAGAACATCCAAATGCCTCCTGTTCAGAGAAGGCGCCATCGGGAGAGGCAGAGGAAACCACTACGGAACAGAAAGCTACTCTATCCACAGGAGAGCAGCTCTGGAAGAGAAGCAAACAGAAGGCACGCAGAATAAATGGTCTACACCTGTGCAGACTCAAGGATCCGCTGACGAATGCATGCGCCGCGATGCAACACTTTCCGTCTTCCCGGGAGGGAGACCAGATGACTGTGGAGCCCGAGTCACATAGAAAATGCCAGGCGCCCACAAAGACAGGAGATGGCTGCTCAGGTGTCCGTCCACCAAAAAGTGGGTCCTCAGTAAGGACCGGCTCCACTGCACCTCAGTCTTCTGTTGATGCAGAACTGCACACCTGGGCTTCCCCGAATGAATCTTCCTTAACTCTCATGGGTCTTGTAGGTGCCCTGTGCCCATTTGCTCATTTGAATGAACTCATTAGAATTCATTCATTCATTTGATTCCATTCATTCATTTGCATCATTTGAATTCATTCCTTCTTTTGAATTCACTTGTTCCTTTGAATTCATTCATTCACTTGAATTTATTCATTTAAATTCACTCATTTGAATTCATTCATTCATTCCTTTGAATTCGTTCATTCCTTTGAATTCACTCATTCCTTTGAATTCACTCATTCCTTTGAATTCACTCATTCCTTTGAATTCACTCATTCCTTTGAATTCACTCATTCCTTTGAATTCATTCATTCATTCCTCTGAATTTATTCATTCCTTTGAATTCATTCGTTCCTTTGACTTCATTTGTTCATTCATTTGAATTCATTCCTTCATTTGAATTTATTCATTCCCTTGAATTCATTCAGATTCACTCATTTGAATTCATTCATTCATTCCTTTGAATTCATTCCTTTGAATTCATACATTCCTTTCAATTCATTTAGTCCTTTGAATTCATTCGTTCCTTTGAATTCATTTGTTCATTCATTAGAATTCATTCATTCCTTAGAATTAATTCATTTGAATTCATTTGTTCATTCCTTTGAATTCATTTGCATTCATTCATTCCTCTGAATTCATTCATTCATTTGAATTCTTTCATTCATTCATTCACTCATTTGAATTCATTCAAGTGAATGAATGAATTTGAATGAATGAATGAATGAATGAATGAATGGGTGAATGAAGAACTGTACCAAAAAACAGAGTCTTTAGGTCTCTGGCCAGGGAAGAATCATTGTTATTTTTCAGGGTCACCCTGTATCGTGGACGTATTTCTTTGGTGGTAGGAAAAATAATGCTTAGTAATTCATTATCTCAGAAAGAAATTCATCCATTAGAGTTATGGGAAGATGGCTGACAAGGATAAATCTATAAATCCTCTGCATTATTAAAAATCTATCAATTTTCAGACATGGGGATGGGAAGCTAGATAAATACAATTTTGAAGTGAATAAACCATAAATACCGGCTCTGCAGGAGGTCTATTATTGATTTATTCTTGTGCTTGATAAATCATCGCGTTGCCTCTGAGCTTCCCACAGCAGCCAGACAGAGGCAGTCAGGTTCTATTTTCAACCCACTAGCAAATGAAAAAGATATTCTATGTCTGAAGTATTTAATGTTTGCAAAACCTTGATTGCTCTAAGAATAAAAAAAGAAAAGCACGAAGTGTAGCTCCTTCTTGCCTTGGAAGTCACCCTGGCTGAGCTCAGCTGGGGCTGTTTTCCATGAGACTTGAGGCACGTGGTTGACTAGCAGGAGTTTTGGAGGGAAGGTTCTGGGGAAATAGTTTAGGGCAGCAGTCTCCAACCTTTTTGGCACCAGGGACCACTTTTGTGAAAGACAATTTTCTGAAGACAGAAGGTGGAGGTGGAATGTGGGGATGGTTTTGGGATGATTCCGGGGCATGACATTTATTGTACACTTTATTTGTATTATTATTACATTGTACTATATAATGAAATAATTCTACAAGTCGCCATCATATAGAATCAGTGGGAGCCCTGAGCTTGTTTTCCTGTGACTAGACAGTCCCATCTGGGGGTGATGGGAGACAGTGACAGATCATCAGGAATTAGATTCCATAAGGAGCACACAACCTAGATCCTTCCCATGCACAGATCATCAGGCTTTAGCTTTTCATAAGGAGTGCACAACCTAAGTCCCTCACATGCACAGTTCACAGTAGGGTTTGTGCTCCTATAAGAATCTAATGCTGCTGCTGATCTGACAGGAGGCAGAGCTCAGGCAGTCATGTGAACAATGGGGAGTGGCTGTAAATACAGATGAAGCTTTGCTTGTTCACTTGCCACTCACCTTCTGCTGTGCGGCCGGTGTCCTAACAGGCCATGGACTGGTACTATGACCTGGGGGTTGGACAGCCCTGGTTTAGGGGTCTGCAGACCCCCTACTAGCCTCTTAGACACTAAAAGTACCACCACTGGAGTCCTTCCCTGAGGCTGCCTATAAATAGAAACTCTATTTACATAAGTTGACACCAGCAATATCCCAAACATACAATCCAGCAATCTCATTTGCACACAACGAAGAAGAATTCTGATGCACAAACCAACGAGAAAAATCCTTGATTTCTTCTCTAAGTCAAGGTACATCTGGCCCAAGCTTCAGCACACCAGCTGGTGATGAACCCATTCTCAGCGTTGACTGTATAGAATCCAGCCTTCTCATTTGCACACAACGAAGATGAATTCTGATGCATAAACCAAGGCATGCAACAAATGAGAAAAATCCTTTACTTCTTCTCTAAATCAACGTACATCTGGCTCAAGCCTCCAGCACAAGAGCTGGTGATGAATCCATTCTCAACGCTGACTGTGTAGAATCCAGCCTTCTCATTTGCACACCACGAAGATGAATTCTGATGCACAAACTAAGGCATGCAATAAATGAGAAAAATACTTTGCTTCTTCCCTAAATCCAGGTACATCAGACCCAGGCCTCCAGCACACGGGCTTGTGCTGAATCCATTCTCAGTGCTGACTGTATAGAATCCAGCCTCGTCATTTGCACACCATGAAGATGAATTCTGATGCACAAACCAAGGCAAAAAATGCTTTACTTCCTCTCTAAATCAAGGTTCATCTGGCCCAAGCCTCCAGCACACAGGCTGGTGATGAATCCATTCTCAGCATAGACTGTGCCATCTGGGCTACTTCTGGCTTGAGGAGCACTTATCCCTGCAGCTTTCCATCCACCCTGGGTACCTCGGGAGGCCCCTTTCCAAGCCCATGGGCTTCACGAAGCTCCATGGTTCTGTTGCATTTCCAAGAGAACCAAGAGGATTTGTCAACAAGAGACTGCCTCTCTGCATTTCTGTCTTCTTGTGAAGAGTGGGCAATGGGTATTCAACACAGCCTCCAAAAGCGAAGTCTCCAGCTCTTTTCTAGAAGCTTCTGTCTGTACCCACAGAGGAAAAAAAAAAAAATCCAGATCCTCTGCAACTGAGCTCTTCTCAACAGTGACCCCAGGGACAAGATGAACCTTAGTCAGCCACAAAAACCTATAGGGAGTCCAGGAAAGCCACAGCCTGAGCAACCTCTTGAAAGATGTAGAACAAAAAGATAAAAGGAAGAAAGTGCAAAGTGTTATTTCAAGCCATCATCTTGTAACAAATGGATTCTCATTATCACCTCCTGGAAATGGTGTTCTGAGCAGCACAGGCTGGGGAATTCCAGGGAGGCGTGTGACTTGGGGTGCAATCTTCTCTGTACTTTACAAGACTGTGTTGTCACATTGCAAGAGGTGTGTTTTCTAAGGCAGAACATTTCACAGAATGATTATTGGTCCAATGTTTGTTTCCGTTGCTAAAGTATGATTTCTATGAGGTCAAGAATCTTGCTTATTATTTTATTTTTCCTGCAAGCGAAGTATGTGAAGGGCAGAGTAGGTAGGTATGGCAGGTTAAATAATGCACAACTCAAGATGTCCAGGTCCACATTATTCATGTGGGAGACAGAATCATGACCCCAAAAATGCCCACACTGTAATCCCCATGTGGGAGACACAATAATGGCCCCAAAGATGTCCACATCCTAATCCTCAGGTGGAAGACAGAATAATGGCCCCAAAAATGTCCACATCCTAATCCTCATGTGGAAGACAGAATAATGACCCAAAGATGTCCACATCCCAATCCTCATGTGGAAGACAAAATAATGGCCCTGAAGATGTCCACATCCTAATCCCCATGTGGTAGACAGAATAATGGCCCCAAAGATGTCCACATCCCAATCCCCATGTGGTACACAGAATAATGGCCCCGAAGATGTCCATATCCGAATCCCCATGTGGGAGACAGAATAATGGCCCCGAAGATGTCCATATCCAAATCCCCATGTGGAAGACAGAATAATGGCCCCAAAGATGTCCACATCCTAATCCCCATGTGGAAGCCGAACAATGGCCCCAAAGATGTCCATATGTTAATTCCCATGTGGTAGATAGAATAATAGCCCCAAAGATGTTCACATTCTAATCCTCATGTGGGAAACAGAATAATGGCCCCAAAGATGTCCACATCCTAATCCTCATGTGGAAGACTGAATAATGGCTCTAAAGATGTCCACAGACTAATTCTCATGTGGTCGACACAATAATGACCCCAGAGATGCCCACAACCTATTCCCAATTTGGAAGAGTAATAACTCAAAAGATGAAAAAATGTCCATGTCCTCATCTCTGGAACACATGAAAATGTGACTTTCACGGCAAAAGGGCCTTTGTAGATGTGAATTAGTGGAAGATCTTGAGATGAGGTGATTATCTGAGATGATCCTGGTGGGCCCCAAATAATCACAATGGTTCTTCTACAAGGCAGGCAGAAGAACAAAAGTAAGTGAAGGAGATAAAAAAAAAGAGAAGGCAAGATGAGAGAGAGAAAGAGAGAGAAGGGAAGAGAGGGAGAGAGAGAGAACAAGAAAGAGAGATTCAAAGGTGTCTCATTGCTGGCTTTGTTGTTGTTTTTGTTGTTTTGAGATGGAGTTTTGCTCTTGTTGCCCAGACTGGAGTGCAGTGGTGTGATCTCAGCTTACTGCAACCTCTGCCTCCCGGGTTCAAGCAATTCTCCTGCCTCAGCCTCCCGAGTAGCTGGGATTACAGGCATGCGCCACCATGCCCAGCTAATTTTGTATTTTTAGTAGAGACAGGGTTTCACAATGTTGTCCACGTTGGTCTCGAACTCCTGACCTCACGTAATCCACCTGCCTCGGCCTCCCAAAGTGCTGAGGTTACAGGCGTGAGCCACTATCATTGCTGGCTTTAAGGCCGGGTTGGAGGCCATGGGTGAAGAAACGCTGACAGTCTTCTAAAAACTGGGGA
Organism: Homo sapiens; assembly: GCF_000001405.40. Taxonomy (NCBI): domain Eukaryota; kingdom Metazoa; phylum Chordata; class Mammalia; order Primates; family Hominidae; genus Homo; species Homo sapiens. The sequence goes on from NC_000024.10 coordinate 2,288,598, forward strand.
AGGAAATACTCTCCTCTAGAACCAGTGTCAGCCATAGACTCAGGAATTTCACACTGGACTTACTGGCTTGAGGTGCCTCTGAGGCATTGAGCGAAGGTAAAAGGTCTTAGCATGGAAGAAAGGTCTAGATAAGTCTAGGAAGAAGTAAACCCAATATGTGCATGAGATTTTCTACAGAAGAGATAGGGTACAGAGACAATCCAACAACAAGACCCTTTTGATTCAAATTCAACCCTGTCCCAGTTTCCAGAATATTTTTGTTTGTTTCTGAGAGCCCTGTGTGCCTTGTTTAAAATCTGTTGAGAAAAGGAACAGAGGAGAATCCTAGGAATGCAATAGCCATTTCAAAAGGTAAACGTGGTGGTTGAGTGATGGAGTATACGCTGGTTAGCCTGTGTCAACTGGTGTTAGCCTGTATCCACTGTCACAGATGTGGTTCATATACACATTGCTCAGTAAAATTCTGCTCCCCCCAGAACACAGTAAGATTCTGCTGGAGAAACATATCATATCTGACATTCCTAATTTTTTTTTTTTTTTGAAACAGTCTTGCTCTGTTGCTCAGGCTGGAGTGCAATGGTGTGGTCTCGGCTCACTGCAGCCTCCACCTCCCAGGTTCAAGCGATTCTCCTGCCTCAGCCTCCTGAGTAGCTGGGACTACAGATGCCCGCCACCACGCCTGGCTAATATTTGTATTTTTAGTAGAGACAGGGTTTCACCATATTGGTCAGGCTGGTCTGGAACCCCTGACCTCAGGTGATCCACTCACCTCAGCCTCCCAAAGTGTTGGGATTACAGGGGTGAGCCACCGCGCCCGGCCTGAGATTCCTAATTTTTTCTGCTTACTGGTGGATGCAAGCCCATACCAAATGGATGGAAGTAGTCGCACAAAAGTCCTAAGAGGATGGACAGTTCTGTTTTGTGTGTCTCTGTGCAAGGGCACCATGTCATGTATGTATTTCCATCTCCAACTGCTCTGTGATAAAGTGCTCCCATTACTAATGAGTAAGGGTGTTACACAGAACGAGGAAATGAGACGTCGGGTCGTGTAGGATCTCCACAGTGCCTCTAAGTGGTCTCCACATTTGGTGACTTATAATGCTATAATTCTAATCACTTCTAATACTGATAGGTCTTCAGCAAAGGAAGTCCACACCCAGTGCTGAGACAGAAGATTCCAAATGGCTGCTGACTGGGAAATCATTTATGCCTGCGTAGAAACTTCAGATCCCACCAGGATGGCAAATCTGAAAAGTGTTATTGATCTCCAAAGAAGACACACAAAGTTAAAATCATTCCGGACCTTCCAACAGGAGCCACTAGCACTGATAATACGATGTTTCTTACCAGGCTAAGTACATGGAAATGGTGTTGTCTGTAGCTATTTGAGTGGCACTCACACATCATAGCTATGTCTGCACGTATTTTTATGCATAAATACATATACATCATACATCAAATACATATACAAATACATATGCACTCACACATAGCTATGTCTGTACAAATTTTTATGCATAAATTGGCATCACACTCTATGTATAGTTTTATATCCCATGCTTCTCCTTTAAACTCTAGCATAATAATTTCCAATTAAACAAGTGGGTTGAGGGGGAACCGTGGGTATCTCATCCACTTTCCTATCCTCCAATCCCATTAATGTTATACAAAAACACGAAACACATCAAGACAAAAAGAAAAAAAAATTAGATAGAAGCTACCACATCTTGGCAGCTGGAAACAGACAGGTATTACAACTTTAGTACAAAGAATAATGCTTTCTCCCTCCTTACAGACATGTCCATATCCTAATCTCCAGAATTTATGAAAATGGTACGTTAGGTAGCACAAGGGGTTTTGCAGAATTAAGAATCTTTAATGGTCTAGGTGGGTAATGGAGTAATTACATTGGGTAATCACAAGATCCTTTTGCTGATTTTTTTGTCTGCAATCTGAAGTGTCAATAACTTGATAAATATTTCATGTATTTGAAAGGAATGTGCTGTCTTTATGGGCTCACTGTTTGACGTACGTCTGTTCTATCCACTGTATTAATGTCACTATTTATTTCCTCTCTGAATTTGCATTTGGTCTCCATCTGTGAAAGTGATGCGTTAAATTCTACTAGCACACATGTTTGTTGGTGTATTTCTGAGACCTTTAGTTCTATGTATTTACTTAGTTTGGAGATGTCAATAACTGTACCTCCTCAGTGTGGAGGGTTCAGGTTAACTTTTATAAAAAATAAAATGGACTGCAGCAGGGGATGAGAGTAATGGGCATCAGTGTTACGAGGAGAAACATTAAGTGTTGCAATGATCTTAAGCGCTCAGCGTGGCCCAAAGAAGGGCTCAAGGTCAACAGTAAGCGTTGCAATGACCTTAAGCACTCAGCGAGGCTCAAAGAAGGGCTCAAGGTCAAGGGTAGTTTGTGTTGAAGATTGGCAGATGGGCAGATTGAAGGTGGGGAAGGGGAGATATTGACTCCACCTATCTGGGTGAGAATGTTGAACAGGGGGTAAAATCAAGAGATAAATGGTAATGAGCTTCTAGTGCCCAAATAATGACTCTCAGGGGAATGTGGTGATGGTTTTGTAAGATAACATTTGGGAAAACACCAACCCTTAGCATGTGCCTCATACCCTTTAGTCCAAGTGGACAAGTCAACGTGTCAACTCCATACAACATGTTATCGCGTTTACCATTATTTCAAAGTAACATGCTAACAAGAATGATGCTCTTCCAAAGCTATCCGTGAAATGAAGCACTGACTAGAAATAGCAGGTATGTTCAATAATTCCCATGGATATCCTGTTTTGCTGAGACACTTCTCCCGCATGAAAGCTAGAGTTCCTGTTTGCATTCAAATTAACCCCTGGCTTGCTGCAATTTCACCAGGACTCACCATTGTTGATCAGGACATGGAGAGGAATCTTCTTCATCTTGAACTTCTGCACAAACTGCCGGATGGAAGTCATGGAAGCCAAGTCACAGTATAAAAATTCCACTGGAAAAGGACAACAACAAAAAATACCTGGTTATCTCCCAACCTATTTCAGAGATTAAGAAAATTTCTAAACAGGTCAAACTCAATTTCATCTAGGAAGTAACACTTTTTTTTTTTCTGCTCTTTTTGAGATGGAGTCTCGCTCTGTTGACCGGGCTGGAGTGCTGTGGCAGGATCTCAGCTCACTGCAGCCTCTGCTTCCTGGGTTCCAGTGATTCTCCTGCCTCAGCCTCCCAGGTAGCTGGGATTACAGGCACATGCCACCAGGCCCAGCTAATTTTTGTATTTTTGTATTTTTTTTTTTTTTTTTTTTTTTAGTAGAGACAATGTTTCACCATGTTGGCCAGGCTGGTCTCAAACTCTTGACCTCAGGTGATCCGCCCGCCTCAGCCTCCCAAAGTGCTGGGATTACAGGCGTGAGCCACCACGCCTGTCCAGGAAGTAACACTGAATTGGACATGTCAGTAGGGTACAATGAGGAGCTCATACTCTAGGGAGATCAATGAGTCCCATCCTTGTATAGTCCCCTTTCCTTGAGTCTGTGTGGGACCTGTCATTCTCCTCCTGACCTTGATGTGAGCTGATGTTTTGTGAGAGCGCCTTGGGGCCAGAACCTGGGCATGGCCTCTCTAGGAGCTGACAGCAGCCCCTGGCCAAAAGCCAGCAAGATACTCAGATCCCCAGATCTGCAGCTTCCAGGAATTGGATTCTGCGTATAACCATGTGAATTTCGAAGATCCTGAGCTCCAGAGAGGACCTCAGGCCAGATGACACTTTGGTTATAGCCCAGTGAGACCCCGAAGAGAGAATGCAGTTACACCTGCCCAGATTCCTGACCCGCAGCAGCTGTGGGATAGTAAGTATGAGCCCTTCCACGCTGCTGAGTCTGTGGGTTATTTTGTTACACAGCATATGTAACTGATACACAAAATGACTCAGAAGCAAGGACTTCCTTCTTCTGCAGTAGAGGAATATAGAATATAGAATTTTATATAATAATCAAACAGGAAGCAATTTATGCATCCCCTGCTACAGATAGTAAGAAGTACGAGCCCTTCCACGTTGCTGAATCTGTGTTATTTTGTTACAGGGCATATGTAACTAATACACAAAATGGCTCAGAAGCAAGGACTTCCTTCTTCCACAGGAGAATATAGAATTTTATATAATAATAAAAAAGGACGCCATTTATGGATCCCTTGCTACAGATAGTAAGTATGAGCTCTTCCACGCTGCTCAGTCTGTTATTTTGTTACACAGTATATGTAACTAATACACAAAATGACTCAGAAGCAAGGACTTCCTTCTTCTGCAGAAGAATAATAAAAGAAAGCATTTTATTTTTTATTACATTTATGTTTTTGGAGACAGGGTCTCACTATGTCCCCATGGCTGGTCTCGAACTCCTAAGCTCAAGTGAGCCTCCCACATCAGCCTCCCAAAGTGTTGGATTACAGGCGTGAGCAGCTGTGTCCAGCCAAAGATGACATTTTTAGAGAGTGAATGACTCAGGGACAGCTTTATAACATCACATAGGTAGAGAGGTAGACTTATGTCTATTGTATTCAGTATATCAACTTCACTCTTTCTCTCTAAATTCCCAGTGGGTCTCCATCGCTAAAAGTGATGTGTTTGATTGTGTTAAAGCTGTTTTTTTTTTTTTTTTCCCAGAAGGACTGAGGTTTTGGAGGGAGAGGAACTAGAAAGAAAAGCAAATTCACAGGTATATAATTCTGCCTCCAGGTCCATGGGTTCAAGGAGGTTGGGAGAACAATGCAACAACCTAAAGTCAGACAGAACAAAATGCATGAAAACTAGCTATTACTTGCAGCAGAGACAGCAGATCTCTGAGGGAAGAAGCAAGTTCCCTTACATTGAGATGGGAAGGTAATTTCTGGAGAGAGGTGGAAGGTATTGGGGGACACTGCCAGTGAGTTCTGAAAGGTGAGGATGGGGAATGGTGTGAGGTGGAAGAGCAAATCACAGCATGTGTGCAGAGGTCAGAGACAGGAGTCCTCAGGGAGGGAGCGAGCAGAGGCTGGTTCTGGGCTGGCCGAGAAGAGAACAGCCTTGATCTGCAGGGCTGCTGGTGGTCAGTGTCATTTACAGCCTCCTCACTGGGGAGCCTCATAGGGGAAAATCATTACTGTAAAAGAACTGTTAATATTTTTATGAAGGCCACATAGCTTTCAGAGGATAAGCAGTGTGTGTGTGTGGTGGGGGGAGGGGTCTGCCTGTGCCCCCCATGTCTGCACTGATGTGTAAAATGCCAGCAATCAATTTTATGACAGACACACCTTGCTTAATAAGCTCTATGAGCCTTACTCTCCAAAACTATTACTGGAATGCTCATCATCATTCCAAAACGAAATGACTCTCCACTCACCATCAGAGAGAGAGAAGAGACAGAGATGGAGTGTAAGAATGAGAAAGAGAGAGATAGAAAGATAGAAGCAGAGAGAGAGAGAAAGAGAGAAAGAAAGAAAGGCTAAGAGAGAAAGAGAAAAAAGGAGGGGGAGGAAAAGGGGAAGAGAGAAAAAACACACAGAGATAAAGACAAAGAGACACAGTGAGAGAGAGAAACAGAAAGAGAGAGAGGGACGGGAGACAGTAAAAGGGACAAAGAGAGAAAGGCAGACAGAGAGATACAAAGAAAGAGGCCGGGCACGATGGCTCATGCCTGTAATCCCAGCACTTTAGGAGGCGAAGGCAGGCAGATCACGTGAGGTCAGGACTTTGAGACCAGCTTGGCTAACATGTTGAAACCTCGTCTCTACTAAAAATACAAAAATTAGCCAGCTGTGGTGGTGCACACCTGTAATCTCAGCACTTTGGAAGGTGGGCAGAGGTCAGGAGTTCGAGACCAGCCTGGCCATTGTGGTCAAACTCCATCTCTACTAAAAATACAAAAATTAGGCGACTGTGGTGGTGCACGCCTGTAATCCCAGCTACTTGGGAGGCTAAGGCAGGAGAATCGCATGAACCTGGGAGGTGGAGGTTGCAGTAAGCCGAGGTCGCGCCACTGCACTCCAGCCTGGGTGACAGAGCAAGACTCTGTCTCAAAAAAAAAAAAAGAGACAGAAAGAGGCAAAGAGAGAGAGCGTGACAAACACTGAGAGACAGAGAGAAATAGAGAAAAGAAGACAAAGAGAGAGACAGAGAAAGAGAGAGAGAGAGAGGAAAAAGAGAGGGAGAGAGAGAGAGGAAAAAGAGAGGGAGAGAGAGAGGGAGAAAGACAAAGAGAGCAGACAGAAAAAGAAAGAGAATGAAATGAGAGAAAGTGTGTGTTAGTTTCATATTCCTTACTGTATAAGGAGAAGAAAAGGAAATGGAGAGGATTTGGAGAAATAGGAACATTTTTACACCGTTGGTAGGAGTGTAAATTAGTTCAACCATTGTGGAAGACAGTGTGGCGATTCCTCAAGGATCTAGAACCAGAAATACCATTTGACCCATCAATCCCGTTACTGGGTATATACCAAAGGTTTATAAATCATTCTACTATAAAGACACATGCACACATACGTTTATTGCGGAACTATTAACAATAGCAAAAACTTGAAACCAACCCAAATGCCCATCAATGATAGACTGGATAAAGAAAATGTGGCACATAGACACCATGGAATACTATGCAGCCATAAAAAAAGGATGAGTTCATGTCCTTTGCAGGGACATGGATGAAGCTGGAAACCATCATTCTCAGCAAACTATCACAGGAACAGAAAACCAAACACTGCATGTTCTCACTCATCAGTGGAAGTTGAACAATGAGAACACATGGACACAGGGAGGGGAACATCACACACCAGGGCTTGCTGGGGGGTGGAGGGTTAGGGAAGGGATAGCTTTAGGACAAATACCTAATGTAGATGACGGGTCGATGGGTGCAGCAAACCACCATGGCACGTGTATACCTATGTAACAAACTTGCACGTTCTGTACATGTATCCAGAACTTAAAGTATAATAATACCAAAAAAACAAGAAGAAAAGGAAATGGTATCTGGATTACTTTGACAGGACATAACTTTCTAAAACACGTCATTCTGGATAAAATATTACCAGGCTGTTAGGACACGCTGCTGAGTCTGTGTTATTTTGTTACACGGCATGTGTAACTAATACACAAAATGACTCAGAAGCAAGGACTTCCTTCTTCTGCAGTAGAATAATAAAAGAGGGCTAGCACTTGCTTGTATTGACGGCTTGTATTTTCACGCGGTTCCGGCATGTGGCAATACCGAAGCACAAAGCTGGGGCGCATACGCACATTTATTTTCTCATCGAAGACCATAAATAGTTCCCTTCCTCCCATACGTAGCCCATTCTCTTGACTTTCCTTTTCTGGGATGGACTGTGGGGTTCTCGCCGAGAGATGCTTGTGTGCCTCACTTGGGGATCGTAAACGCAAATGTGTCACCTCCTTCAGGAAGTTTTCCTGAACCCCAAGCCACGCCGGGCATCTCTAGATCTGGCTTCCGCAATCGCAACGACAGTACCCATCATTGCACCTCCTCACTTGCATGACCAGTATGTTTTTAAGCATGTCTCATATGCCTTGGATGCTACGTAACTTTGGAACATACATTGAAATGATGCATCTTTGAGTGTCCAGAGCTAGGCTCTCTGGGCACACCCAGAAAAAAGTCAGCGGAAGAGGTAAAGGGAAGATGTATGGGAGCTTGGGCCACGTCCTCTGCTGGCGCTCTGCCGCATGCCAGCTTCTGCCCCAGAGGGAGGGGAGGGAAGGAGAGGGAAAAAGAGAAAAGAAGAAAAGGGGAGAAAGGTGAAGTGAAAAATATCAGCATGAAGCAAAAATGTGTCCTCAGACAAAAAGGAAATGCATAGACCCGAGGCAGACAGGAATAGGACCCAGGCAGATAGGAATAGGACCCAGGCAGATAGACCCAGGCAGACAGGAATAGGACCCAGGCAGATAGACCCCAGGCAGATAGGAATAGGACCCAGGCAGATAGGAATAGGACCCAGGCAGATAGACCCCAGGCAGATAGGAATAGGACCCAGGCAGATAGGAATAGGACCCAGGCAGATAGACCCCAGGCAGATAGGAATAGGACCCAGGCAGATAGGAATAGGACCCAGGCAGATAGACCCCAGGCAGACAGGAATAGGACCCAGGCAGATAGGAATAGGACCCAGGCAGATAGACCCCAGGCAGATAGGAATAGGACCCAGGCAGATAGGAATAGGACCCAGGCAGATAGGAATAGGACCCAGGCAGATAGACCCCAGGCAGACAGGAATAGGACCCAGGCAGATAGGAATAGGACCCAGGCAGATAGACCCCAGGCAGATAGGAATAGGACCCAGGCAGATAGGAATAGGACCCAGGCAGATAGACCCCAGGCAGACAGGAATAGGACCCAGGCAGATAGGAATAGGACCCAGGCAGATAGACCCAGGCAGATAGGAATAGGACCCAGGCAGGCACTGCAAGCTGTGAGCATCATCTTGGGAATATGCAAATGTTTGTGCTGAATTACTTTCCTTTTTAAAATTATTTATGCATTTATTGAGACAGGGTCTCGTTCTGTCACCCAGGCTGGAGTGCAAAGGTGTGATCTGGGCTCACTGCAGCCTCCACCTCCCGAATTCAAGCGATTCTCCCTCCTTAGCCTCCTGAGTAGCTGGGACCACAGGTGCGCAGCACCACGCCTGGCTACTTTTTGTAGTTGTTGTAGAGATCGGATTTTGCAATATTGCCCAAGCTGGACTCGAACTCCTGGGCTCAAGCGATCCGCCCGCCTTGGCCTCTCAAAGTGCTGGGATTACCGTCGTGAGCCACCTTGCCTGGCCATCCTTTCCTAAGGTAGTAAGAATGTGGTAGGCTAAATGACGGTATCCTCCACTCCGTCCCTAAAAATCTCCTGGTCCTAATCTCTAGAACCTGTGAAAAGATTACCTTGTATGAAAATAGGGTGTTTAGACATTAAAGGTTTTCAAATGAGGAAATTATCCTGTATTAGCCTAAATATAATGACAAAGATTTTTGTTTTTTGTTTGTTAGCTTTTATAGAGACAGGGGTCTCTCTATGTTGCCAAGGTAGGTCTCAAACTCCTGGCCTTGTTATCATACTGCTGCCCAAAATGCTAGGATGACAGGAGTGCGGAGTTTTTTTTGTTTTGTCTTTTTGAGTTTTTTTTTTTTGACAAAGTCTTGCTCTGTCACCCAGGCTGGAATACAGCGGACAGATCTTGGCTGACTGCAACCTCCACTTCCCGAGTTCAAGTGATCCTCCCTTCCTCAGTCTCCCAAGTAGCTGGGATTACAGGCACCCGCCACCACGCCCGGCTTATTTTTGTATTTTTAGTAAAGATGGGGTTTCACCATGTTGGCCGGGCTGGTCTCAAACTCCTGACCTCAGGTGATCTGCCCGCCTCGGCCTCCCAAAGTGCTGGGATGACAGGCATGAGCTACCACGCCTAGCCTGGGGTTTTTATAAGGAGGAGGAACAGGCATGCTTGAGACAGATGAGAGAAAATGATGATGTGAAGACAGAGGCAGAGACTGGAGTGATACAGCCACAAGCCGTGGGATGCCTGGAGCCCCCAGGAGCTGGGGGAGGCCAAAAGGATCCTCCCCTAGAGCGTCTGGATGGAGCTCAGCCCTGAGACACCTTGGATTTAAAGTCTTGTCCTCCAGACCTGGGAGAGGATATATTTCTATTGTGCAAGTTCCCCAGTTTTGGTGTTTTTTTTTTTTTTGTTAGTTCAATATGATTTTATTCAAAAATGTATACAGCTGAAGGAGGGATCTGGTCTTTTGTTAAAAAAAAAAAAAACAATTTTCACAGTATATATTTGGCCATTTTAGCTCTGTAGTGAACAACACCAGAAAAGGAAGTTTCTGTTCAAGATCCTGACTCCAGCACACTCAGCCAGGTTGCTTGGCAAGATGACACATTTCCTGGTCTGAAGCACACAGCCCATCCTCTCACCTAAGTGGAACAGCAGTTCTCCTGCAGGCGCGTGTGTACACACACACACACACACACACACACACACACACACGAGGTCTTATTTTCACTGCTCTACACAGGGTCCTGAGAACCCTTACTTTTAAAGTTGGGAAAAACGGGCCGGGCGCGGCAGCTCACGCCTGTATTCCCAGCACTTTGGGAGGCCGAGGCGGGCGGATCACCTGAGGTCGGGAGTTCAAGACCAGCCTGGCCAACATGGAGAAACCCCGTCTCTACTAAAAATACAAAATTAGCCGGGTGTGGTGGCACATGCCTGTAATCCCAGCTACCAGGGAGGCTAAGGCAGGAGAATCACTTGAACCTGGGAGGCAGAGGTTGCGGTGAGCCGAGCTCGTGCCATTGCACTCCAGCCTGGGCAACAAGAGTGAAACTCTGTCTCAAAAAAAAAAAAAAAAAAAAAAAAAAAAATGGGAAAAATGTGGAAGGATTCCTTAACTCATTGTCTGCGACAAATCCAGCTGCCTTTTAACTCTTAGCAACTGCCAGTATCAAATACTTGAAAGTGACGAGATGCTCCATTTAATGCAACAACTCAAATGCTAAGCAATTCGGTCAAGTCACATGCTTGAATATTTTTAAATGTCACTTAAAAATTATCGAGAGAAGATAAGATGTGCTTTTCACAGTAACCCTAAGGAACTCACACAGAATAAAAATCTTAACCCTAACGGAGTGTGAATCCACAGTAACAAATGCCTTCTGTCACTGTGATTCTGACAGTGAGACAGTATCATATGAAGACAGGAGATTCACGCACCTGCTGTGTCTGATGCCCCTCTCGGCACCTAGCATGGTGAATGATGTCCACGCTTCCCGTAGCCCACACACCACACCCTCCAATGCAGAAAGTGAGTCTACAATTCTCACTGTTGCTCTTGAGGCTGCCAATAACTCATCCAACTTTTCTTTTATTTGCAACTCAGTGACAGACAGTAAACCCTGAGACTCAAGAAGATAACCTCATCTGGCCGGGTGTGGTGGCTCATGCCTATAACCCCAGCACTTTGGGAGGCTGAGATGGGTGGATCACCTGAGGTCAGGAGTTCGAGACCAGCCTGGCCAACATGGTGAAATCCGGTCTCTACTAAAAATACAAAAATTAGCCAGGTGTGGTGGTGCACGCCTGTAATCCCAGATACTCGGGAGGCTGAGGCAGGACAATCGTTTGAACCTGGGAGGTGGAGGTTGCAGTAAGCCGAGATCACACCACTGCACTCCAGCCTGGGCGACAGAGCAAGACTATGTCTCAAAAAAAAAAAAAGATAACTTCATCCACAGAAGAATTTCTAACATCTAAAGGGGTTTCCTGAGGGCAAGTCAGAAATACAGATTTCTGAAATTAATGCTGCCCAAGAGATGAAGTCAACTGGAAAGACACAGAGGCATGTGTTGATAAATAGGGATCAAGAAGAAAAAAAAATTCCTTTTGTTTGGAGTTCTGGCAAATCGCCTGGTTTGGAGGAACTGAATTACCCCTTCTTCTTTGCGATAGAGAACATCATTATGGAATGAACTGTACCTCCCTAAAAAATCCTTTTGTCTGAGGCTCTGGCAAACCTCCTAATTTGGAGGAATTGAATAGTGCCTTCATTTTTTCTTTGCAATAGATATAGGACATCGTTATAGACTGAGCCGTGCCCTCCCTCACTCATCATCAGAACCCTTAAACTCCAATGTGACTTTATTTGCAGACAGGGCCTGTAGGAGCTCAAAAGGGTGAGGCCCTCGTCCAGTAGGACTGGTGTCCTTATAATCAGAGAAACACACACCAGGTGTGATGGTTAATGCCGAGTGTCAACCTGATTGGATTGAAGGATGCAAAGTATTGATCCTGGGTGTGTCTGTGAGGGTGTGGCCAAACAAGTTTAACATTTGAGTTAGTGGGGTGGGAAAGGCAGACCCACCCTTAATCGGGGTGGGCACCATCTAATCAGCTGCCAGCACAGCACATTCAAAAAGCAGGCAAAAGAATGTGAAAAGGTTAGACTGGCCTAGCCTCCCATGCTACAGCTTTCTCCCGTGCTGGATGCTTCCTGCCCTCAAAAATTGGACTCCAAGTTCTTCAGCTTTAGCACTCGGGCTGGCTTCCTTGCTCCTCAGCTCGCAGACAGCTTATTGTAGGACCTTGTGATCCTGTGAGTTAATACTGAATAAACCCCCCTTTATATATAGCTATTTATCCTGTTAGTTATATCCCTCTAGAGAACCCTGGCCAACACAGGGTGCATCCCTCACCCCCTATATCTATCACCCTGCTGCCTGAGTTGATAGGAAAGCAGAAAGAGCCCCTTTTTAATGTTTAATTTTATTAAGTATGCAATTTCCCAGTGCCCAAACTCATGTTGATTTCAAAAACTGCCCTTTTAAAGCATGTGGACAGGGTAACAATTCATAGCAGGTGACAAAAATGTTTTATAAATAATATCCACGGAAACAGAAGGTGTCACCGTCTGCAGAATGCAGCCAAAATATTCAGAAGATTTGTATCACTCTAAGTTCTCGTGCTAGTAAGAAATAAAAAAGCAGGCCGGGCGCAGTGGCTTACGCCTGTAATCCCAGGACTTTGGGAGGCTGAGGCGGGCGATCACCTGAGTTCAGGAATTCGAGACCAGCCTGGCCAACATGGCAAAACCCTGTCTCTACTAAAAATATAAAACTTAGCTGGGCATGGTGGTGCATTGCCTGTAATCCCAGCTACTTGGGAGACTGAGGCAGGGGAATCGCTTGAACCTGGGAGGCGGAGGTTGCAGTGAGCCGAGACCATGCCACTGCACTCCAGCCTGGTGACAGTGCCAGACTCCATCTCAAAAAAAAAGCTGTGTAAATACATGAATCATTAGATATTAGCCTTTCTTTGCTGAGCCTTGCACATTTCCACGAGGTGTCTCTGGAAGCAGGTTAGCTTTGGTCTTATTGCTGCGTGGAGCAGAGATGAGAGGGATGGGCCATGACATGCCATCCTGCAGCATTCTGGTCTTTGTATGATCACGGCTGGTTGCGCTGCAGGAGCACGCCAGGTCTTTTCACCTAGTTCTTTGTTGTTGTTGTTTGAGATGGAGTTTCACCCTGTAGCTCAGGCTGAAGTGCGGTGGTGCGATCTCGGCTCACTGCAACCTCCACCTCCTGGATTCAACCAATTCTCCTGCCTCAGCCTCCTGAGTAGCTGGGACTACAGGCACCCGCCACCACGCCTGGCTAATTTTTGTGTTTTAGTAGAGACAGGGTTTCACCATGTTGCCCAGGCTGTTCTTGAACTCCGGACCTTGTGATCTGCCCGCCTCGGCCTCCCAAAGTGCTGGGATTACAGGTGTGAAGCACCTCACCCGGCCTCATCTAGCTCTTGATGACATACTCAGACCAACCCGTGGGGTCCCGGGTCCCCAGAACAGAGGTGGACATGGCTCCGATATCACAAGAACTGGCGCTTCCTGCAGCACACACCTGAGGTTGAGACACAGTGATTAGGTTTTGTTTTATTGTGGCTGATCTAGGACACTTTAAATAACACAACATCCAAGAGTCAGCCAAACGTGGCAGCCAAAAGTGCTCCTGACCTTGTGATCTGAAATATATACTTTAACCTTCTCTTGGAAGGCATGTTTTAAGATAATATAACAGCTTCCTCATCATGGAGAATGAAGCCCATCTGTACCAAGTCACCAGGCCATCAAGGAAAAGGAAATAAGTACTTTCAATATTTTCCTTAGAGAAATACAGTTGGGTGGGCAGGTGCAGTGGCTCACACCTGTTATCCCAGCACTTTGGGAGGCCAAAGCGGGCGGATCGCTTGAGGTCAGGAGCTCAAGACCAGCCTGGCCAACACGGTGAAACTGCATCTCTACTAAAAATACAAAAACTAGCCGGGCATGGGGTCAGGCACCTGAAATCCCAGCTACTTGGATGGCTGAGGCAGGAGAATTGCTTAAACCCGGGAGGTGGAGGTTGCAGTGAGCTGAGATCGCACCACTGCACTCCAGCCTGGGTGACAGAGCCAGACTGTCTCAAAAAATAAATAAATAAATAAATAAAGTAATATATTGGATGGTATGATGGTACACACACTCCTGAATCAGACGGCTGCCACTCTGTGAACTGTTACTGCAAGCTGTCTGTGGTGAGACATGTTCAGAAATTGAAAGTAAATGTTTAGAAACTTAAAAAATAATGACAGTCATTTAAGCTTTGTTCAATCCAATGACTTAAAAAAAACACACTGAGAGCTTCTAGTTTCCATGTTTCTTAAATGCATTTTTTTTAGTAATTCATTTTTATTGTATCTACGGCAGTTATCAATCTGCTGCAGATTAGGGGAGAGGCAGTTTTGCCATGGAGAGTTTAAAAGCGCTGATTCTGAGCACAGTGTCATCTGGATAGAAACTCCTGAGGTACTGCTGTAATTTTCCACAAAAACACTTGTGGGGATGTAAGAAAGAGGAAAACCCATACTACTGCTAATAATTGGAACCAGTGATCAAAGGATGGGTAAAAGCACAAGCTGAGCTTCCAAAAACAGCAGTGTGAATGGATTTTTTTTAAAAAAACTAGAAGATGCATTTTTCTTGCTCCTTGAGAAAAAAGGCTTATAGCCACTAGCAACATGAACATCAGCATTCTATTGAGATCACTGGCTTGCGAGGTGGTGATATAGTTTAGATCTGTGTCCCCACCCAAATCTCATGTTGAATTGTAATCCGCAGTGTTGGAGGAGTGGCCTGGGGAGAGGTGATGGGATCATGGAGGTGGATTTCTCACGAATGGGTTAGCGCCATCCCCTTGGTGATGTTCTTGTGACCATGAATGAGTTCCCACAAGATCTGGTTGTTTAAAAGTGCACAGCACCTCCCCTCCACTCTTGCTCCTGCTCTAGCCATTAAGACGTGCTGGCTTCCACTTCACCTTCCATCATGATTGTAAGTTGCCTGAGGCCTCCCCAGAAGCAGAAGCTGCTCTGCTTCCTGTACAGCTTGCAGAACCATGAGCCAATTAAACCTCTTTTCTTTATAAATCATCCAATCTCAGGTACTTCTTTATAGCAATGCAAGAACAGACTAATACAGATGGATGCATGCATGGACGGATGGACGGATGAATTGATGGATGGGTGGAAGGATGGGTAGATGGATGGATAGGTGGATGGATGGATGGATTGGATAGATGGATGGATAAATGGATGGATGGATGGATGGGTGGGTGGGTGGGTGGATGGGTGGGTGGATGGGTGGGTGGATGGATGGATGGATGGATGGGTGGATGGGTGGATGGGTGGATGGGTGGATGGATGGATGGATGGATAAATGGATGGATGGATGGATGGATGGATGGGTGGGTGGGTGGATCGATGGATTGATGGATGGATACATGAGAGGATGGGTGAGTGGATGGATGGATGAATTGATGGATGGACGGATGGATGAACTGATGGATGGATGGATGGATGGATGGATGGATGGATGGATGGGTGGATGGATGGATGGGTGGGTGGGTGGATTGATGGATGGATAGA
Organism: Homo sapiens; assembly: GCF_000001405.40. Lineage (NCBI taxonomy): Eukaryota > Metazoa > Chordata > Mammalia > Primates > Hominidae > Homo > Homo sapiens. Next base: position 2,304,110 of record NC_000024.10, read on the forward strand.
TGGATGGATGGATAAATGGATGGATGGATGAATGGATGGATGGATGGATGGATGGATGAACTGATGGATGGATGGATGGATGGATGGATGGATAAATGGATGGATGGATGGATGGATGGATGGATGGATGGATAAATGGATGGATGGATGGGTGGGTGGGTGGATGGATGGGTGGGTGGGTGGGTGGATGGATGGATGGATGAATGGATGGATGGATGGATGGATGAACTGATGGATGGATGGATGGATGGATAGATGGATGGATGAATTGATAGATGGGTAGTGATATGGTTTGGATCTGTGTCCTCATTCAAATCTCAAGTTGAATTGGAATCCCCAGTGCTGGAGGTGGACCCTTGTAGGGGGAGATTGGGTCACGGGGGTGGATGTCTCAGGAATAGTTTAGTGCCATCCCCTGGGTGCTGTGCTTGCAATAGTGAATGAGTTCTCGTGGCATCTGGTTGTTGAAAAGTGTGTAGCATCTCCCCAGCCCACCCCAACTGCACCTCTGTCTCTCCTTCTCTTGCTAGGGCCATGTAAGACACCTGCTTTCCTTCACTTTCCACTATGATTATGCATTTCCTCATGCCTCCCTAGAAGCAGAAGCTGCTCTGCTTCCCGTACAGCCTGCAGATCCATGAGCCAATTAAACTTCTTTTCTTTATAAATTACCCAGTCTCAGTGTAGCAATTCCTCAAAGACCTAGAACCAGAAACACCATTTGACCCAGCAATCCCATTACTAGGTATATATCCAAATAAATAGAAATCATTCTATTATAAAGATACAGGCACACATATGTTCATTGCAGCACTATTCACAATAGCAAGGATGTGGAATCAACTCAAATGCCCAAGAATGATAGACTGGATTAAAAAAAATGGTACATATACACCGTGGAATACTATGCAGCCATAAAAAGGAACGAGATCATGTCCTTTGCAGGGACATGGATGGAGCTAGAAGCCATTATTCTTGGCAAACTAATGCAGGAACAGAAAACCAAACACTGTACACTCTCACTCATAAGTGGGTGCTTAACAATGAGAACACATGGATACAGGGAGGGGAACAACACACACTGGGGCGTGTTGTGGGTGGGGGTCAGGGAGGGGGAGAGCATCAGGAAAAATAGCTAATGCCTGCTCAGTAGTGAAGTACAAATCAAAACCACAATGAGATACCACCTCACATCAGTTAGAAGGGCGATCATTAAAAAATCAGGAAACAACAGATGCTGGAGAGGATGTGGAGAAACAGGAATGCTTTTACACTGTTGGTGAGAGTGGAAGTTAGTTCAACCATTGTGGAAGACACTGTGGCGATTCCTCAAGGATCTAGAACCAGAAATACCATTTGACCCAGCAATCCCATGACTGGGTATATACCCAAAGGATTATAAATCATCCTACTATAAAGACACATGCACATGTGTGTTTACTGCAGCACTGTTCACAATATTAAAGACTTGGAACCAACGCAAATGCCCGTCATTGATAGACTGAATAAAGAAAATGTGGCACATAGACACCATGGACTACTATGCAGACATTAAAAAGGATGAGTTCATGTGCTTTGCAGGGACACGGATGAATCTGGAAACCATCATTCTCAGCAAACTAACACAAGAACAGAAAACTAAACACCACATGTTCTCACTCTTAAGTGGGAGTTGAGCAATGAGAACACAGGGACACAGGGAGGGGAACATCACACACTGGGGCCTGTTGGGGGGTGGGGGGCAAGGGGAGAGATAGCTTTAAAAGAAATACCTAATGTAGATAACGAGTTGATGGGTGCAGCAAACCACCATGGCACGTCTATACCTATATAACAAACCTGCATGTTCTGCACATGTACCCCAGAACTTAAAGTACAATAATAAAAAGAATAGCTAACTCATGCTGGGCTTTAATACTTAAGTGATGGGTTGATAGGTGCAGCAAACCACCACGGCACATGTTTATCTATGTACAATCCTGCATATGTACCCGGAACTTAAAATTTTTAAAAATTACCCAGTCTCAGGTATTTCTTCAGAGCAGTGTGAGAACGGAGTAATACAGGCAACCAACGGGCTTTGCTCATTCTTGCAATCAGCATCTTTTTTTTTTTGCATCCATTCAGGAGCTACCTCGCACCAAGAGAAACACTGGTAGGAAGGGTAAGGGGAACAGGGTATGGCTGGCATCACTAGGGGAAGATGAGCCGATACATCAAGCCCTGCAGCAGGGGAAGGCAGAATGCTCACTGGGTGCTAGAACTTGAACTTCACCCCTGACATTCAGAAAAATCTCTTTGGACAAAGAGCAGAGCAGGAATGAAGCCCACAATTAAGATTGCGATCAATTATCTTTTTTTTTTTTTTTTGAGGCAGAGTCTTGCTCTGTTGCCCAGGCTGGAGCGCAGTGGTGCGATCTTGGCTCACTGCAACCTCCACCCGCCAGGTTCAAGCGATTCAGCCTCCCAAGTAGCTGGGATTACAGACGCGCACCACCACGCCTGGCTAATTTTTGTATTTGTAGTAGAGACAAGGTTTCGATGATCAGTCATCTTTTTGACGCACTGCTGGATTCTGTTTGCTAGTATGTGGTTGAGCATTTGTGCGTCTATCTTCATCTGGGATATTGGCCTGTAGTTTTCTATTTTTGTCGTGTCCTTGTCAGATTTTGGTATCAAGATGATACAGGTTTTGTAGAATAAGTTAGGGAGGAATCCCTCCGCCTCAATTTTTTAGAATCGTTTCAGTCAGATTGGAACCAGCTCTTCTTTGTACATCTGGTCGAATTCAGCTGTGAATTTGTCTGGTCTTGGGGCTTTTTTTTTTTTTTTTGATTGATAGGTTTTTGTAAATTACTGATTCAATTTCATAACTTGTCATGAAATGAGTCTGTTCTGGATCTGATTTCTTCCTGATTCAATCTTGGGAGGCATGAGGGAATCAGCCCAGGTGTCCATCAATTATGTGTTGGATGAAGAAAATGTAGTTGCTGCATATATACCGTAGAATAGTATAGAGCCATAAAAAAGAATGAAATCATGTTTTTAGCAGCAACACAGATGCAGCTGGAGGCCATTATCCTAAGTGAATTAACACAGAAACGGAAAATTAAATACCACTTGTTCTCAATTATACATAGGAGCTAAACATTGAATAATCAGGCATAAAAATGGGAAGCTGGCACACCTGCGCATTCCAAGAGCAGGGGAGGGAGAGGGGTGTAAAGGCTAAAACTCTACCTATGAGGTATTTTGTTCACCGTTTGAGTGACAGGTTCAACTGAAGCGTGAACCGCAGCACTACACAATGTATCTTACAACAAAGCTGCACGTGTACCTCATGAAATTTTTTTTAAAAGAAAACAAACAAGGCCGGGGGGTGGGTGGCTCACGCCTGTAATCCCAGCACTTTGGGAGGCCGAGGCGGGTGGATCACGAGGGGTCAGGAGATCGAGACCATCCTGGCTAACATGGTGAAACCCTGTCTCTACTAAAACTACAAAAAATTAGCCAGGCGTGGTGGCGGGCGCCTGTAGTCCCAGCTACTCAGGAGGCTGAGGCAGGAGAATGGCATGAACCTGGGAGGCGGAGCTTGCAGTGAGCCGAGATTGTGCCACTGCACTCCAGCCTGGGCGACAGAGCAAGACTCCCTCTCAAAAAAAAAAAAAAGTAATAAAAATAAAAAAAATAAAATAAAAAACAAGGAAAAACAAAAGAGTATGAGGCTTCAAGCCCACTGGACCAAGACACCAGGGTGATCTGCGCATAGGACACAGGAAATCGTACTTGCTAGGAGCTCAGTGGCTGCGTTCACCTGGAACCTAACCCATGTAGGAGCTGCGTCCCTTTCCCAGGGCACCATGAGAGGGACCAGGGAACCGAACACAGGAGGATCTCCGGAAGACTTGAGATAGGTTTTTTCATTCCACCTGGAGTACCTTCAACGATACCTTCATTCTATTTAGATAATTTAGAGAAATGAAAGTTAGAGTGTTTGGGAGTATTTAACGCACTCCTAGGAGCTACAAAATGAGTGTCTGCCACGTAGCTCATGGAATAAGATGGAGTATACCAGTTATCCATGTGGCAAGAACAGAAAAGAAGCAGGAAGTACAGCTTCAGCCAACGAGGGCGCTCCCAGTTACTGGTCATGATATAAAGCCAAAATGGTGGCCTCCTACACTCAGAGCCTGTGAAAAAGGTGATGTCTGTATCTTGATGGTAAAGATACAGAGTATTAAAAAGGAGGAATTACAATTGTTAAAACAACTGTTCGACAATTGTTCGACAATTGTTTTAACAATTGTTCAACAATTGTTAAAACGTTCACATTTATCAGCCAAACAAGCAAAAACCAAGTAGAAATGGCCCTAGTCACACAAGACAGCAATGATTGAAGTCTAAAACGTTAATGGAACAAGGAGGATCATCGCCTATGAAGGCATGGTTTGGATCTGTGTAACCAACCTTGTAACCCAACAGGGCTAACTTGAAAATCATAAACCAAATGCTGAATTGAGATGAAGCTATAATGTGCCATTTTCACAGCATTTTCTTCAGAATAACACAATATCCAAGTATATTTTTCAAGAATTCCTAGGTAGGCAGGGAGAAATGAACAAAATCAACATTGTGGGGGAAGGAGGAAAGGATGGGTGGAAAGAGGGAAGGGGAGGGGAGGGGAGGGAAGCAAGAATGAATGGAAGGAGGGAAGAAAGAAAGGGAGGGAGGGAGAAAGGAGGGAAGAAAGGGAAGGAGGAAAGGATGGGTGGAAACGGGGAAGGAAGGAAGAAGGAGAAACAAGGTCCCAGAAAATACTGTCAATAATATATTTAATGAGGCAGGAAATGCAAACTTACAAATAGGAAACACTGTACTGTATGAAAAAAGCTTTAAAATGATAGGTTTCTGTTTCTTAGTATCCTGATAATATGTTACATTTGTAAGTAAAATGTGAAAATCTCGAGGAAATAATTTTCTCAGAGATACTAATTATCCCAATTCAATCAAGGAAATTAGGTCTAATCAGACCAATAGCTATAAGAAAAATAGAGAAGAATAATGAAAGAATGGCATGAAGAAAGGGTAGATGAGTGCAGAGGGTATTTTAGAAAATTCTTCTAGACTTTCAAAGAACAGATAAGTGCCCTGATACTGACTGGTTGGACAAAAAGAGTCTGAGGTGGTTTGTTTTGTGAAATTTATGCTGTTCTGATAGAAATTCTGAAAAAAGCATAGCAGAAGAAATTTGCTAGGAGGGCAGGAATTGCTTGATGAGTAACATTTATATATACAGAAGAAAAAAATCATAAAAATGTAAACTTAAAGAAGTCTTCCACTGAGACATACAAAAGCAAATGTATTTAATACTAAGAAAAAAATTTCCAGAAATGCTGTCCATTCTGAAATATTATTAAAGAGCTCCTAGAATAAATGTGATAAGTGTGTCCATAACCACTACCTGAAAATCAGATCTTAGTCAACCTTGTAACCCAACTGGGCTAATTTGAAAATCATCATGGCCAGGTGTGGTGGCTCACCCTGTCACTGTAGCATTTTGAGAGGCCGAGGTGGGAGGATTGCTTGAGGCCAGTTCAAGAGCAGCCTGGGCAACATAGCAAGACCCTACCTCTACAAAAGGAAGTCATAAAAAATTATCTGAGTGTGGTGGTGCATGTCTGCAATCCCAGCTACGTGGGAGGCTGAGGTGGCAGGACTGCTTGAGCATAGGAGGTTGAGGCTGCAGTGAGCTATGATTATGCCTCTGCACCTCTGCACTCCAGCTTAGAAAACAGAGCAAGACCCTGTCTCAAAATAATATAAAATAAAAACCCATCATTTAGACCAGGAGGCAGCGCTTGTGGAGAAGGCGTTCAGCTCAGAGCAGCAACAGCTTTCAAGCATCTACCAACAGCCAACACAGCCCCTGAATCCGTCTGCACCTGCCCCGTCCCTACGCATCCTAATAAATTCACGAGTGTCTTGGTAAGCCAGAACCTCCGGGATCCAGGCAGCCAGAGGACAGTTCTTCCCGCACTTGTGGGTAGCAACAGCCGTCCTGCTACCCAAAAAGCCCAGTTCTTGGAGCCAAGAGCTGATGCGACCACAGCCTGCAAAGTCTTGAGCAGGGACGAAGCTCATGATGGCTTCTGGCCTCTCTTCATTCAGGAGGGAAGGAACCCAGGTGCCCGAACTGCCGGAATTTGCCAAGAAGGAGGGCAGATTGGTTGTCACCCCCTGCGTCTCTCATTTCTATATATTTATCAATTTAAAAATAAAGGTGAAATACCAGTATCTCTTAGTCGTTATGCAGGTATGGAGCGCCTCTCTGGAGACCTGAAATCCTATTTTCTTTGTATGAGGCAGCTATCCATCTGCCCCTAAGACCTACTGTGAAAGACGCTGCAGCGAGATTATTCTGTGTGTGTGTGTATATGTGTGTGTGTGTGTGTGAGAGAGAGAGAGAGAGGGAGAGAGAGAGAAAATAAGCAAGAGAGAGGAAGAAAAAAGAACAAAACACAGAGAAAGTTATGGAGAAAGAGAGGGTGAGAATGGGAGAGAAAGAGAGAGACAGAGGGAGGAAAGAGACAGAGAGAAAGATTGTGACACAGAAATAGAAGCACAGAAAGAGAGCTTGAAAGAGACAGAGAGTGTGCCAGAGAGACACAGAGAGACAGATACAGGCTCACACCTGTAATCCCAATAGTTTGGGAGGCCGAGGCGGGTGGATCGCCTGATGTCAGGAGTTCGAGACCAGCCTGGCCAACATGGTGAAACCCCGTCTCTACTAAAAATATAAAAACTAGCTGAGCGTGGTGGCGGGCACCTGTAATCCCAGCTACTCGGGAGGCTGAGGCAGGAGAATCGCTTGAATCCGGGAGGCGGAGGTTGTAGTGAGCCGAGATCACTCCATTGCACCCCAGACTGAATGAGAAGAACAACACTCTGTGTCAAAAAAAAAAAAAAAGAGAGACAGAAGGAGAGAGACACAGAAACTGAGAGACAGAGAGAATAAGCGAGAGACAGAGAGAGAGAAAGAGGAGAGACACAGAGAAAGTGACAGAGAGGGACAGAGAGGAATAGAATGAGAGAGACAGAGGTTGTGACACAGAGAGGGAGAGAAAGAGAGAGAGACATACAGAGAGAGAAAGAGAGAGATGGGGAGAGAGCTGCCTGGCATGGTGGGATAAATAAGTGGGTGACGCCTTTGTTTTCATTGTGTTTACTACGATGGCCCTCCTCTCCCTCTTGAGCACTTGAGATACATCACTACGAGAGAACTCAAGTTAAAACAATGCTCCTCGGATACACAGCTGTCCTCAGAAACCACCTTCAGGATAAACTCTGTAAATATTGTTGTCAGAATGGTAAAGTGTTCAGATAATTAAAGTTGTCCTCTGACTCCCAGGTCTAGTCTAGAAAAGAAGATTAAAATGAAAGCACCATTGACCCACCCGCGAGGCAAAGAGCAGATGCCCCAAAGAGCTTGTGTAAGTAAAGAGGAAAGAAAGGCTTTCGAAGACAAGGCACTACCCAAGGGCGAGAAGTCAATCTTGATGTTGCCGTGGAAACGCGGACTTGTGAAGAGCTTTCAAGAACAATTCTGTCTCCAAGGAGGTAAATCGTCCTCCTGGGAATGCGTTGAAACCATTATCCACCCACAGGACTGGGCTAAAAGTAAACTTCAGGGTAGCTTGGATGAGCAGCATAGGTTGCTAATGAGCGTCGATTTAATGGTCTGAGTTGTTTATACATCAAAAAGAAGTTACCAAGGGTCTACCTGTCTGCTGTTTAGATACACTGGAAACCAGTTAAAACTTAATTCCTAAGAAGCTGTTTCCCACTGTGTTCAAATTTAAATGCTTCAAGAGTAATGCTTCTGGGCACAAAATGGAAAAAGTGGGGAAAATCCAACGGCATCAAAATCCCCACGCCACCACCCATGCTGCAAGCACTGTAAGCTGTGATAGTATCTGTCTGCTAAAGGTGCTAAAGAGAAAGCTTGAGGAACTGAGACCTGGCAGGGACCCCTCTTAGGGGCAAACCAGGAAACTCTCTCCACCCCCGACCAAGCATGGAAATCAAGAGAAATCTTGAGTTCCTTCCAGGAAGGAAACTCCAGGCACTTCGCTGGCTGGGAGAAGTTAATGAGCAACTTGATGAAGAAGAAAGTCACAGTAGCTTAAAATAACAACCAAGGAAATTAGAGTCAGGGATGTTCGCTTCCCTAGAGCAACTAATAAAGAAAATGTGGCACGTAGACACCATGGAATACTATGCAGCCATAAAAAAGGATGAGTTCATGTCCTTTGCAGGGACATGGATGAAGCTGGAAACCATCATTCTCAGGAAACTATCACAGGAACAGAAAACCAAACACTGCATGTTTTCACTCATAAGGGGGAGTTGAACAATGAGAACACATGGACACAGGGAGGGGAACATCACACACAGGGGTCTTTCGGGGACTGGGGGACTAGGGGAGGGAGAGCATTAGGACAAATACCTAATGTAGATGATGGATGGCAGCAAACTACCATGGCACGTGTATACCTAGTAACAAACCTGCATATTCTGCACATGTACCCCAGAAGTTAAAGTATAATTAAAAAAAATAAAAGAAACTCACACCTCTACCCTATGGAATCCTCTGGCATGAAGACCTCAGACGTGGGAGAGCTAGGGACTGAACTCTGATCCCTGTTCCTTGTTTTAAATTTCTTCCTGAGGGTCCTGGAGGAGGTCCTGCCCATGGGCCAGATCCAATGTGCTTTTACTGCTGACCGCAAGTCTTAGACAAAGCTCCACTTCCTTAACCAATTGCAAGTCCAAAAGTCTTTGAATCCACCTTGTTCCTGTAAGCAACCCCACCCTCGGGCCCAGCTTCAAGATATATATTTTTTTTTTTTTGAGATGGAGTTTCGCTCTTGTTGCCCAGGCTGGAGTGCAGTGGCATGATCTTGGCTCGCTGCAACCTCTGCCTCCCAGGTTCAAGCGATTCTCTTGCCTCAGCCTCCCAAGTAGCTGGAATTACAGGCACTTGCCACCACACCTGGGTAATTTTTTGTATTTTTAGTCAAGACGGGGTTTCACCATGTTGGCCAGGCTGGTCTTGAACTACTAGTAGACCTCAGGTGATCTGCCTGCCTCAGCCTACAAATGTGCTGGGATTACAGGCATGAGCCACCGTACCTGGCCCAAGATATCCCTTTTTAGGCCAAACCAACGTATAGCTTCCATGTATTGATTTATGATTTTTTTTTTACTTATTATTTTTGAGATGTAGTCTCGCTCTGTCGCCCAGGCTGGAGTGCAGTGGTGCCATCTCGGCTCACTGCAACCTCCGCCTCCCAGGTTCAAGCGATTCTCCTGCCTCAGCCTCCCAAATAGCTGGGACTACAGGCAAGCGCCACCATGCCCAGCTAATTTTTGTATTTTTAGTAGAGACAGGGTTTCACCATGTTGGCCAGGATGGTCTCGATCTCATGACCTCGTGATCTGCCCACCTCGGCCTCCCAAAGTGCTAGAATTACAGGCATGAGCCACGACGCCCAGCCGTGATTTATAATTGTTGATGAAAAGAGTCAAACTCTGTAAAATATTTGAAGAGATTTATTCTGAGCGAAATATGAGTGACCACGGCCCGTGACACAGCCCTCAGGAGATCCCGAGAACATGTACCCCAGGTGGTCGGGGTGCAGCTTGATTTTATATATTTTAGGAAGGCATGAGACATCAATCAAATACATTTCAGAAATACATTGGTTTGGTTCAGAAAGGTGGGACAACTCAACCTGGGGGCTGCCAGGCTATAGGTAAGTTTAAATATTTTCTGGTTGACAACTGGTTGAGTTTATCTGAAGACCTGGAATCAACAGAAAGGAAATGTCCAGGTGGAGATAAAGGATTGTGGGAACCAAGTTTTATTTTGCACAGGAAGCTCTCAGATAGCAGACTTCAGAGAGAACAGGTTGTAAAATGTTTCTTATCAGACCTAAAAGGGGGCCTGGCTCTCAGTTGATTATGTCCCAGATCTGGGAAGGAACAAAGGAACAAAGGGAGGGACGGAAGGAAGGAGGGAAGGAGGGAAGGAAGAGAGGGAGGGAAGGAGGGAAGGAAGGGAGGGAGGGAAGGAAGGGAGGGAAGGAGGGAATGAAGGAGGGAATGAGGGAGGGAAGGAGGGAATGAGGGAGGGAAGGAGGGAGGCAGGGAGGGAAGGAGGGAGGGAGGGAAAGGAGGGAGGGAGGGAAAGAAGGGAGAGAGGGAAAGGAATGGAGGGAAGGAAGGAAGGGAAAGAAGGGAGGGAAGGAAGGAAGGGGAGAAGGGAGGAAGGAAGGGGAGAAGGGAGGAAGGAAGGGGAGAAGGAAGGAAGGAAGGAAGGGAGGTAAAGGAGGTAAGGGAGGGAGGGAGGAAAGGCTATTCTCTATAGAATGTGGATTTTTCCCACAAGAGACTTCTCAGGGCAATTTCAAGGTATGGCAAGGAAATATATTTTGGGGTTAAATACATTGTTTTTCCTTGTCTCATTATGTTATGCCAGAGTCACATTGGAAAGTAAGTTACGATATATAGGGTTAAATAAAACCCATCTAATGAGAACTCATGGTTTGTAAAGAATGACTCCCTAGACCCTTTAGATAGGAATTTGGGCAAGATAAAAAAATCAGAACTTCGTCCTCATGATTTTGCCTGGAGCAGCTTCTGTCCTGAAATTTACCCGACTTGAAACACTATGGCTCGGAAGTCATTGAAAAGATTGGGTCTTAGGCCAGGTGCGGTGGCTCACGCCTGCAATCTCAGCACCTTGGGATGCCAAAGCGAGGGAATCACCTGAGGTCGGGAGTTAAGAGACCAGCCTGACCAACATGGAGAAATGCTGTCTCTACTAAAAGTACAAAACTAGCCAGGCGTGGTGGCGCATGCCTGTAATCCCAGCCACTCAGCAGGCTGAGGCAGGAGAATTGCCTGAACCCGGGAGGTGGAGGTTGCGGTGAGCTGAGATCACGCCATAGCACTCCAGCCTGGGCAGCAAGAGTGAAACTCCGTTTCAATAAAAAAAAAAAAAACGTTAGGTCTTAAGCGTGAGCTGCCTGAGTCTCCTGGCTTGGTGCTGTCCAAATAAACACTATCCTTTCTCTTGCTGCAAAGCCTCATTGTGGAGGTTTGACCTAAGTGCACCAGGCAAGTGGACACCAGTCCAGTTTGGCAACAAAACAGGCATCAGTAACGTGGGGTACAGGGTGAGAAAGGCCTACATCAGCAGCTTTTTATGAGATGAAAAGATTTCCTATCAGGAGAACATAAACAGACTTAGACTAAGGTGTTGGACTTCTGTTCGTCTGAGGATCCTGTTTCTTGCTGCCTGGTGAGAAGGTAGTGAGGTCATTTGGGTATACATAGCAGCATTAACAGCTTGAACCTAGCGAATATAGATGCCCATCTGTCTGCAGAAGTTGCCTCCCTCTGCCCTCAAATGAGCTGCTTAAGGAGCCATCCATCTTAGCTAGCTCTGCTGCGTAACAAAACGCCCCAAACGTAGTAGTTTAAAAAACAACACCCCTTTATGATCTCACAGTTCTGTAAGTCAGAAGATTGGGTTTAGATTAACAGGATGTCTCCATTTAGAGTCTCACAAGGCTGGAATTAAGGTGTCAGACAAAGCTGAGATGACATCTGTAGCTTAGGATGCTCTTCCAGGCATGCTGAATTGGGAGGCAAAATTCAGCTTCTTGTGGTTGTGAGATTGAGTCACATTTTCTCTCTTTTCTTTGAGACAGAGTCTCACTCTGTTGCCTAGGCTGGAGTGCAGTTTCGCGATCTCAGCTCACTGCAACCTCCGCCTCCCAAGATCAAGTGATTCTCTTGCCTCAGCCTCCCCAGTAGCTGGGATTACAGGTGCCTGCCACCACACCCAGCTAATTTTTGTCTTTTTAGTAGAGACGGGTTTTCTCCTTGTTGGAAAGAGTGGTCTCAAACTCCTGATCTCAGGTGATCCACCGGCCTTGGCCTCCAAAAGTGCTGGGATAACAGGCGTGAGCCACCGCGCCCGGCCAAGTCTCATTTTCATTTTGGCTGTCAGACAATGGTGGCTCTCTGCTTGCTGTGACACCCTCAGCAACTTGTCATATGGGAGTCTGCTTCTTCAAAACCAGCAAAAAGGGCCGGCTGCGGTGGCTCACGCCTGTAATTCCAGCACTGTGATAGGCTGAGGTGGGGAAGATCACCTGAGCTCAGGAGTTCGAGACCAGCCTGGCCAAAAGGGTGAAACCCTGTCTCTACGAAAAATACAAAAATTAGCCAGGCATGGTAGTGGGCGCCTGTAATCCCAGCTACTTGGGAGGCTGGGGCAGGAGAATCGCTTGAACCTGGGAGGTGGAGGTTGCAGTGAGCCGAGATTGCACCACTGCACTCCAGCCTGGGTGATAGAGCAAGACTCTGCCTCAAAAACAACAACAATAATAACAACAAAAACCAGGAAAAGGATCTCTGAGACCATCTCAAGTTTATTTGAAGAAGAAGAATTACTCATTCATCTCACCCTCTTTGAGGCAGGTCCAGCACAGATGATCTCTCCTTTGATTAAACCCACGTATGCCTAGTGTTCCATTATTGGAATGCTAAGCATGTGGAGTTATTTATATCCTACTGCTCAAGGTCATCGCCAAGATCTGATGGCAAAAATTCAAAAACTTGCAACTTCAGGCATAAATGGATTAACTCAAAGTTTTGAATCAAAGAAGATGAGTGAGGCAAGCCTCCATTAGTTTAGAGGTTAATTTTGCCACGGTTGAGAATGTGCCCCAGTCCAGGAAAAACAGACGCCAGTCACCATAGGACCTGTGCTCCGTGCTTTTTCTTTTCTTTTTGAGACGGAGTCTCCCTCTGTCGCCCAGGCTGGAGTGCAATGGCGCCATCTCGGCTCACTGCACCCTTCGCCTCCCGGGTTCAAGTGATTCTCCTGCCTCAGCTTCCTGAGTAGCTGGGATTACAAGTGCACGTCACCACGCCCGGCTAATTTTTGTATTTTTACTAGAGATGGGCTTTCACCACGTTTGTCAGGCTGGTCTCAAACTCCTGACCTCAGGTGATCCACCCGCCTCGGCTTCCCAAAGTGCTGGGATTACAGGCGTGAGCCACCGCGCCTGGCTTTTTTTTTTTTTGAGACAGAGTCTTGCTGTGTGGCCCAGGCTAGAGTGCAGTGGCGCAGTCTCAGCTCACTGCAGCCTCCACCTCCCGGGCTCAGATGATTCTTCTGCCTCACTGTCCCAAGTAGCTGGGATTACAGGCATGCAACGCCACGCCCTGCTATTTTTTTTATTTTTCAGTACAGACGGGGTTTTGCCATGTTGGCAGGCTGGTCTTGAACTCCTGACCTCAGGTGATCCACCTGCCTCGGCCTCCCAAAGTGCTGGGATTACAGGCGTGAGCCACTGCGTGCGGCCCTGTGCTTTTTCCAAGGATGGTTTTGAGGGCTTTGGTATAGAAAGGGAAAAAAGCAGGCAGGAGGGAAAGAGGAAAGAAAAAAAAAAGAAGGAGAGTAGATAAAAGAGGCAAATGATTACATTCTTGTGAGTCTTTGATTGGCACTCTCTGAATACACATTTTACATGGCAAAGTGCGGGTAGAGGAACAGTCAATCACGCGTTCATTTCATGCACAGTAAATCCACTTTTGCATAAGACAAAGTCAACATACAGAAGAGGAAGATGTCAAACATGCATTTGTCTCAGGGTGGGCGGAGAGATCATTTCTAGTCTTATCTTTGTCCCACACTTGTGAAGACAAGTTGTTAATTTACATTGTCAGGGAGAAATTCAACAGAACTCTGTTTTAGGGGAAAGATTTTGGAGCCCACAAGAAATTTCCTTATGAGCAATTTGTGAGAGCATCTCCGCTGGGGAGGGATGTGCAGAAATGAAGAGGCTACAACAAGTGTCTGAAGATAGTCCTGAAGGCCAGGTGCAGTGGCTCATGCCTGTAATACCAGAGCTTTGGGAGGCTGAGGCAGGAGGATTGCTTGAGCCTAGCAGTTCGAGACCAGCCTGGGCAACATGGTGAAACCTCGTGTCTACCAAAAATACAGAAAAAAAAAAAAAAAAAAGCAGCTGGGTGTGGTGATGGTGGTGCATGCCTGTAGTCCCAGCTACTTGGGAGGCTGAGGTGGGAGGATCACTTGAGCTGAGAAGGTCAAGGCTGTGCCACTGCACTCCAGCCTGGGCAACACAGTGACAACCCAATCTCAAAAAAAAAAAAAGATACCCTTCCAGCCAGATGAATGCACATGACCACTGGCATGAGAGGAGGTCGGCATTAAGATACAGGTCCTAAGGACCTTGTTGATAAAACAGGTTGTGGTAAAGAAGCTGGCCAAACCCCATGCAAACCAAGATGGCGACGAGACTGACCTCTGGTCTTCCTCACTGTTCATTATACGCTAACTCTAATGCATTCGCTGCTAAAAGACACTTCCATCAGCCTCATGGCAGTTTACAGATGTCATGGCAATGTCAGGAAGTTACCCTATAGGGTCTAAAAAGGGGAGGAACCCTCAGTTCCCAGAACCGCCCACCGGCTTCCCAGAAAACTCACGAATAATCTTTCCCTTGTTTCGCACAGAATCAAGAAATAACCATAAAAATCACCAACTGGCAGCCCTCGGTGCTGCTCTGCCAATGGAGTGGCCACTCTTTATTCCTTTACTTTCTTAATCAACTTGCTTTCACTTTACTCTATGGACTCACCCCAAATTCTTTCTTGCACAAGATCCAAGAACCCTCTCTTGGGGTCAGGATCAAGACCCCTTTCCAGTAAACAACGCCTCATGTTTTCTATAATAATTTCATTACTTTGTGTGCCCACTGACAATGGTAATGGTCTAACCCGGGGTTGGTCAACTGCAGCCCTCTAGCAAAATCCAGCCCCTTGCCTATTTTTGTGCACCTTGTAAACCAAAAAACTATTTCCACATCTTTTAAACAGTGGGTTAAAAAAAATCAAAAGAAGGATAACACAGTTGACTGTTGGACAACATACATCTGAACTGAGCAGATTCACCCATTTGGACTTTCACCCGAGATGACTCCTCCTCCCTCTTCGTCCCCCCTCCTCCCCCCCTCCCTTCTCCTCCTCCCCTCCCCCTCCTCTCCCTACTCCTGCAGAGTGCAGTGACTCACGCCTATAATCCCAGCAGTTTGGGAGGCCGAGGCGGGTAGATCACGAGGTCAGGAGTTGAAGACCAGCCTGGCCAATATGGTGAAACCCCGTCTCTACTAAAAATACAAAAATTAGCCAGGTGTGGTGGCGTGTGCCTGTAATCCCAGTTACTTGGGAGGCTGAGGCAGAAGAAGTGCTTGAACCCAGGAGACGGAGGTTGCAGTGAGCCGAGATCGTGCCACTGCACTCCAGCCTCGGTGACAGAGTGAGACTCCATCTCAAAAAAAAAAAAAAAAAAGAGAACGAAGACCTTTATGATGATCTACTTCCATTTAGTAAGTAGTAAAATATTTTCTCTTCTCTTCCTTAGCATTTTTTTTCTAGCTGACTTTATAATATACATAACATACAAACTATGTACTAATCGACTCTATGTTATGAATAAAGCTTCCGGTCAAGAGTACACTACCAGTATTTAACTTTTGGGGGAGTCAGAACCTATACATAGATTTTCAACTGCATAGAGGTCAGTACCCCTAACCCCCGTGTTGTTCAAGGGTCAGCTGTATATACATATTTTTTCGAGGTGGAGTTTCCCTCTTGTTGCCCAGGCTGGAGTGCGATGGCGTGATCTCAGCTCACTGCAATCTCCACCTCCCGAATTCAAGCGATTCTCCTGCCTCAGCGTCATGAGTAGCTGGGATTACAGGCACGCACCACCATTCCCAGCTAATTTTTTGTATTTTTAGTAGAGACGGGTTTCACCATGTTGGTCAGGCTGGTCTTGAACTCCCGACCTCAGGTGATCCACCCGCCTCGGCCTCCCAAAGTGCTGGGATGACAGTTGTGAGCCACTGTGCCCGGCCGGGTCAACTGTATTTTGTGCCACGTGATAAATATATACATTTACATCTCAGTGTCCCTCAAGATTCTTAGAACACAGAACTTGCCCATTCATTTACATATTGCGCTGTTGTGGTAGCGATCATATGACCCAAAGAGCTTCACATATTTCCCTATGTGGACTTTTCTTTTCTTTTTTTTTTTTTTGAGATGGGATCTTGCTCTGTCACCCAGGCTGGACTGCAGTGGGGTGATCTCAGCTCACTGCAACCTCCACCTCCCAGGTTCAAGAGATTCTCCTCCCTAATCCTCCTGAGTAGCTGGGATTACAGACACGCACCACTACACCTGGCTAACTTTTTGTATTTTTAGTGGAGGCGGGGTTTCGCCATGTTGGCCAGGTTGGTCTCCAACTCCTGACCTCAAGTGATCTGCCCACCTTGGCTTCCCAAAGTGCTGGGATTGCAGGCATGAGCCACCGTGCCTGGCCCTGCAAGTCTGTTTTGATTGGATTTGTTTGACTTTAAACCCATTCGGAAGAGTTTTCCTAGAATTGCTACACTCGGAGACATGAGGCAATGCTTACTCTGACTTTTGACGTTTTCAAGTGTACAGTTGAAAGTCAACAACATGGGTGAATGTGGCAACCCCTCCTTACACAATCAGAGACAGTCACTGCCAAGCCGCTTCGTGGATTGTCATTAGCTTCCAATGAGAAACAGGTGCACAATCAAGGTCTAAAGATAAAGAGGGTTAAGTGCAAGACAGCAGCCATGACGTGTCGGTCCACGTACAGCCTGTCTGCCTGAGGGCTCAGTGATCCAAAAAGACACTGCAGGTCAGCACTTCAGAGTGTTCGCAACATCCGGGGTTACTTAACCCTGTGGCTTGACAAGCAGCAGAGATTTGCAAACAATGATAGCTTCTGTGCCACTTCAGCCGAACACTGGCTCTGAAAACAGCCTCAGTATCTGACAAGCTCTCATTCCTGGGCTTGTGGCGTGGCTGTCCATTGAGAGAGCCTAAGTATATCTTCATGCCGAGGGGATGGGAGCATTTATATAAATAAATGTTTGCACTGATTACAGCACTGCTGCCAAAGAGCTTGATGGGCGATGATGATCCGATTTCGCCATGGCAGCTTATGTTTACAGAACCCGGCTCCATTGCAGACAGGACATCGAATGTGTAACGCAGTATTTAAATGTCCACTGACATTTACAGCTCGTGTCAGCCCAAGAGGGAAGAGGCGTTGGTGTCCCAGTCTGCCAAGGAGGGCTCCTGCTATGGAATGAATGGTGTCACCCCGAATCTCATGTGTGGAAACCCTAATGCCAAAGGGGATGGTATTTGGAGACGGAGCCTTTGGGAGATGATGATGTTTACATCAGGTCGTGAAGGTGGGATCCTTATGTTGGGATTCGTGCCCTTGTAAGAAGAGACACCAGGGCACACATGCTCCCTCGTGCTCCACCCCCCTCTCTCTCTGCCCTGCGAGACCATCTGTAAACCAAGAAGAGGAACCTCTCAAGTACCCAACCATGGTGCCACCTGGATGTAAACATTTCTGCCTCCAGTACTATAGAGAAATAAATTTCTGTTATTTATGCCACCCCATCTATGGTCCAGTTAACCCTTAAACAACACAGGTTTGAATTGCACGGGTCCACTTCTACGGGCATTTTCTTCTACCTCTGCCACCCCGGAGCCAGCAAGACCAATCCCTCCTGTCCGCTCTCATCTTAGGCTACTCAAGGTGAAGACGATAAGGATGAAGACCTTCATGACGATCCACTCCCACTTCAGAAATAGTAAATATATTTTCTCTTCTCTATGATTTTTAAAAATTTAGTTTGGTGTCCTTTTTTGTTTTTAATTATCTTTCCATAAGTGATTGGGGTACTGGTGGTATTTGGTTACCTAAGTTCTTTAGTGGTGATCTGTGAGATTTTGGTACACCCATCACCCGAACAGTATATACTGCACCCTATTTGTAGTGTTTATCCCTCACCCCCCTCCCACTCTTCCCCCCCAAGACCCCAAATTCCATTTTATCATTCTTATGCCTTTGTGTCCTCATAGCTTAGCTCCCACGTAACACTGAGAACATACGATGTTGGTTTTTCATCCCTGAGTTACTTCACTTAGAATAAAAGTTCCTTATCAGGCGTGGTGGCTCAAGCCTGTAATCTCCACACTTTGGGACGCCAAGGCGGGTAGGTCACCTAAGGTCAGGAGTTCAAGACCAGCCTGACCAACGTGGTGAAACCCTGTCTCTACTAAAAATACAAAAATTAGCTGGGCGTGGTGGCGTGCACCTTTAGTGCCAGCTACTCGGGAGGCTGAGGCAGGAGAATCACTTGAACGTGGGAGGCGTAGGCTGTACTGAGCAGAGATCACACCACTGAACTCCAGCCTGACTCCAGGGCAACAGAGTGAAACTCCATCTCAAAAAAAAAAAAAAAAGAATGAAAGTTCCTTATGATTTTTGATTCTCAAAGTTCCTTATAAGGCGATTCTCCTGCCTCAGCCTCCTGAGTAGCTGGGATTACAGGCGTGCGCCACCACGCCCGGCTAAAAAAAAACAAACAGCATTTTCTTTTCTCTAGCATACTTTAATAATACAGTATACAATACATAAAACATACAAAATATATGTTAATCGACTTTATGGTATTGATAAGGCTTCTGCTCAACAATAGGATATTCATAAGTTTTGGGTGAGTCAAAAGTTATCTTTGGATTTTCAACTGTGCCAGGGACGTGTGTGACGCCCCTAACTCCCACATTGTTCAAGGGTCAACTCTAGTTTTTTGTTGTTGTTGTTGTTGTTTTTGAGATGGAATCTTGCTCTGTCGCCCAGGCTGGAGTGCAATGGTGTGATCTTGGCTCCCTGCAATCTCCGCCTCCCAGGTTCAAGCGATTCTCCTGCCTCAGCCTCCTGAGTATCTGGGATTACAGGCGCCACACCCAGCTAATTTTTGTATCAAGGTCAACTGTATTTTCTTGCAACAGCCAGAGCTGACTAAGACAGTCTTGAAGCTCAAAGAGGTACAAGAACCTACCCAAAGTTATCCAACCAACAAGCACCTGGAAGGCAGAATAAAGACTCAGGTAGCCAAGCGCCATAGCCACACCATGGTAGAGCTATTCTGCCTTGTAGAGATGCATTGAATCTGTCACAGGGTGAATACATCTCCAAATGCATTTGAAAACTCCTACGGGATGCTACAGAAACACGTGAGGGAAGAGTGGGTGTGGACATACTCTCCATCTGTTACACTCAGAGTACTCCAACTACAGGAGTGAGATGCCTCAAGACAGGCCAAGGCAGAAACAAGCATCACTATGAACCCCAGAATAGATATGTTTTTTGGCCAGACACGGTGGTACACGCCTGTAATCCCAGCACTTTAAGAGGCCCAGGTGAGAAGACTGCTGGAGGCCAGGAGTTTAAGACCAGCCTGAGCAACAGAGGAAGATCCCATCTCTACAAAATATTTAAAATATATACATAGCTGGGAATGATGATGCGTACCTACAGCCCCAGCTACTTTAGACACTGTGGTGGGAAGATCACTCGAGCCCGGGAGGCTGAAGCTGTCGTGAGCCACAGTCACACCACTGCACTCCAGCCTGGGTGACAGAGTGAGATCCGGTCTCGAAAAAATCATCATTATCGTCACAGTAATGAGAGGAATTTTAGGTGATAGGTGGTTACTAATTTCAAAAATAGGGGCTTCCGGTTTCTCCTCTAATGATACAGGGGTTAAGAAGAAATGACTTAAGCAGATAGTAAAAATTAGCTGGGTGTGGTGGTGCACACCTGTCATCCCAGCTACTTGGGAGGCTGAGATGTGAGGATCACCTGAGCCTCGGAAGTTGAAGTTGCAGTGAGCCATGATCACACCACTGCACTCCAGCCTGGGTAACAGATGGAGACCCTGTCTGGAAAAAAAAAAAAAAAAAGATTTTGCACAAAGTTTTACGATGACTCTGCTTTGTAATTAAAAGTAATTTCTGCTTTGTTGGTGATTTCTCACACATTTATCTGGTAGACCAGATACCTGCATGTGATAGGGTAAGAAGGACCCATTTCCCTCCAAGGAGAACAGCATTGCAAGGGGGTTGAGGACGCATGCATGTGGAATCCAAACATTGAATGCACTGAGACGGCGCTGCATGAAGCCTGTCTGTGAGTTTATGATGAAGCTGCACAGAGCTCCGTAGGCGGCTCTCACTCCTCTCTCTCAGCCTTTGGCTTCAGTTTAATTGCATACACACCCTTCAGAGCTGCTCGGGGCCCCCACTTCTTCAGCCTTCTGGCATTTTTCTAAGAAACACTAAACCTCTTTCCAACGTTGCCCTTGGATTTTGTGTGCACGTCTTCCAGCCCTTGAGCTGCTTGACCTGTGCTTGCAAGGGTTCCATAACACTGGATAGGACAGAAGCTCCGCCCAGCCCCAGGTGAAAGCTCTGTGCTCTTCAGGGACCATGTCCTATTCACACTGTCTCCCTCACATCTAATACAGTCATGATACTCGGCAATATAGTACTCCACCCAACAGGCAACTCAGAGTCTGCCAGTGATACAGGAGTTAAGAAGAAATCACTTAGGCAGACAGTAAGGGTATGGGAGTCCTCGGCAAGGCTTTTTTCTTTTCTTTTTTTTTTTTTTTTTGAGATGGAGTCCCGCTCTGTCGCCCAGGCTGGAGTGTAGTGGCGTGATGTTCGCTCATTGCAACCTCCGCCTCCCGGGTTCAAGCAATTCGCCTGCCTCAGCCTCCTAAGTAGCTGGCATTATAGGTACGCACCACCAAGCCCGGCTAATTTTTGTTTTGTTTTTTTTTTTTTTAGTAGAGACGCGGTTTCACTGGTCAGGCTCGTCTCGAACCCCTGACCTAATGATCCACCCGCCTCAGCCTCCAAAAGTGCTGGGATGACAGGTGTGAGCCACTGCGCCCGGCAGCTTTTCTCTTTAACGAAAAGCAGCCCCAAGTCATTTTCTAACAATGAACAGCCTGTCAAGTCGAGCTGCAGACATACACAAGCCAGCTGGGAGCTTGTACGGGTGAATGTCGGGAGGACCTAGGGACTAGACACGTTCAAGATGGCGGCTCCATCTTCCCGGGAGGAACTAACGACTAGACACGTTCAAGATGGCGGCTCCATCTTCCGGGCAGGAACTAGGGACTAGACACGTTCAAGATGGCGGCTCCATCTTCCCGGCAGGAACTAGGGACTAGACACGTTCAAGATGGCGGTTCCATCTTCCCGGCAGGAACTAGGGACTAGACACATTCAAAACGGCGGCTCCATCTTCCCAGCAGGAACTAGAGACTAGACACGTTCAAGACAGTGGCTCCATCTTCCCTCCTCTTTGTCAGCCACATGTAAAGTAAGAAAAACAGGACCGAGAGCCCCGACCAACTACAAAGCCCATTTGCATAACCGATTAGGGTGGGCAACCAGCCTTTCCTGTGGGCTATGTAAATGTCATGCTTGATGGAACCAATCTCTCGGAGAGCCCCGACCAACTACAAAGCCCATTTGCATAAACGATTAGGGTGGGCAACCAGCCTTTCCTGTGGGCTATGTAAATGCCATGCTTGATGGAACCAATCTCTGAGCTCTATGTAAATGAGACACCGCCTCCTCAAACTGGACTATAAAATCCATCACATTTGGTGCCAGCTGGTCCTTTCCGCTCGGAGACCCCTTTCTCTATAGAGAAAACCATTTCTCTTTCTCTTCTCCTGATTAAACTTCCACTCCTAAACTCCTCGTGTGTGTCTTTGTCCTAAATTTTCCTGATGCCCAATGACGAACCCCAGGGTATATACCCCAGACAACGTAGCCACTTCACTAACATGTAGAGAGCTTGCGCATTTTAATTCCTATCCTCACAATAGGCAAAGAGCAGAACATACTGAAAATCAGCAACTCTGCGATCCATCAGAAAATAGAGATCACAAGACGAAATGCTGCCTGAAGACTGGACAGACAGGTGGCAAGTGGAATTGTGCTTGTCTAGGAGTTCCTGCTGGAGCCAGCACCTGATGGACACATTTGCAGGGTAATTATTAAACAGCTGCAGGCTGACAGTGGACAAGCCTAAGTAAGTTAAAAACTCCTGGCCAGGCATGGTGGCTCGCACCTGTAATCCCAGCACTTTGGGAGGCCAAGGCGGGCAGATCACCTGAGGTCAGGAGTTCGAGACCAGCCTGGCCAACATAGTGAAACCCCGTCTCTACTAAAAATACAAAAATTAGCCGGGCGTGGTGGCAGGCACCTGTAATCCCAGCTACTCGGGAGGCTGAGGCAGGAGAATTGCTTGACCCTGGGAGGTGGAGGTTGTAGTGAGCCCAGATCGCACCACTGCACTCCAGCCTGAGTGACAGAGCGAGACTCTGTCTCAAAAAACAACAACAACAGAAAAACTTCTGGGGGCCCATCTTAGAGGGGACCTTGTACTTTCACAAATTTTACCTCCGGGAGCTCCACCAGGTTCCCAGGGTGAAGATCAAAGAAATATCCAGTTGTGTGTTATTGGGGGAAAGTAACCACTTTGCAATATTCCTAGGGAGACAGTAGCATTTTGAAGTATGCCCAAAGCAATCCGTGTCCTCTCTGCCCTCAAAGGAAATTACTTTAGCGCAGTCAAAGTGAACTGGGGGAAGGGAAATCTTCTATTTCAGTTTTTCTTTTTTTTTTTTTTCTTTCCAGGCAGATTTTCACTCTTGTTGCCCAAGCTGGAGTATAATGGCGCAATCTCGGCTCACTGAAACCTCCACCTCCAGGGTTCAAGCGATTCTCCTGCCTCAGCCTCCTGAGTAGCTGGGATGACAGGTGCCTGCCACCATGCCCGGCTAATTTTTCGTATTTTTAGTAGAGATGGGGTTTCGCCATGTTGGCCAGGCTGGTCTCGCACTCCTGACCTCAGGTGATCCACCCGCCTCAGCCTCCCAAGGTGCTGGGATTACAGGCGTGAGCCACCGTGCCCGACCAGATTTCAGTTTCTATTAGCTTTCAACAACACTTTTCGTGCATGAGTGACGCTGGCGGCCATGTACTCAGCCATTCCATCAAGGTTCCAAGCAGCAAAGCTGCAAAATGGATCTGACTCCTTCAGTGAAGAAGAGTCTCCCTGAATGCATTGGAAACACTCATGAGATGCTACTGAAGCAAGTAAGGGAAGCCTGACTGTGGACATGCTCTCTGTCTCTTAGGCTCACAGTACTCCAACCACAGAAACGAGATGCCTCAAGGGAGGCAGAGGCAGAAAGAAGCCATCACTATAAACCCAAGAATAAAGCCAGCAGAGCTACAGTGATGGCCTGTGTGCTGCAGGTGAGCATCACCTTGTTGTAAGGCCACAGGCTTTCCTGGCCACCCTGCTCAGTTGGCCTCGTGGTGGGAGTCACTAGACTCAAGATAGACCCAGCCAGACCATCTGGTTAGAGCTACCCAAGGAAAAGCCATTGTCAGCACAAAGTCACTGGAGTCTTAGAATGCACAGCTGTGATGGGCTGATTCCTTCTCCCAAATCCCTATGTTAAAGCCCTAACGCCCAGGACCTCAGAATGTCACCATATTTGGAGATAGTCTTTAAAGAGGTGATTAAGGTAAAACAAAGTCACCAGGGAGGCCCCTAATCCGAGAAGACTGGGATGCTTATAAGAAGAGGAGATGAGGCCGGGTGTGGTGGCTCACGCCTGTAATCCCAGTACTTTGGGAGGCTGAGGTGGGTGGATCACGAGGTCAGGTGATCGAGACCATCCTGGCTAACACGGTGAAACTCCATCTCTACTAAAAATAGAAAAAATTAGCTAGGCATGGTGGCACGCACCTGTAGTTCCAGCTACTTGGGAGGCTGAGGCAGGAAAATCGCTTGAACCTGGGAGGTGGAGCTTGCAGTGAGCCGAGATCCCGCCACTGCACTCCAGCCTGGGCGACAGAGCGAGACTCCGTCTCAAAAAAAAAAAGAGGAGGAGATGAGGACACAGACACACAGAGTGACGACCCTGCGAGGACACAGTGAGAAGATGGCATCTACAAGCCTACAAGAGAGGCCTCAGGAGGAACCAGCCCTGCCTACACCTTGATCTTGGACTTACAGCCTCCAGGATTGTGGGAGAATAAACGTCTGTTGTTTACAAGCCACCCAGTCTATGGTATTCTGTGATAGCAGCCTGAAATGGACTAAGACACCTCATAAGAAAAGGAGATGAGGACACAGACACACACATTGGGACAACCCTGTGAGGACACAGGGAGAAGATGGCGTCTCCAAGCCCAGGAGAGAGGCCTCAGGAGGAACCAGCCCTGCCCATACCTGGATCTCAGACTTCCAGCCTCCAGGACTGTGAGAGAATCAATGTCTGTTGTTTATAAGTCACCCAGTCTATGGTATTCTGTGATAGCAGCCTGAGATGGACTAAGACACCTCATAAGAGGAGATGAGGACACAGACACACACAGAGGGGCGACCCTATGAGGACACAGGGAGAAGACGGTGTCTACAAGCCCAGCAGAGAGGCCTCAGGAAGAACCAGCCCTGCCCACACTTTGATCTCACAGACTTCCAGCCTTCAGAACTGTGGGAAAATAAAAGTCTGCTGTTTAAGCGGCCCAGCCTGTAGTATTTTGTCATGGCAGCCCTAGGTGACTAATACAACAGGTGTTTCATCCTGTTCCTTTCCTCAGGTGGTGTTGCAGAGTACCCCAGCATCTTTAGGTGGTGGTAGAAGAGACTCCAGCATCTGCCATAACCCCCGGAAGAGTGTTCTGTATGTTACACTGTGGGGAGGTTTTCCTCAAAGCATTAGAGTGATCTGAACAATGGGAATCTTTGCACAGAGGAGGATGAGTTCTACTCGGGGATGGTACCTACTAAGAGAGACATGTTGTCTTCTCTTCAATTGCCCTTTAATGAAGAAATAAAAATTATTTAATTATTCGGTGAAGAAATAAAAAGAGTATTGCATTCTTTCAACAGAGATTCTGCACTTGTACTCCCAGGTATTTATGAAACCTCATGTTGATGCCTGGTGCATAGGCCAGGCAGTGGGGCTCTACCTAAGTAATGCCTGGTGGTTGGCCATGGGTAGCTGGAGCACCAATAGCATACTCTAATAGTCCATGACATCGGTCTACTCAAGGGCCATGGCTCAAATAGAAGGCTTTGTTTGGAGGAATTCAAAAGAGGTTCTACTGAGAAGGAACCTATGAATCAGTGCTGCTACAATACTTTTGGATTGTGCGGTTCAAACGCCATATTGGTTTTCTTCCAGCTCTCCAGCTCCAGCAGCACTGAGGCAGATCTGAGTTTCTCGAAGCTGGGCCCATCACCAACAAGACAGTGATGGTGAAAGCAATGATAGAAGAGGTCGAATTTAGAGTAAGGATCAGGATGGACAGGTGGGTACATCTATGCAACCCTAACCTTTCTGAAACTACTAGGCATAGATATTTTCCTGAAGACTAGTCTCAGCCTGCATGGATGGTCCCTCATGGCTACTGTCTCATTTGAAAAGTGAACCTATGAAAAGAGGAAAACACTATGACATCCACCACTGTTTGGTCACACCAATTCTTGACATTAACTCTCTCGAAGGACATTAGTATGACCTTCAAATCCTAGCCCGCAGGAAAGCTTCACTTTAGTTGTTTGTTTCCTGGGTGTCCCTTCCTACAACCCACGAAGCAAATGCCACACACCCTCCTTACATGCATAAAACAGTGCTGATAATGGATGAAACACACAAGTATCAGCTCATGCCTGCACTTTCAGAGAAAACACTCTTGCTTAGACCATGGGTATGTCAAGCTGCCAAGGATACAAAAGGTAAAACAATCCAAGGGCAACAGATGGTTCATGACAAAGAACTAAGAGGGCAGCACTGCGATTCCAAAAATTTGGATATGGACGTCAATGAGAGTGAATGAGAGAGAAGCAGAGAGACGGCGGGGGGGGGGGGGGGGGGGGGAGGGAGGGAGAGAGAGAGAGAGAGAGAGACAGAGAGAAAGGAAGGAGGAGGAGGAGAAAGGAAGGAGGAGGAGGTGAAAGAGGAGGAGGAGAAGCAGGAGGAGGGGGAAGAGGAGGTGAAGGAGAAGGGAAAAAAAAAGTAGAAGGGGCCAGGTGCGGTGTCTCATGCCTGTAATCCTAGCACTTTGGGAGGCTGAGGCAGGTGGATCACGAGGTCAGGAGACTGAGATCATCCTGGCCAACATGGTGAAACCCCATCTCTACTAAAAATACAAAAATTAGCTGGGCAGGGTGGTGCATGCCTGTAATCCCAGCTACTCAGGAGGCTGAGGCAGAAGAATCGCTTGAACCGGGGAGGCAGAGGTTGCAGTGAGCTGAGATCGCGCCACGGCACTCCAGCCTGGCAACAGAGTGAGACTCCGTGAAAGAAAAAAAAAAAGAAAAGAAAAGGGAAGGGAAGGGAGGGGAGGGGAGGGAAGGGGAGGGGAAGAGAGGGGAAGGGAAGGAAAGGGAGAAGGAGAAGGAGGAGGAGAGAAAGGGAAGGAGAAGAAACGAAAGAAGATGAAGGAGAAGAAGGAGAAGGAGGAGGAGAAGTAGGAGGAGATGAGGGGCAGGAGAAGGAGGGGAAGGAAGAAGTAGGAGGGGAAGAGGAGGGAAGAGAAGAGGAAAGAAGACAGGGAGAGAGAATAAGAGAATGAGAAAGAGAGAATGAAGGAGAGAATAAATGAAAGAAGAGAGAGATGAGAAAACCTACTTGTGAAAGAGGCCTCAGTAGAAGAAAAGAGAATGAGCAAAGAGCCTGGTCCAGGCCACTCTAAATGTCTCTCAAATGTTAAAGACTGATGAAGGAGGAGCAGGAAGACTTATCACACGTCCAAGGAGACAATGTTGAGCGACCCGCAAACTTAGCAGAAGGGAGAACAGGCTCTGGAGATGTCCAGTAATGGGGTAGAGCCCAGACTCCCACACTTGGTAGTTGTACCCTTCAACCTGGAGAGGCCTCAGTTTTCTCATCAGTGAAATGGGCCCAAGAATAGTATCTATCTCAAGAAACCATTTTCTCTGCTCCTTCATGAGAAGAAACTCCTCTTCCATTCCAGTTTTATCATGAGATTACAGGAGTTCAGCCCCATCTTCAACCTGCACCTTTACTTCTGCTATTTTCACCATAGCAGAAGTGACTTCCTCCACTGAAGTCTTGAACCCCCTCAATGTCATTCATGAATATTGGAATTCACTTTTTCCCGATTTCTGTTAATGTGGATATCTTAACTTCCTGCCATGAATCACCAAGGTTCTAAATGGCATTCAGAATGAGGAATCCTTTCAGGAAGGTTTTTTGGTTTTTTTTTTTTTTTTTTTTTTTTTTTTGAGACGGAGTTTTGCTCTTGTTGCCCAGGCTGGAGTGCCATAGCGCGATCTTGGCTCACTGCAACCTCCACCTCCCAGGTTCAAGCGATTCTCCTGCCTCAGCCTGCCGAGTAGCTGGGATTACAGGTGCCCGCCACCATGCCCAGCTAATTTTTTTGTAGTTTTAGTAGAGATGGGGTTTCACCATGTTGGTCAGACTGGTCTCAAACTCCTGACCTCAGGTGATCCACCTGCCTTGGCCTCTCAAAGTGCTGGGATTACAGGCGTGAGCCACCACGCCCGGCCCTGACTCGAATTTTGAAAAAAGTTCTACTCTGGGTAAAACCCTATCAAACAGCATCGCTTGATACAGAAAAATCTTTCATGACAGAAAGGGTCAACTGATGTGACAAACATCACTGTTGTCTATTTTAAGAAATTGCCAAAGCACCCTCTACCCTCAGCAACCACCACCCTGATCAGTCCACAGCCAGCAACATTGAGGCAAGACTCTCCACCAGCAATAAGGTTTTGACTCGCGAAATGTTCAGATAATTGTTAGTATTGTTTACCAATAAAGTATGCTTAAATTAAAAAATATATATCGTTGGAATGGTGTATGGATACACCACAAAACAGTCTTAGCATAATGCTCACCATTCACTAAGTGCTCAATAACGACATTATTAACTTTGCCAATTCCTCTGTTTATTGCTCAGAAGGATGATGCATTTGTCAGGAGAAGCAAAGAAAAAGATTCTTGAAAAGATCATGGTGACATTGCTGAAAGGTCGGGGAGAAAACACAAACAGACTGAATGGGTCCTGTGAAGCTCAAGGGTGTGGGTAGCTCGTAAGAAAGGCTATGAGCAGAGATTACGCTGGAGAAATATGCCAGGAAGGGAAGGGAAGGGATGGTCAGAAGCTAGTTAGTGTGTGCAGTGATATTTTCACAATGCTTTTGAAATCAGCGTGTTAATTGGCTAAATGAGCCACTGGCTGGATGACAGTATGTGAGCATTAGCTGCTCTATGTCAGCTGGGATTCTAGGAAAACAGATTGTGCCAAACATTTGGATATCCAGAGGAGGCACAACAACTGTGCATTAGAAATAGGACTTATGTTTCCCACCCAACTACCTCTCTCTGGGGCCTGACCTGCCGTCTAAAAACAGTCCACCCCAATGCAGCCTCCAGTCACTCTGCCAGGTATTGACCCAGAGTCTTGATTCTATGCAACAAATAAGATCTTTGCATTTTAACCCATTGAGTTTTAGTAAGAATCTTCGACAAGAAGATTTCTTCCAGAGAACCAAAGCAGGAGTTGCAAGATTGCAAAGGGCACACTGAGGTCTTAAATATCCATCTGATTTGGCCAGGAATGTGATCGATCAAAAACTCAGGAATTTTCCTGGTCATCGTTGTCTAACGTGTATTCAGAATGTACTCTGCGGTGAGTACCATTTTACGAAAAGACTCACTGGCCAAGACTATGGGCGTGAGGTAACTAACAATCAGGGGGCTTGGTTTCATTTTGTTGAAAAAAAGTTCAACAAAGACATCCACAAAGAAATAGGTGATGGGCCTTTGCCTACTCATTTCTTTGCTCGTTTTGCTATTTACCCATTCCCCTGTTTTCTTGCCCTGTAAAATGGACACAATACTCAAGCTTCCCATTGGTGTCAATGTTTACATTCACGATGGGTAAAAAAAGGTATTTCATGATTTGAAAAGTGTGATGCATTTTATTCTTTTTTATAACTTTAACACCTTTTAATTTTTTGAACGTTTTTGAGTCATCATAACACATAGCTTAAAACACATACACACGTGGTGCAGCTGTACAAACATGTATTTTTTTAAACTTGTATGTTAGATTCGGGAGGAGTCCATGTGCAGGTTTGTTGCACAGGCAAATTACGTGACATGGGAGTTTGGTGTACAGATTATTTTGTCACCCACATAATCAGCACAATATCTGATATGCAGTAGAGACAGAGTGCCACTCTGCCGCCCAGGCTTGAGTGCAATGGTGCGATCCCGGCTCACTGCAACCTCCGCCTCATGGGTTCAAGTGATTCTTGTGCCTCAGCCTCCCGAGTAGCTGGGATTACAGATGCCTGCTACTCTGCCTGGCTAATTTTTGTATTTTTAGTAGAGACAGGGTTTCACCATCTTGGCCAGGCTGGTCTCGAACTCCTGACCTCGTGATCTGCCCACCTCGGCCTCCCAAAGTGCTGGGATTACAGGTGTGAGCCACTGCGCCCGGCCAATAGGCAGCTTTTTAATCCTCCCTCTCCTCCCACCCTTCACCCTCAAGCAGACCCCAATGTCTGTTGTTCCTTTCTTTGAGGCCACCTTTACTCAATGTTGAACTTCCAATTATAAGTGAGAACATGCGATATTTGCTTTTATGTTCTTGTATTAGTTTGCTAAGGACAATGATCTCCAGCTCCATCCATGTTCCTGCAAAAAATAATAAGATCTTGTTCTTTTTTACAGCTGCACAGTATTCCACGACGTACATGTACCACATTTTCTTTACCCAGTCTACCACTGATGGGTATCTAGCTTAATTCCCATGTCTTTGCTATTGCAAATAATGCTGCAATGAACATTCATGTGCAAAAGTGTCTTTACGGTAGAATAATTGGTATTTCTTTAGGTATGTACCCAGGAATGGTTGCTGGGTTGAATGGTAATTCTGTTGTTTTAACTCAAAAGTATGCTTTTTTTTTTTGAGACACAGTCTTACTCTGTCACCCAGGCTGGAGTGCAATGGCATGATCTTGGCTCACTGCAACCTCCACCTCCTAGGTTCAAGTGATTCTCCCTGCCTTAGCCTCCCAAGTAGCTGGAATTCTAGGCACCTGCCACCATGCCTGGCTAATATTGGTATTTTTAGTAGAGACGGAGTTTCACCATGTTCGCTAGACTGGTCTCGAACTCCTGACCTCAGGTGATTCGCGTGCCCTGGCTGGGATTACAGGCGTGAGTCACCGGACCCAGCCGCCTATTTTCTTTCTTTAAGAGATAAGGTCTTGGTCTCTCAGCCAGGCTGGAGTGCAGTGATTTGAGCACATCTCACTGCAGCCTCAAACTCCTGGGCTCAAGTGATCCTCCCGCCTCAACCTCCCCAGTAGCTGGGACCACATGTACACACCACCATGCCCAGCTATTTTTGAAAAATTTTTGTAGAAATGGCATCTTGCTGTGTTGCCCAAGCTGCTCTCAAAGTCCTGAGCTCAAAATAATCCTCCATCTTCTGAAAGCATTGCGATTATGGGTGTGAAGTTTCTTTGACTTTAATATTTTAACTTAATTTATAACAGTATTTTTGAATAAGGGACTCTATCCATCACTATTTAATTCTATAATTGTATATATTTGCAGGCCCCTCCAAGCCTTTGTGAACCCTGAATATCTGAGATGGTGTCAGTTAATTTAGAAAGTTAAGTCCGGGCGTGGTGGCTCACGCCTGTAATCCCAGCACTTTGGGAGGTCGAGGCGGGCGGATTGTCTGAGGTCAGGAGCTCAAGACAAGTCTGGCCAACATGGTGAAACTCCGTCTCTACTAAAAATGCAAAAAAAACTTTAGCTGGACATGGTGGCGGGCACCTGTAATCCCAGCTATTGAGGAGGCTGAGGCAGGGGAATCGCTGGAACCAGGGAGGTGGAGGTTGCAGTGAGCCGAGATCGTACCACTGCACTCCAGCCTGGACAACAGAGTAGGACTCCATCTCAAAAAAAAAAAAAAAGAAAAATTTATTTTGCCACAGTTGAGGACGCACCCATGACACAGCCTCAGGTGGTCCTGACGACATGTTCCCAAGGTGGTCAGGGCACACGCTGGTTTTATACATTTTAGGCAGACATGAGACATCAATCAATATATGTTGAGAGGTACACTGGTTCCATCCAGAAACACGGGGACGACTCGAAGTGGGGAGGGGGCTTCCAGGTCATAGGTGGATAAGAGACAAATGGTTGCATTCATTATTTTTTTGGGGTGTGTGTGTGTGTGTGTTTAGACAGAGTATTGCTCTGGCACCAGGCTGGAGTGCAGTGGCGCGACCTCGGCTCACTGCAACCTCAGCCTCCCAGGTTCAAGCCATTCTCCTGCCTCAGCCTCCCGAGTAGCCGGGACTACAGGTGCCCGCCACCATGCCCAGCTAGTTTTTAAAATATTTTTAGTAGAGATGGGGCTTCATCATATAGGCCAGGATGGTCTTGATCTCTTTACCTCGTGTTCTGCCTGCCCTGGCCTCCCAAAGTGCTGGGATTACAGGCGTGAGCCACCGCACCTGGCCAGGAGTAACTTTGAATAAAACGGGAGGCAAGTTTGCTCTGAGAAGTTCCCAGCTTGACTTTTCCCTTGAGCTTAGTGATTTGGGGACCCCAAGATTTTCCTTTCAAACCTTCTTAAATTATTGTTACTGTCACTATGCTTCCATCTTTCATGAACTTAGGCGACATCCATGGAGGTATCATTTGCAGATTCAAAGTAGCTCTTTCAACTTCTGAGTCATGGAGCACAGTGTCTTTAATATCATGCTTTTGTTTTTGTTTTTGTTTTTTTGTTGTCGTTGAGACAGAGTCTTGCTCTGGTACCAGGGAGTGCAGTGGCGTGATCTCGGCTCACTGCAACCTCCGCCTCTCAATTTCAAGCCATTCTCCTGCCTCAGCCTCCCAAGTAGCTGGGACTACAGGCGCCCGCCACCATGCCCAGCTAGTTTTTTTGTACTTTTAGTAGAGACGGGGTTTCACCCTGTTGCCCAGGATGGTCTCGATCTACTGACCTCATGATCCGCCTGCCTCACCCTCCCAGAATGCTGGGATTACAGGCGTGAGCCACCACGCCAGACTGCAGTAGTGAGTCTTAGTCACTCACTGTGAAGTTCCCTGCAGTTTCTTTTTCAAAAGCATTTTGCTGTGGATAACGCATTCTCATTACGTCAGACATCTGCAGTAACATTTATCTAGCAACAAGGTTAACTGCCTTCACATCAACAAAAACAGGTTGTGTTGCCAGCAAAGAAGAATGCCAGTTCTCTTTTCCATCCCATAATACTTGTCATCAGTACTGGGGTATCCTGTTCACCTTCTCCCATGCTGTGAGATTAATTTAGAGAACATATTCACGGTATTTTGTTTTTTGTTTTGTTTTTTTTTTTTGAGACGGAGTTTTGCTGTTGTTGCCCAGGCTGGAGTGCAAAGGCATGATCTTGGCTCACTGCAACCTCTGCCTCCCAGGTTCAAGTGAGCCTCCAGAGGAAGCACAGTACTGCCCACATCGTTATTTCAGACTTCTGGTCTCCAGGACTGGAAAAGAATAAACTTGTTGTGGCTTTAAGACTTCCAAGTGTGTGGTCGTTTATTACAGCAGCCCTAAGATAGATAGATAGATATAGATAGATAGATTTATTTTACTTTAAGTTGCAAGATACATATGCAGAACATGCAGGTTTGTTACATAGGTATACATGTGCCATGCTGGTTTCCTGCACCCATCAACCCGTCATCTAGGTTTTAAGCCCTGCTTGCATTAGAAATGGGGTTTCGCCATGTTGGCCAGGCTGGTCTTGAACTCCTGACATCATGATCCACCCACCTCGGCCTCCCAAAGTGCTGGGATTACAGGCGTGAGCCACCGCGGCTGACCTTTATTGCTCTTTCTATGTAAAACCAGAAAAGCCAACAAAGCTATTTCCCGTAATGACATGCCCAAGTCCTAACCCCCAAACACCGTGAATGTGAACTGATTTGCGAATAGGGTCTTGGTAGATGCATTCTCGTTAAGGATATCAGGACAGGATCATCCCAGGTTCAGGACTGATGGACACTTCAAACTTTCATTCTATATTCTTTCACACGAGTAGTGTTGTTTGGCTCTGAGAAGCACTTTCATTTTTATTTCCAGGCAATTTCATATCGTTCTCTTCAATTCAGTGAGTGCAAAAGAAGCAAGACAGGGAGTGATATAAAATTACTGCTAATAGAAAATTCACTTTTAATCTTGCTTAAAACAAGTTTTTTTGTTTTTTGTTTTTTTGTAAAATGAAGGAGAGAGCTGAACTTCAAGGATGCGAATTTATTTCCACACAGGGGAGAAACACTGATTGGAGAAAATTTACAGTTGCTGTTTAGACACTTGAGCCTCAGGATCGAGAAAAGGTGCACCTCTTAGATGGGCCTTAAATTGGAGATGATGATATCTAACCACCTGGAGACGGGAAAGTAGGTGTCACTCAATGCTGAACGGTGCTACTCATCTGTGAGATTGTATAATGAAGTTTTGGAGACTGAGCCTGTACCTTCATCTGTTCTTTAACCAATGCACACTTAACAAGCACGTCATGTTTAGCTGCTCAGCAGAGCTTCCTTCTTCAGAAACAGAGACGGGGTGCGGAGGCATTTTACAACCCAGGGGGCTCCAGCTTCATAGACTGTCTTGTGAGGATCTATGCTGTTACTCTGAGGATCAGCGTTGGTTTTCCAAGTCCTTCATGAACATAACAAGTCAATGATAAGACGACAAGTTCCACCGCTGTGCCTCAGCTGAGACAAAAAAAAAAAAAAAGCTGGAATCATTTAGAAATAACAATCCCAGGCCAGGCATGGTGGCTCATGCCTGTAATCCCAACATTTTGGGAGGCCGAGGCCAGCAGATCACCCGAGGTCAGGAGTTCAAGACCAGCCTGGTCAACATGGTGAAACCCCGTCTCTACTAAAAATGCAAAAATTAGCCAGGCATGGTGGTGCGCGCCTGTAATCCCAGCTACTTGGGAGGCTGAGGCAGGAGAATCGCTTGAACCTGGGAGATGAAGGTTGCGGCGAGCCGAGACAGTGCCATTGCACTCCAGCCTGTGCAACAGAGCGAGACTCTGTTTCAAAAAAATAAAATAAAAATAGAAAAAGGAAGTCACACTCACAACCATTCTACAAGCAGGAGACCCAGAATATTTTGCTTTAGAATCTACAGGCTCTGCTTTAAAATTCCTCCTCTCCCAAACTCAGGTTAAAATGTAAGCCTCAGTGCTGGATGGGAGGTCGAATGGGAGGGGTTTGAGCAACGGACGATGGATTCTTCCTGAAGAGATCAATGTCCTTTCTTGAAGCATGAGTGAGTTTTTACTCTATGAGTTCTCCACAGGCTGGTTGTTAAATAGAGCCTGGCGTCTCCCGTCTGTCTTCCCTCCTGTCTCTTCGTGTGGTCTCTGTACACATACCAGCTCCCCTTCCCGTTCCACCATGAGTGGAAGCCTCCTGAGGTCCTCAGCAGAGACAGATGCTGGCCCTGTGCTTCTTGTACAGCCTGCAGAATCATAACCCAAATAAACCTCTTTCCTCTATAAATTATCCAGCCTCCAGTGTTCCTTTCTAGTGACACAAAACCGACGAAGACACCCCAGCTCTCTCTACCATGGGGTATTTATGTCACTAGTGATGACCGTCCTGACAAGGGGCCAGCCCTGCAGTTCCCACGAGACCACCTACTTCCCACTCCCCATATGAGCTCAGAAACTTCCGGAAGCTGGTACACTCATGGAATGATAATCCATATAATTTCCGCAACGAGATGTGATGTAGTATCATGCTTACTTAAGTGATCCTGAATATACTCTTTTTGTGTGTTTTTCTTTAATTTTCCATAACTTATTGGGTTACAGGCAGTATCTGGTTATATAAGTAAGTTCTTTTTATTTTTTTCTGAGACAGAGTCTCGCTCTGTCAGCCAGGCTGGAGCGCAGTGGCATGATCTCGGCTCACTGCAACCTCCACCTCCCACGCTCAAGCAATTCTCCTACCTCAGCCTCCCAAGCAGCTGGGATTACAGGTGTGTGCCACCAGGCCTGGCTAATTCCTTTTGTATTTTTAGTATAGACAGGGTTTCACCATGTTGGCCAGGCTGGTCTTGAACTCCTGACTTAAGGTAATCCGCTCGCCTCAGCCTCCCAAACTGTTGGGATTACAGGTGTGAGCCACCACATCCGATCACGAGTAAGTTCTTTAGTGGTGATTTGTGAGATTTTGGTGCACCCATTACCCAAGCAGTACACATTCCACACTATTTGTAGTCTTTTATCCCTCGCTGCCCCCTCCCAAGCTCTCCCCAAGTCCCCAAAGTCCATTGTATCATTCTCATGCCTTTGTGTCCTCATAGCTTAGCTTCCACGTATCAGTGACAACAGACGATGTTTGGTTTTCCATTCCTGAGTTACTTCACTTAGAGTAATAGTCTCCAAAGGACATGAACTTGTCCTTTTTTATGGCTGCATAGTATTCCATGGTGTCTATGTGCCACATTTTCTTTATACATTCTATCATTGATGGGCATTTGGGTTGGTTCCAAGTCTTTGCTATGTGAATAGTGCCACAATAAACATACGTGTGCATGTGTCTTTATAGTAGAATGATTTATAATCCTTTGGGTATATACTCAGTCATGTGATTACTGGGTCAAATGGTATTTCTGGTTCTAGATCCTTGAGGAATCCCCACACTGTCTTCCACAATGGTTGAACTAATTTACACTCCCACCAACAGTGTAAAACCATTCCTATTTCTCCACATCCTCTCTAGCATCTGTTGTTTCCTGACTTTTAATAAAGCTGGAAACCATTCTTCTCAGCAAACTAACACAAGAACAGAAAACCAAACACCACATGTTCTCACTCATAAGTGGGAGCTGAACAATAAGAACACATGGACACGGGGAGGGGAACATCACACACTGGGGCCTGTCGAGGGGTGGGGGGCTAGGGGAGTGATAGTATTAGGACAAGTATCTAATGTAGATGACGGGTTGAGGGGTGCAGCAAACCACCATGGCACATGTATACCTATGTAACAAAAACTGCACGTCCTGCACATGTACCCCAGAACTTAAAGTATAATAATAAAAAAAGTAATAGTCTCCAGTCTCATCCAGGTCACTGCAAATGCTGTTAATTCATTCTTTTTTGTGGCTGTGTAGTATTCCATGGTGTGTGTGTGCGTCTGTCTGTGTGTGTGTGTGTATATATATATATGATGTCCATCAATATATACAATGTCCAATGTTCTGGAGTCCACAGTCAGTAATGTCCATCAAGGTACATACACACGTTCACGGACATTATTGCCTGTGGACATCAGAATCTTGACCCACACCTAGGAAATGACTGCATTCAACGTCAGGCGACTGGACTCCCCGCCAGACACCCGCCATTGAGAACAAATAATAAAAGCCACAGTCTTCACCTTGCAAATTGATATTTGGACTTTTGTCATTCAAGGATGCTTTCAATGGTTCGTGTCTACTAGGCTTGGGAGAAAGATAGGCTCGTGAGAGGAGACATCAGACAACTGGCAAATCAGAGGTAGATGAAGCAACAAAAGGAAGGAAAAAGAGTGTGGAAATACCAGCCAACGAGCTGGTGTTCCCAATGGGACCTATGAAAAGATGTTTTGCAGGTGGAGAGAAGAAAGAGGAGACGCAAGCATTTGAGCTGAGCAACGAATATTGCCTGCATTGCGGAGGACCAAGAATGGACAATATCACCAGGTTAGCCTCCTGGGAAATGCTGCACGGGTGGCAGGTTCAGCAAATCAAGGCAGGGGGAGAAAATGGCTGCCGCTCTCTCTCCAGTTTGCGATCCTGGGAAGTTAGGGTGCACGGGTTTACTGGGCTTTGATTTCCTCAGAGGACTGGTTTTACTTACACACAGCAGGAAGCCATAATACAAGGGGCTCTTTTCCCACCACAGGCATCAAGCTGAATCACCGCACACGCTTGCATTCCAGACTCATGTTCTCCAGAGCTTACAGGTTGGGATGGGACCACTGTAACCCATGACCCCAAACTAGGGAGCTTACAAAAGCAGCCATTTAACCTCTCCCAGTCCTGGAGACTACATCTGTGAAATCGAGGTGCCTACAGGGACATGCTCCCTGCTCTAGGGAAGAATTCTTCCTGCCTCTCCCAGCTCCTGGGGGCTCCAGGCATCCCTGGGCTTATGGCCGCATCACTCCAGTCTCTGCCTCCGTCTCCACGTGGCCTTCTCCTCTGTGTCTGTGTCTCCTCTTCCGTCTCTTACAAGGACACCTGTCATTAGATTTAGGATCCACTGCAATCCAGGATGATCTCATCTCCAGATCCTTTTTTACATCTGCAAAGACCTTATTTCCAAATAAAAAATCACATGTACAGATTCAAGGTGAACTTGTCTTTTTTTTTTTTTTGGTGGGGGTGGGGGTAAAATAGAGGCACCATTCAATCCACTACAGGGGTTGAGAAGAAATAAAATATTACAAAATGCTCCCTGATAAGAAATAAAATATTACAAAATGCTTCCTGAATGTGATTTAGAAGTTTTTTTGTTTGTTTTGTTTTGTTTTTAAATGGAGTTTCACTCTTACTGCCCAGGCTGGAGCGCAATGGCGTGATGTCAGCTCACCGCAACCTCTACCTCCTGGGTTCAAGTAACTCTCCTGCCTTAGCCTCCCAAGTATCTGGGACTACAGATGCCCGCTACCACTCCCGGCTAATTTTTTGTATTTTTAGTAGACATGGGGTTTCACCATGTTGGCCAGGCTGGTTTCAAACCCCTGACCTCAGGTGATCTGTCCGCCTCGGCCTCCCAATGTGCTGGGATTACAGGCGTGAGCCACCTCGCCCGGCCGATTTAGAAGCTTTTGTTTGTGGGCGTGAAGGTTCAGTAAGAGCTTCCTCTAGTCCTTGTCAAGATCAAAATTAAAGGCATTATAAACAGAGATGCCTATCTGTCGGCCACATATCCAGAAAATAAATGCTGAGATGAGAATTCTGGTTTCTGAATAGGAGTCTGATATCTGCATTTGGTGTTGCCAAAGCAAGCCCTGACTTCTCTCTTCTCTCATTGAGACAGAGCACACACCCTCACTCCTTGTGTCTCTGAGTCACATGTATCGGGCCATACTCACCTGATACCTCACGGATTGTCCCGGGGCTAGTTCTATTTCTAGCTCCTGGGCAGGACGGTGACCATGAGTTCGACGGTGCCCAGCAAGCCCATCTGGCCAGCACTTATCTGCCTTTGGGTACAGCCTGCCCTTTCTCCCAAGTGTCTGAGCATAAAAATAGCCCACCATGTCAACCCCGCAGATGACAAGCATGTGAGTGGCTAGTTTCTGCCTGAGAACTCTCCCGAGGTCTCCCTGAACACTCACGGATGCCTGGGCTGGCCCAAGATGCAGCAGTAGGTCACTGACAGACTCTCTTCCATTTATTCACAGTTTCCATGATTCCCACGCTCATAGCATCGACATAACAAAAGCAAAGTTAAGCTACAGACTCTGCTCCCGCCCCAACCTCTCTAATAGCTGCTAACAGAGCCAATGGATTGTTTTTTTCAACTTGCAACTTAAACACAACTTTGCCTTCTCCCTGAGTCTTTTAATTCAAACATTCAGTCATTCTCCATCAGGTACGCACAGGAGATACAAAATCAATATGATAACGGTCTTCAGGTTGTGGGTGACAGAGCGGGAGCATGGCCATCTTGAACAAACACCACCATTCTAGGCTCCCCTTGATTAAAAACCGCCTAAATCCAGCCCGAAAACATCAGCCTCATGACTCATGTCAGCATAACCAGAAACATTCCAACCCTAAGATAAACCCGTCTCCGACCAAAAACATACCAACCCTGAGACAGCCTCCCCTCTGACCAGAGATATTCAACCCTGCAATAAACTCTCCCTCACATACAAACATTCTGAACCTATGATAAGCACCCCCTTCCAAAACCCTTAAATGTGCTTAGTCTATAAGAGAGAAGAGCTCTGACCTAACTCAGCCAGAAGCCCCTCTCAGGTTTCTCTAAAATAAACCTGTGTTTAACTGTCAAGTGACATTTCATGCTTCTTTCCTCTTTAATTCTTACAGTGAGTGTGTAGAGCACGCTTGACATAAGTGACTCCACCTTAGAAAAAGATTCCATGTTACATTTCATTCAAAAGGCATCATGCCTACAGGAGCCAGATGTTCACCTGATCAATAAAGACCACATCCAAACAGTTAAGGACACAACCAAACACCCTCTTCCATTGTCAATCCTCACCAGAGGACTCTGTGGTCATGAAAGAACAGGGCTTCAGCAGCTCCAAATGGCTACCTTAACAGATGCCATCTTGCTGTCACTTGTAATCATTACGCAGCATCCACCGCAAAAGGCTCTGCCCCACTGATATCAAAGGCTCTTCCTTGCAAGATGGCGACCACTGATGGCCCTCCAGGGCCAGGCCAGGAGACTTTTTTTTGTCCACATCAATATCCCTGTGCTCCTTTGTTAAGCTTTTTCCTACCCCTTTTCTCTTGATGATAAATGTTACGTTGTTTGATGTAGAATGTTTAATCTATAACATGCATATATTGGTGAAGTGTATTAGTATGTATAGGTTGCAATACTGACTGACTTGGGTCACAGCAGGAGCCTGTGCGCCTGTAGCTCTGACTAAATGCTGCCGGCACACAGGCTCCAGTACTCCAAGGGCTCAAGCCATTTCAGTACTAAATGGGAAGTCCTAAGGAGAATTGCCTCCTTGAAAACTCCGTGCATCTTGGGGCTTCTGTAAACTGAAATAGCATCAATAAAAGGCTGAACTTGTGAAAAGACACAACCATACATGGGCCTGGTTTTCTATCTCTGACCTTGCACCACTCATGAGAGCGGGCTCCAGCAAGCCAGCCAGCAGGAAAGACAGAAAAGGTGAAAACTGATTCAACAAAGGAAGGATACTTGAGCTAGATTAAACATTTTATTACATTTTCTCTGAATTTTTAGCCCATCATCACGGGTCATTAGAGAAATGCAAATCAAAACCACAATGAAATACCAACTTATGCCAGTTAGAATGGCGATCACTAAAAAAGTCAGGAAACGAGAGATGCTGGAGAGGATGTGGAGAAATAGGAACGCTTTTACACTGTTATTGAGAGTGTAAATTAGTTCAACCATTGTGGAAGACAGTGTGGCGATTCCTCAAGAATCCAGAACCAGAAATACTATACGACCACAGACTGGATAAAGAAAATGTGGTACACAGACACACCATGGAATACTATGCAGCCATAAAAAGGATGGGTTCATGTCCTTTGCAGGGACATGGATGAAGCTGGAAACCATCATTCTCAGCAAACTAACACAAGAACAGAAAAGCAAACACCACATGTTCTCACTCATAAGTGAGAGTTGAACAATGAGAACACATGGACACAGGGTGGGGAACATCACACACCAGGGTCTGTCAGGGGGTCAGGGGCTAGTGGAGGTATAGCATTAGGAGAAATACCTAATGTAGATGATGGGTTGATGGGTGCAGCAACCCACCATGGCACATGTATACCTATGTAACAAACCTGCACGTTCTGCACATGTACCCCAGAACTTAAAGTATATAAAAAGAAGCATATATATATATATATATATATATATATATATATATATATATACTGTATTTATTTAATAAAATTTCAAATTAATGATGTAAAAATTTTGAATTTTATAAATTTGAATATGACTTGGCCTGTGACAGAGACAGAGGCCACAAGACCCCTGCAGTCTACCCTATACCCTGCTGCCACAGTGACCTCCCTAACATACACACCTGATCACAAGTCCCCTCAGAGCAGCTTCCATGGCTTCCCCTGCCTCTTGAAATACTGCCCAACTTGTGTTCTGTCTGGGTACTCTTGTTCTGAGGCACCCTTGATCCTTGATTTTATAAGTCCACTTGGCTGAGCCATGGTGCCCACATATGTGATTAAATGTTCTTCTGGGTGTTTCTTTGAGGTTGCTTTAAATGAGATAAATATCGAAATCAGGAGACTTTGAGTAAAGGAATTGGTGGGTAGGCCTGGTCTAATCAGTTGAAGGTCATAATAGAACAAAAGACTGGGCTGGGTGCAGTGGCTCACACCTATAATCCCAGCACTTTGGGCAGCTGAGGCAGGTGGATCATCTGAGGTCAGGAGTTTGAGATCAGCCTGGCCAACATGGTGAAACCTTGTCTCTACCAAAAAAATAAAAATAAATTAGCTGGGCGTGGTGGTGTGTGCCTATAATCACAACTACTCGGGAGGATGAGGCAGAAGAATTGCTCAAACCTGGGAGATAGAAGTTGCATTGAGCCAAGATCGCACCGAGATCGCATCGTACCCCAGCCTGGGCAACAAGAGTGAAACTCTGTCTCAAAAAAAAAAAAAAAAAAATCTAAATCAGTACACTTTGAGTAAAGCAATTTGTCCTTCCTATGGTGGGTGGGCCTGGTCCAATCAGTTGAAGGTCTGACTAGAACAGAAGACTAATGTTACCTGAGCCAGAAGGGATTCTGCCAACAGATGGACTTTGGACTCCAACTACATCATCAGCTCCTCCCTGGGTCTCCAGCTGGCTGGTCTACCCCATACATCTTGAGACTTGCCAGCCTCCATCACCATATGAGCAAAATTCCTTAAAATAAATGTGCTTTCTATCAGTACACACATCATATTGGTTCTATTTCTCTGCAGTATCTTGACTCAGACACACAGTTCCCTGGTTCTGCGGCACCCACCTCCCGTGGTATCCTTGTTCTGTAAGAAATTAGTAAGTTTTAGGTGAACGCCAAGGAGGAATTTCATCCAGGAAAGCTCTTTGCCTCCTTGTAGACCCGATGAATTTCTACTCACTCTCTAAAATTTAACTCAAATACATGTATTTTCTGATAATGTTTCTAACTCTATGAGCAAAACCAGGCATCTCACTCCATGGCATCTGGACACGCAGCTACAGAGGTGCATCTGACATGCCCGAGTTGTTATGTACCATCTTCCCCTGACTGTGAATCTCTTAGGAATGACATCCATAAAAATGCAATGTGCCATCCAGGATTTAATACGTGCTCAAATATTGCCGAGTGTGGTTTTTCTCGTCTCTGTTTTCACAGTCCAGGCTGGCACCATTTCTCTGCAAATCAGTGTATTTTTCACCCACCTGATTTTCCTGCCCCCAGCCTCCCCTCCCACAAGGCGCCTTGAAGCTGCTGTCAAGCTCAATCTCCTGAAGATAGCCCAAATCCTTCCCGCAGCCTTTGGAAAGCCTCCCATAGCTTCTTCTCACAGCAAATCTAAGTAAACTACAAGGTGACTCCCATGTTCCCCTCCCCATTTTTCCTGTTTGTAGGGATGTTGTATGAGTCTGGTTTTTTTTTTGTTGTTGTTGTTTAATACTTTAAGTCCTGGGGTACATGTGCAGAACATGCAGGTTACATAGGTATCCATGTGCCATGGTGGTTTGCTGCACCTATCAACCCGTCATCTACATTAGGTATTTCTCCTAATGCTATCCCTCCCCCAGTCCCCTACTCCCCGACAGGCCCCAGTGTGTGATGTTCCCCTCCCTGTGTCCATGTGTTCTCATTGTTCAACTCCCACTTATGAGTGAGAACATGAGGTGTTTGGTTTTCTGTCCTTGTGATAGTTTGCTGAGAATGATGGTTTCCAGCTTCATCCATGTCCCTGCAAAGGACATGAACTCATTCTTTTTTATGGCTGCATAGTATTCCATGGTGTCTCTGTGCCATATTGTCTTTACACAATCTATGGTCAAATAGTATTTGATATAGATAAGGATGGATAAATAAAGTATAAGTATGTTTTCATGCTGTAGATAAAGACATATCTGAGAATGGGCAATTTAGAAAAGAAAGGTTTAACTGGACTTACAGTTCCACGTGGCTGGGGAAGCCTCACAATCATGGTGGAAAGCAAAAGGTGAAAGGCACGTCTCACATTGTGACAGACAAGAGAAGAGAGCATGTGCAGGAAACTCCCCTTTATAATAACCATCAGATCTCATAAAACTTACTCACTATCATGAGAACAGCAGGGCAAAGACCTGCCCCCATGATTCGGTTACCTCCCACTGGGTCCCTCCCACAACAGGTGGGAATACAAGATGAGATTTGGGGCCGGGCGCGGTGGCTCACGCCTGTAATCCCAGCACTTTGGGAGGCCAACACAGGTGGATCACCTGAGCTCAGGAGTTCAAGACCAGCTTGGCCAATTTGGCAAAAGCCCGTCTCTAGTAAAAACACAAAAATTAGCCGTGCATGGTGGCGGGCACCTGTAATCCCAGCTAATTAAAAGGCTGAGGCAGGAGAATCGCTGGAACCCAGGAGGTGGAGGCTGTAGTGAGCCGAGATCATGCCACGGCACTCCAGCCTGAGTGAGCGAGACTCTGTCTCTAAATAAATAAATAAGATTTGAGTGGGGACAGAGCCAAACCATATGAGATGTAATGAGCTGTACATTTTCCCAGGCATTTAATGCCTTTTTGTTTTTCAGTTGCCATAATGCGGTGTCCAGCAACATACGGTACATGGATGTCATACATGGGACATGTAAAATGGTAGCATCCATCTGCAGTTAGACTGTAGGCTCCCTGTTGGAACCACCCTGCTCGTGGACAATCACTGCTGTCTTGGTAATGAACACCCCCTACATATCTGCTTCACTATAGAGCTGCTGCCTCCAGAAACCCCATACACCCATGCGTTCTGGCAGTGCCAACGGCTGGAAATTGCTGCCCACTCCTCAGCCAAACCCACAGTCAGGCAGGGAACCCAAGCCAGGCCAATTGGGTCCCTGCCTTGGGATAGTCCAACGTAACATAAGAAAAAGACAGTGTGTTAGTATTATAGGCAAAGCAAGGCAAAAGAGAATAGAGAAGCAGCTCGGGTAAGAGACTAAAGCTTCTCTGCAGGAAGAGGAGACCCCAGAGATAGGAAGCTGGCATCCTGGAAAGGTTGGACTCTGTGTTCTGGCCTCTGAGAAGAAAGTGATCACTAAGCTTGGTGCAGATTAAACATAGAAGCAAAGGCTCTTCTGGCTTAAGTGGATCAAGCTGGGGTCAGTCGCTTGCAGCCAGGGTTTTGATGCATTTGTTCGTTCTCTCTGGATGGGGTCAGTCCCTCGCAGCCAGAATTCTGAGGCGTGCGCTCCTATTGTCTGGATGTGTGGGGTTTTATTTACTTTCTTTCAAAAGAAAAGTAGATAGAAAGGCTCAAAAGGATGGGGGCA
Source organism: Homo sapiens (assembly GCF_000001405.40). Classification (NCBI taxonomy): domain Eukaryota; kingdom Metazoa; phylum Chordata; class Mammalia; order Primates; family Hominidae; genus Homo; species Homo sapiens. The sequence goes on from NC_000024.10 coordinate 2,348,525, forward strand.
GGGGAAAGACCTCCCAGCAATAAGAAAGAGGTCCAGGCAGCAACCATACAGGAAGAAGCAAAAATGAAACTGGAAAGTCAGAATGAAAAACTGCCCAATGTCTGCTATATTATTTTCTTGTTTTGCAAAGAAAGGAGGTCCAAAGCCCTTGTGGGTCTCTTATTTTTATTTTTTTTTTTTTTATTTTGTTTTGTTGAGAGAGCCTGTTGCCCAGGCTGGAGTGCAGTGGCACGATCTCGGCTCACGGCAACCTCCGCCTCCCAGGTTCAAGGTATTCTCCCTCCTCAGCCTCCCACGTAACTGGGATTTCAGGCACCCACGACCACACTCAGCTAATTTTTGTATTTTTAGTAGAGACGACATTTCACCACGTTGGCCAAGCTGGTCTCAAACTCCTGACCTCAGGTGCTCCGCTTGCCTCAGCCTCCCAAAGTGCTGGGATTACAAGCATGAGCCACCGCGCCCGGCTGTGGGTCTCTTTTTGCACAGCTGGGACAGGGAAGAAGAAAACTTGTGTTCCTCTGCCACTGTTTCCTGCAGAAATGGGTGAATACAGTAAATGGTACGGACGTTCCTCAAAAAAATTAAAAATAGAACTACTCGATGATCCAGCAAGCATGCTTCTAGGTATTTATCCAAAAGATAAATCGGTCTATGAGAGACATTTGCACCCCCATGTTTATGGCAGCAGTATTCACAATCACCAAGATATGGAATGAACCCAAGCGTTCAATAGATGAATGGATGAAGAAAATGCGGTACAGCTGGGTGCGGTGGCTCAGGCCTGGCGACAGACTGACACTCCGTCTCAAACAAAAAAAAAAGAAAATGCGGTACACGCACACAATGGGATACTATGCAGCCTTCAAAAGAAGGTAGTTGGGCCAGGCGCGGTGCCTGGAATCCCAGCACCTTGGGAGACTGAGGCGGGTGGATCACTTGCAGTTAGTTAGGAGTTTGAGACCAGCCCAGCCAACATGGTGAAACCCCGTGTCCACTAAGAAGTACAAAAATTAGCCGGGCATGGTGGCAGGCACCTGTAATCTCAGCTACTTGGGAGGCTGAGGCAAGAGAATCACTTGAACTTGGGAGGCGGAGGTTGCAGTGAGCTGAGATCACGCCACTGCACTCCAGACTGGGCGACAGAGTGACACTCAGTCTCAAAGAAAGAAATAAAGAAAATGCTGTAAATACACACAATGGGATACTTTACAGCCTTAAACGGAAGGTAATTGGGCTGAGCAAGGTGGCTCACGCCTGTAATTCCAGCACTTTGGGAGGCCGAGGCGGGCGGATCACGAGGTCAGATCGAGACCATCCTGGCTAACAGGGTGAAACCCCGTTTCCACTAAAAATACAAAAAAATTAGCCAGGCGTGGTGGCAGGCGCCTGCAGTCCCAGCTACTCAGGAGGCTGAAGCAGGAGAATGGCGTGAACCTGGGAGGTGGAGCTTGCAGTAAGCCGAGATCGCGCCACTGCACTCCAGCCTGGGCGACAGAGACTCTGTCTCAAGAAAAAAAATAAAAAAAGAACGTAATTGGCCAGGTGCAGTGGCCCACGCCTGGTATCCCAGCACTTTGGGAGGCTGAGGCAGGCAGATCACTTGCAGTTAGTTAGGAGTTTGAGACCAGCCTGGCCAACATGGGGAAACACCGTCTCTACTAAGAAGTACAAAAATTAGCCGGGCATGGTGGCGGGTGCCTGTAGTCTCAGCTACTCCAGAGGCTGAGGCAGGAGAATCATTTGAACTTGGGAGGCGGAGGTTGCAGTGAGCCGAGATCACGCCACTGCACTGCAGCCTGGGTGACAGAGCAAGACTCCATCTCAAAAAAAGAAAGAAAATGCAGTACATACAGACAATGGAATACCACGCAGCCTTAAAAAGAAGGGAATTCTGTCATTTGCCACAACATGGATGAACCTGGGGGATGTTAACGTGAAATACACCAGACACAGAGAGACAAATACCGCATGATGTCACTGACATGTAGAATCTAAAATAGTCAAATTCACAGAAGCAGACAGTAGAATGATGGTTTTCAGAAGATGAGGAGAGAGGGACGTAGGGAGATGCTGTTCCACAAGTATAAGGTTTTGGTATATAACATGAATCAGTTCTGCAGTCTGGGTACAACTGTGCACACCACAGCAGTTGTGCCTAGAGTTAACAAGACCGTATTATACATGTAACACTTTGTCAAGAGGGTGGCTCTCATGGTAAGCGTTTGACCGTGATAAAATAAAAATTTCAACACGTATGTTTATTGCAATACTATTTATAACAGCAAAGACTTGGAACCAACCCAAATGTCCATCAATGATAAGACTGGATAAAGAAAATGTGGTATGTAGACACTATGGAATACTATGCAGCCATAAAAAAGGATGAGTTCATCTCCTCTGCAGGGACATGGATGAAGCTGGAAACTGTTATTCTCAGCAAACTAACAGAGGAACAGAAAACCAAACACTGCCTGTTTTCACTCATAAGTGGGAGTTGAACAATGAGAACACATGGACACAGGGAAGGGAACATCACACACCGGGGCCTGTCAGGGAGCTGGGGGCAAGGGGAGGGAGGGCATCAGGGCAAATACTTAATGCATGCAGGGCTTAAAACGTAGAAGATTGGTTGATAGGCGCAGCAAACCACCATGGCACACGCACACCTATGTAACGAACCTGCACGTTCTGCACATGTATCCCAGAACTTAGAGTAAAATTAAAAAGAAAGAAAGTCAAAGACAGTTTTGTAAATGTTCGGCTACATCGTAACATTCAAAATGAGACTGGCCAACTTTCCCTATCTGCTTTGATGAGTCCATCAGAATACTTGTAATATGTGGACTAAGTCTTTAAATAAAAACACCTGCTTATAAATATGCCTGAATAACATGAGCTCTGGCACTTGTCAGCCTCAGACAGGTCATGACTCAGTAAAGGATGGAACACTTCCTTGCTGACACAGACTTGGAGATTGAGAAAGCAACACAGGCCACCCAATGGGAGAAAGAGGACATGGTACAGTGAAAGGCCAGTGTGCTGGACATGGGGAGGGCCATGCTATGCACTCTGGTGTCTGGATTAACCACTGGGACCAGCCCTGACTTCCTGCATGGCTGAAGAGGAGGCTGATGATGCATTGGGAGTTGGCATCCTGGCTCTCAGTGCTGGAACCCTGGACCACCTGGGTGAGACTACCAGACTGAGAGCCCTCCCTGCCCTTACTCTGTCGCCCAGGCTGGAGTGCAGTGGCGCAATCCCAACTCACTGCAACCTCCACCTCCTCGATTCAAGCGATTCTCCAGCCTCAGCCTCCTGAGTAGCTGGAATTACAGATGCCCAACACTACACCCGGCTAATTTTTGTATTTTTAGTAGAGACAGGGTTCCACCATAACAGCCAGGCTGGTCTCAAACTCCTGACCTCAGGTGATCCACCCGCCTCGGCCTCCCAAAGTGCTGGGGTTACAGGCGTGAGTCACCGTGCCCAGCCTGGAACATTTGTTGTTTCAATAAACAGCTGTGCATTTTTGCCCCCTAAAAGCACCATTGGACAACCACAATCCCAGGCCTGATGCTGGCAGTCATAGGGGATCAGATGTCCTCCCGTATTCTCTATCCACAAAACAGGAAGCTTAGCTGATGACTCCTGGAGGCACACTCAACCCTAAACTATGATATAATCCTGCAGGAAAATAAATGGTATCCCAAGATGTTCAGTATGAAAATGCATGTGGCTTTGTGGGTATTTTGCAAAGAAGCGAATGGGATAGTATCTGTTTTCTTCACTACAATCTCAGGGAATGACTCATGGAAACATCAGTGATCCGCAAGCAGATTATGGTTAAACTAAAACTCCTACGAGGCTGTCTCCAAAAACTTGAGCTATCTGAGGTGCTTCATCAACAGAGGTGTGAAAATACCGTCCTACTTGCCGGGCTGAGGGCCTGGGAGCTTACGGGTGACTCAGCTTTGCTTAGTATCACTGCTCACCATGCGACAATTCTGTGAAGTTCTTCAGACATGCAGGATCAACGCACAGTGTTACAGATCATCTGACACTTCTTCCTACCAACAAGTGTCTGCAGGCGTAGCTGCTGGGCTGCCTTGCTGGAACTTATCAGGGTGGAAACTCTTTGGGGTGAGAATACCACGTTTCGGCGTCTTCAGGGGATACAGCAGAGGTGTGTTGAATGCTACGGTGATAGCTACAAGCACAGGCAAAGGCTCCTACAGCAAATAAAACAGACCTACAAGACCAGCCACAGTAGATGAAGGGCTATAGGGACCAGCATGGGCATTCGGACCAGCACGGGCATTGAGAACAGCAGTTCAGCTTAAGCCACAAAACTTCAATTCTCCTTAAAATCTACAAGAGTCCATCTGAACCACCAAAGTTTTGGCCAAACCCAAGACCAAGAGTCCAAAACCAGGCTGGACGCAGTGGCTCCTGCCTGTAGTCCCAGAACTTTGGGAAGCCATGGCAGGCAAGATGGCTTGAGCTCGGGAGTTTGAGACCAGCCTGGGACAAATGGCAAAACCTCATCTTTACAAAAAAAAATACAAATATTAGCAGGGCATGGTAGCACGTGCCTACAGTCGTAGCTACTCGAGAGACTGAGGTGGGAAGATTGCTTGAGCCCGGAGGCAGAAATTGCAGTGAGCCAAGACTGCACTATTACACTTCAGCCTGGGCGACAGAGCCAGACCCTGTCTCAAAAAAAGAAAAAGCGTCCAACACCATCTTCCTGAAGCCATGTGTATGTCAGTAGAAGAAACCTTCAACCCCCTAGAGAATCCAAAGGGGAGTGGGGAACTCAGGTGCTGTCCTCATTTACCCCGAAATGAAGTTGTGCAGGAAAAAAAGAAAAAAGCGTCCAGGAATTCAGAACATGCTTATTATCCTAGTGAGACCCAAGGTTCCATTTGCTACAGAAGCCTATGAAATAATTCCTAGGACAAAGGGTCACTAAGAAGTCATTCATCTTTTGGGTAATAGTTGAAGGAGTCAGAAGACAGTCACACCAGTAGTTTAGGGAAGGATTATAGCTGATTGCATTTTTTTTTTTTTTTTGAGATGGAGTTTCACTCTTGTTGCCCAGGCTGGAGTGCAATGGCGCGATCTCGGCTCACCTCAATCTCCGCCTCCCGGGTTCAAGCGATTCTCCTGCCTCAGCCCCCTGAGTAGGTGGGACTACAGGCATGCACCACCACACCCAGCTAATTTTGTTTTTTTTTAGTAGAGATGGGGTCTCTCCACGTTGGTCAGGCTGGTCTCGAACTCCTGACCTCAGGTGATCCTCCTGCCTTGGCCTCCCAAATTGCTGGGATTACAGGAGCCAGGCCTACACGTGGTTTTTAAGGGCCAGCAAATTATATGTATGCACACACCTCAGTTTGGAAGGAGAATGACTGAGTACCAGTGGGATACCAGGAGAGCCCAGGAAGAAGGCAGCGTATCCCTTCACAAGCCCCTTTCCATGACTTTTCTACATGACTCCAGCAAGACTATGCTGGGGAGGAGGAGGAGACACAGGGCCTCGCCTGAGTATGGGTGCTGACTTGGTGCAAGAAGAGAAGGGTAGGCATCGTCTCCTGGTGGCCATTCCCACCCTGGAATGGCTCCAACCCAATGGAGCGGAGCTCTAGTGGTTCCAGCCACTGGAAACACCAGACGTAGCACAACAATAATGAACTGTTGTTGGACGGCCATCTACTCCAGATGTCCCATCACTGGGCAGCTGTCCACTGGGGCCAAGTCATCACTGGATGGCCGTCCACTTCGGCTGCACCATGTTCCTGGCCTACAGCAGCATGGAACACGCCACTGCTGGGATGACACCAGGGATTCCCTCAGCTTAGAGAGCAGGTGCTCACAGACAGGGGTCATGGACAGCAATCACTACCCACAGCCTCCACTCCCTGCCCATCCATCTTTTTTGTTTTTGTTTTTGAGATGGAATCTCGCTCTGTCAGCCAGGCTGGAGTGCAGTGGCGCAATCTCGGCTCACTGGAACCTCTGTCTCCCGGGTTCACACCATTCTCCTGCCTCAGCCTCCCGAATAGCTGGGACCACAGGCACCCACCACCACGCCTGGCTAACTTTTGTATTTTTAGTAGAGATGGGGTTTCCCCATATTGGCCAGGCTGGTCTCGAACTCCTGACCTTGTGGTCTGCCCGCCTCAGCCTCCCAAAGTGCTGGGACTACAGGTGTAAGCCACTGCGCTCGGCCTCTGTCCGTCCATCTTAAGCAGCTGAAGAACTGAACGGATAAAACAAAGCCCTCAAAACCACAGACACGTGTGTCCATGTCTGAGGTCCACGGGGCAAGGAGGAAAAAAGAACCAACTCACGCATCCTCCAGGGGTGAAGACTGGGCATTAAAATAAATGCCCGTATGGAGGGAAAATATCCATCTTGGGACTCATGGGAAAAACAGGCAAACACAAAAAACAGGAAAGTAATATTCCATAAAAAAGAAATGAAGAGCATCAGTTGAAATGAAGATTTATGTGGGGCGAGGCAGAAGGACCTGAGACCACTAATCCTTCACTATCTCAATTATAGCAAGAAATAGGTTGGAAGGAAAACACAAATATACAGCCTATAAAAGATACCCACAGAGGAGTAATTCAGGTGGAACATAAAAGAGATTTAAAGGTAAATAGAAACGAAAAGAAAGTCAGAGTCAAAATATTATCAGGCCGGGCACAATGGCTCGCACCTGGAATCCCTGCATTTTGCGAAGCCGAGGACGACGGATTGCTTGAGCTCAGGAGTTTGAGACTAGCCTGAGCAACATAGTGAGAGCCTGTTTCTACAAAAAATACAAAAATTAGCTATGCGTTGTGGCGCATGCCTGTAGTCCCAGCTACTCGGGAGGCTGAGGTGGGACGATGTCTTCAGCCTGGGACGCAAAGGTTGCAGTGAACCAAGATGGTGCCACTGCACTCCTGCCTGGGTGACAAGAGCGAGACCCCATCTAAAAAAAAAAAAAAAAAAAAAAAAAAAAAAAAAAGACTATCATTACTTTTAATGGCAAAAACAGCAATTACTTTTGCACCAACCTAATATATTCATATCAGATAAAAAATAATAAATTCAGAGCACAAAAATATTAAACGTTTAACAAAAGGGTTAATGCGGTAACATAATAAGAAGGGTGCCGGAAACGAGTAGGAGATATAACATCACATCCTAGAGAAGCCCGGACAATAGTAGACAGAGGGAAGATCAAAATCAAGAATGAGGAGACTCAGCTGGGTATGGTGGCTCACCCTGTAATCCCAGTACTTTGGGAGGTTGAGGTGGGCAGATCATCTAAAGTCGGGAGTTTGAGACCACCCAGGCCAACATGGTAAAACCCCATCTCTACTAAAAATACAAAATGTAGCCAGGTGTGGTGGCAGGTATATGTAGTTCCAGCTACTCGGGAGGCTAAGGCAGGAGAATCACTTGAACCCAGGAGGTGGAGTTTGCAGTGAGCCGAGATTGCGCCATTGCACTCCACCCTGGGCAACAAGTGCGAGACTCCGTCTCAAAAAAAAAAAAAAAAATACAATAATTAGCCGGGTCTGGTGGTGTGCACCTGTAATCCCAGCACTTTGGGAGGCCGAGGCAGGCAGATCAACTGAAGTCGGGAGTTCGAGACCAGGCAGGCCAACATGGTGAAACACTGTCATACTAAAAATACAAAATACAGCTGGGTGTGGTGGTGGGCACCTGTAATCCCAGCTACTCACGAGGCTGAGGCAGGAGAATTGCTTCAACCCAGGAGGCAGAGGTTGCAGTGAGCCGTGATCGTGCCACTGCACTCCAGCCTGGGTGACAAAGCAAGACTCTGTCTCAAAAAAAGAAAAAAAATGAATGTGGAGAATCATGTCAGGGGTGCAGAGGGCAGGCTTGTGGAAGCGTGTAGAATGTAGAAGAAAAAGATGATGACATGAAGTGATTGGAGAAAAGAACATGAAAGAGAAGGAAACCAGTTGAGAGGCAACATCCAATGTTGGTATCTCTGAAGACAAGAACTGGGAGAAAGAGACACAGAAACATAGTTGATCCTTCACAGGTTTGGACTGTACAGGTCAGTTATATGTGGATTTTCTTCTGCCTCTGCCACCCCTGAGAAAGCCAGACCAACCTCCCTCTTCCTCCTTCTCCTCCTCAGCCTCCTCCATGTGAAGATGATGAGGATGAAGACCTCGGGGATGATCCCTTTCCATTTGATGAATAGTAAATGTAGTTTCTCTTTCTCATGATTCTCTTGGTAACGTTTTCTTTTCTCTAGCTTACTTTAGTCTAAGCATAAAGTATGCAATACATAGAACATAGAAAATATGAATGAGTGAATCACCTGTTTATGTTATTGGCAAGGGTTCCTGTAAACAGTAGGCTATTAATAATTAAGTTTTTGGAGAATCAAAAGGTGCACATGGGCCAGGCGTAGGGGCTCACATCTGTAATCCCAGCACTTTGGGAGGCCAAAGTGGGTGGATCACCTGAGGTCACAAGTTCAAGACCAGCCTGACCAAGATGGTAAAACCCCGTCTCTACTGAAAATACAAAAATTAGCCAGGCATGGTGGCGTGCGCCTGTAATGCCAGCTACTCAGGAGGCTGAGGCAGGAGAATCGCTTGAACCCAGGAGGCGGAGATTGCAGTGAGCTAAGATCACACCATTGCACTCTGGCCTGGGCAGTAACAGTGAAACTCTGTCTCGAAAAAGAAAAAAAAAGTTACACATGGATTTTTGACTGTGTGAGGGGTTGGTGTCCCTAACCCCCATGTTTTTCAAGGGTCAATTGTAAATGGAAAGGTTTCGTGCAAAGAAAAAAAAAATCCCTGAGATAAAAACCCAGATCTGCCATTATAAGATGTATAGTAAGCCATACGATTTATTTTTAAATGCCCATATGTCCATCAACCTCATCCTGATGAAACCGTGGAGCTTTAAAGATCAAGAGAAAATCCTAAAAGCATCAAGGGAGGAACAAAAAGGACATCTGCCAATGGAAAAGCAAATCAGGTGGAAAGAGCTCTTCGTCAATGTGAGATTTCAGTAAGGAATAAAGAAAGAGCTACAGAGTCCTGAATGACAAAGGATCTGAACAAATAACCCTAGACCCGATATGGGAAAACGAGATTTGTCTCAAACACTTTGGGACTCAGGAAATTAAAAAAAAAAAAAAAAAAAAGAATCATTGCTTGTTTCTCTAAAACTGTGCCCAGACACACACACACACTACAGCAAGCTAAGATTTCCAGGCAAATCACTAAGCCATTCATAGGGAAAGACAGGCACTGTGTGTCAGATCAAGGATTCACCTACATAACGGTGGTTATGAAATGGAAAATAGAGAAACACATGTACATCACTGGGGTGTGGCTACCATAGTCAAAACAGGGTAACTCTTGAGAAAAACATCCTCTCTACAAAACGCTTATTTTAAAAAACTAATTAGAGATTGGGACAAAAAGAATCCTCAAAACAGCAATCAGAATCAAGTGATAGCATGTGGTGGATGGCTAGGGTTATGCTACTTTGTCTTCAAAAGGCAGAACCTGTTGTTCTAATTTAATTTCTGAAGTTACTCAGTTGAGAAACGGAGTTAGCTAACACTTGGTTTAAAGTTACGAAAGTTTCAAAGAGCTTCTGCACAGCCCAGGAAACTATCAACAGCGTGAACAGACAACCTACAGAATGAGAGAAAGTATCTGCCAACTATGCATCTGATAAAGGTTTAATATCCAGAATTTATAAGGAACTTAAACAAATTTACAAAACAAAACAAAAATAAAAACAAAAAAAATCCCATTGAAAGCACACCCTTTGCCACGTCAGGCAAAGGACATGAACAGACACTTTTCAAAAGAAGATACACATGCAGCTGGCCGGGCGCGGTGGCTCACACCTGTCATCCCAGCACTTTGGGAGGCCGAGGCGGGTGGATCACAAGGTCAGGAGATCAAGACCATCCTGGCTAACACGGTGAAACCCTGCCTCTACTAAGAATACAAAAAAAATTAGCCAGGCATGGTGGCGGGGTTGAGGGCTTGATATGTGGGAGGCATATTACTAAACAATTTGATTACCTTGTTTAACCTTTACAACATTCTTTTGAGGTAGATCTTACTATTCTTCCCATTTCATAGACGAGGAAAATGAGGCTTAGAGAAGTTAACTAAATTGCACAATATTCCTTAGTTAGTAAATGGCGAATTTAAATCCAGTTTGGAAAGACAGATGTGCTTTGCTTATGCATACCTTGATTTCTGAAAAAGTGCATGTAACTAAAGTCAAAAACCAAAGCTACTTGCGAGGCTGAGGCAGGAGAATGGCGTGAACCCGGGGAGCAGAGGTTGCAGTGAGCCGAGATCGCGCCACCGCACTCCAGCCTGGGCGACAGAGTGAGACTCTGTCTCGGAAAAAAAAAAAAAAAAGACATACATCCAGCCGACAAGCCTATGCAAAAACATTCAACATCACTGCTCATTAGAGACACGCAAATCAAAACCAGAATGAGATACCATCTCACACCAGTCATAAAGGCTATTACTAAAACATCAAAAAACAACAGATGCTGGCAAGGTGGCAGACAAAAAGGAACACCTAAACACTGTTGGCGGGAGTGTAAATTAGTTCCAACATTGTGTAAGACAGTGTGGCCATTCCTCAAAGACCTAAAAACAGAAATATCATTCCACTCAGCAATCCCATGCCTGGGTATATACCCAAAGGAACATCAATCATTCTGTCATAAAGACACATGCACGTGTATGTTCGTGGCAGCACCTTTCACAATAGCAAAGACATGGGATCAATCTGAATGCCCATCAGTGGTAGACAGAATAAAGAAAATATGGTACATAGGCCAGGTGCGGTGGCTCACGCCTGTAATTCCAGCACTTTGGGAGGCCAAGGCGGGTGGATCGCGAGGTCAGGAGTTCGAGACCAGTCTGGCCAACACATGGTGAAACCCCGTCTCTACTAAAAATACAAAAAAATTAGCTGGGCGTGGGGGCGTGCACCTGTAATCCCAGCTACTTGGGAGGCTGAGGCAGAGGAATTTTCAAGGGTGCAGTGAGCTGAGGCAGAGGAATTTTCAAGGGTACTGCACTCCAGCAGCCTGGGTGACACAGCGAGACTCCATATCAAAAAAAAAGAAAGAAAGAAAAAGAAAATATGGTACATAGACACCATGGAATACTATGCAGCCATAAATAAGAACAAGATCATGTCCTTTGCAGAAACATGGATGGAGCTGGAGGCGATTATCCTCAGCAAACTATGTAGGAACAGCAAAACCAAATTACTACATGTTCTCACTTATAAGTGAGAGCTAAATGATGAGAACATATGGACACAGAGAGGGGAATAGCATTCATTGAGGCCTATCAGAAGGTGGGAGGAGGGACAGGATCAGGAAAATAACTAATGGGTACTGGGCTTAATACCTGGGTGATGAAATAATCATACAACAAACCCCCATGACACGAGTTTACCTATGTAACAAACCTGCACCTGTATCCCTGAACTTAAAAATGGTTTTTAAAAATTATGGAAGTTTGAACTATAAGAATCAAAATTTCCAGAAGGTTGGGGTGATGAGGCATGAAGCTTCCCTGAGTGCAAAAGAACTCACCATTGCCACCCACGGCAAAAAGAAAAGTGACATAGAAGCAAAAAAAAAGATACAAAGCATAGTAACATTTATTCAACATCTCATTAAACATTTCGCAAGAGTGAAGGATAGACTATGCAAGAGGGTTATAATGGGGCCAGGCGTGGTGGCTCACGCCTGTAATCCCAGCACTTTGGGAGGCCAAGGTGGGCGGATCACGAGGGCAGGAGTTCAAGACCAGCCTGACCAACATGGTGAAACCCTGTCTCTACTAAAAATACAAAAATGAGCCAGGTGTGGTGGTGCGTGCCTGTAATCCCAGCTACTTGGGAGGCTGAGGCAGGAGAATCGCTTGAACCCGGGAGGCGGAGATTGCAGTGAGCCAAGATCGCGCCACTGCACTCCAGCCTGGGCAACAGAGTGAGACTCTGTTTCAACAACAACAACAAAAAAATACACATCACCCACCATTTCTTGGGTATCAACATCCACCTCTGGAATGACTGAAGGGTTATTAATCTAGGATGGTAATGGAGCCAGGTTATCGCCAAGTTTGGTAAGAACATCCTTGCCTTTGTCACTCACTGCTCTCTTGGTGGAGTTGGTACCGAGACACGGCCCGATGTGGGCAGATGCTTAGACAGGGAACATGGCTTCCTCTTCCTGGAATGGCAAGAACTTCGAATTCTGCCCCCTCTCTGCCAACGTTAGATATGTCACGGTTGAATGACTAAACACCAAATACATATCCGGAGCGAGAAATGGCATGATGCTTTCAGAGGAAGGATGGAGCTGGAATTTGGGGAATGAGGAAATGGCTTTTCCCTCTTTGTGTGTTTAGTGATGATAAGAGCAATCAGTTCTGACAGCTCCTACTGGCTGCTACCTACTGGCTGGCTGGAGCGTTGGCTTTGGTTAGAGAAAATGGAACATTTCAAGAGGAGACACTTTCCATACACATTATCATAAAAGTTTGTTTGTGAGATGGAGTTTTCACTCTGTCGCCAGGCTGGAGTGCAGTGGTGCGATCTCGGCTCACTGCAACCTCCACCTCCCGGGTTCAAGCGATTCTCCTGCCTCAGCCTCCTGAGTAGCTGGGACTACAGGCGCCCACCACCACACCCAATTTTTGTATTTTTAGTAGAGATGGGATTTCACCATGTTGGTCAGGCTAGTCTCAAACTCCTGACTTCGTGATACACCTGCCTCAGCCTCCCAAAGTGCCAGGATTACAGGTGTGAGCTACCGCACCCAGCTCAATAAAAGTTTTTAAAATGTTATCAGTAATGCTATAATGATCATCATAACTTATGGTAGGTACAAACTATAGAATCCACAACTGCTTACCAAGGTCTTATAAAGACCTAAATCTGTGGTTTATTGAGGTTCTTTGAAACCCCTCAATTTTCTTCTTGGTATTAATGATTGAATTTTTAATGGTGGGGCAGAATCTGCCCAAGTATTAGAGGGACAAAGAAGGATACAGAGAGCTGGAGTTCCATCAGTTCAGCCTGGTTAATGTGTCGTTTCTGAGCACACAGCAAGCCCTACCCTGTTTATGTGGTAAGGTCTCACTCCTATACAGAACATGGCATGATTCAAATTCTAAAAAGAAGATGTCTGGATAAGCACTTTTGATTGACTGTCTGATTAGAGGTACTTTTAATGGAATAGGCAGAAAATGCAAATATCTAATGAACATGCTGGAGAGGTTCACCATCGGCAAGCATTTCATTTTCTTTTCTTCAAAAATTAATTACAGAGTGTGGCTGCGTTTCTGTGGATTCAGTGTTTCTAATTCTTTCTTCAATTAGTCCTTTAATTTTCTTCCCAAGGAGACACATGGATATACAACACGTAACACAGTGACATTTTCTTGTCACTGAAAGAAATTTCAAAGTTCATTTTCAAATTCAAAGAAAAGGAAGGCTGGAGTGGATTGGAAAAGAGGCTACAGGCTAAGAACTTTTAAGAGCCCTAGAGAGAGTGGGGTGCTGGTGTCACTGTTATTTCATTGATTTTCCTTGTCCACAGCCATTTTCAAGACTCATATTTCAGGGCCTTAGATGGTTTGTCTCATATCACTGCTGTCTGTAGCAACAACCACTCTGTAGAAGGCTCCCAGGGAAAGACCCATAAGGTCTACCTTGTTTTTGTTTGTTTGTTTTTGAAACACAGAGTCTCACTCTGTTGACCAGGTTGGAATGCAGTGGTGTGATCTTGGCTCACTGCAACCTCCGCCTCCCGGGTTCAAGCAATTCTTCTGCCTCAGCCTCCCAAGTAGCTGGGATTACAGGCGCCCACCACCATATGCCACTAATTTTTGTATTTTTAGTAGAGATGGGGTTTCACCATGTTGGCCAGACTGGCCTCGAAATCCTGACCTCGTGATCCGCCCACCACAGCCTCCCAAAGTGCTAGGATTGCCGGCATAAGCCACCATGCCTGGCCAGGTCTGCCTTATAAGTGATATGAGCATAGGTGGAGGAGTTGAACACTGGAGAAGGATGGATCAATAACTCCACCCAACCACAGGTGCTCCCATTTCTGGGTGTCTAATCCCAACCCTTGAGATCATGCCGCCATTTTATCACCGTTCTATGGTATCATGCCGCCATTTTATCACCGTTCTATGGTATCATGCCGCCATTTTATCACCGTTCTATGGTATCATGCCTCCATTTTATCACCGTTCTATGGTATCATGCCGCCATTTTATCACCGTTCTATGATATCATGCCGCCATTTTATCACCGTTCTATGGTATCATGCCACCATTTTATCACCGTTCTATGGTATCATGCCATTTTATCACCGTTCTATGGTATCATGCCGCCATTTTATCACCGTTCTATGATATCATGCCGCCATTTTATCACCGTTCTATGGTATCATGCCGCCATTTTATCACCGTTCTATGGTATCATGCCATTTTATCACCGTTCTATGGTATCATGCCGCCATTTTATCACCGTTCTATGGTATCATGCCGCCATTTTATCACCGTTCTATGGTATCATGCCGCCATTTTATCACCGTTCTATGGTATCATGCCGCCATTTTATCACCGTTCTATGGTATCATGCCATTTTATCACCTTTCTATGGTATCATGCTGCCATTTTATCACCGTTCTATGGTATCATGCCATTTTATCACCGTTCTATGGTATCATGCCTCCATTTTATCACTGTTCTATATCATGCCTCCATTTTATCACTGTTCTATGGTGTCATGCCGCCATTTTATCACTGTTCTATGGTATCATGCCGCCATTTTATCACTGTTCTATGGTAACATGCCTCCATTTTATCACTGTTCTATGGTATCATGCCGCCATTTTATCACCGTTCTATGGTATCATGCCTCCATTTTATCACCGTTCTATGATATCATGCCGCCATTTTATCACTGTTCTATGGTATCATGCTGCCATTTCATCACTGTTCTATGGTATCATGCCTCCATTTTATCACTGTTCTATGGTATCATGCCGCCATTTTATCACCGTTCTATGGTATCATGCTGCCATTTTATCACCGTTCTATGGTATCATGCCTCCATTTTATCACCGTTCTATGGTATCATGCTTCCATTTTATCACCGTTCTATGATATCATGCTGCCATTTTATCACCGTTCTATGGTATCATGCTGCCATTTCATCACTGTTCTACGAATAATAACACATCAGCATCGAAGGAGATGAGGGAACATGCATGATGGAGCTGTGGGAGAAGAATCCCCGCCACAAAACCGGCCCAGGATCCTGGGCACAGAGATATTTCCACACTCAACACACAGGGACTGAGGTGAAAGGAGACGGCTGGGTGGGATGGAGGAGATAAGGGAGGAGACCCCTGATCCACACAGCACAGCCATGTTTGGAGGGGAATCATAATGCTACGTAGGATGTCTAAGCTCTCCTCAAGATGCGAGGCTGGGAGTCCCTTTCCAGAGCCTCAGAGAGCATACTGGTCTTAGGTCCAGGTTACTGCCATTGAATGGTAGTAGGCACATCCCCACAGAACTGGGCTGGCATCTGTAGGGATCTACATCAGTGGTTTTCCATTGGAGGCCTTTTTGTTTCCCCCTCCCCCAGGAACATATAGAAATGTCTGGAGGTATTTTTGGTTGTTATAACTGCGGTGGGGGGTATAGTGGGTACATCCATGTCAAGTGGGTGGAGCCCAGGGATCCTGCTCAACACGCTACAGTCCACAGCATGGCCTCACCACAGAGAATCATCCAGCTCCAGATGGACATACTGCCAAGGTTGACAAAGCCTGCCTTAGCATGACAGATTGTATGCATATGTGATCCATTTGTCTGTGTGCCTATCATCCAACTCACTTCCTATCATCTATCACCTACCATTTATCTATCAACTATTTATAGAATATCTATCGACCTATTTACCACCTATCACCTACTTATCTACCGTCTATCATTTATCTATTTACCATTTACAATCAAGCATCTACTTATCTATCTACCATCATTTATCTATTTACCATTTATCATCTATCATCTACTTATCTACCATCATTTATCTATTTACCATTTATTATCTATCAAGTACATATTTATCTATCATTTATCTATCTTTGATCATTATATAGCATCTGTTTACTCTCTATCTACTGTCTATCATCTACCTATCATCTATTGACCATCGATCATTTATCTACCTGTCATCTATTACCTATCATTGATCACAATCTATCATTGACCATTACTATCTATCTAGCTATTATCTATCTAGCTATTTTCTGTCTAACTAATATCTATCTATGTATCCATCATCTATCTATATCACAGTGGTTTTCAACTGAGCAAAATTTCGCCTCCTCAGGGACAACTGGCATATCTATCTATCTATCTATCTGTCTGTCATTTCCTCATTTATGAAATTGGGGTAATAACAATGCCTGCCTCAAAAATTGACAAATGAGATCTCATTAAACTAAAGAGCTTCTGCACAGCAAAAGAAACTATCATCAGAGCAAACAGGTAACCTACAGAATGGGAGAAAATTTTTGCAATCTATTCATCTGACAAAGGTCTAATGTCCAGAATCTACAAGGAACTTAAATAAATTCTCCTGCCTCAGCCTCCCTGGTAGCTGTGACTACAGGCAGCCACCACCACGCCTGGCTGATTTTTGTATTTTTAGTAGAGGCAGGGTTTCACCATGTTGGCCAGGCTGGTCTCGAACTCCTGACCACAAATGATCCACCCATCTCGGCCTCCCAAAGTGCTGGGATTACAGGTGTGAGCCACCGTGCCTGGCCAGGTTTTGGCCTTTTTGATGCCACTTTGCTTTGACCTTTACTTCTTTCTCCTGTATGCCTAGAGAGTTCATCCTAAGAGCTTGTCCTCATATCACCTCCCAGAATATGCAAACTTACAATCTCTTTACTTCTTAAAATTTTACCTTGGGGCTACCAAGCTCTGAAGATGGAAGTGAGATTTCCTCAAAATACACAGAAATGGGTAAATCCTCACATGCTTTCACAGGTATGCAGTCTTTAACCTGAGGTAGCTCAGGGATACCTATGGCTCCCAGGATACTCCACCATAGCAAAGGGTGACTGCCTTTGGTGAGCCTTGGGTGGATACTAGAGCTCTGTGAACACCGGGGCCTGTCGGGAGGTGGGGGGCAAGGGGAGGGAGAGCATTAGGACAAATACCTAATGCATGCTGGGCTTAAAACCTAGATGACGGGTTGATAGGTGTAGCAAACCACCATGGCACATGTATACATATGAACTAGTTCTAGGAACAGTTCACTGAACACTAGCGTTCTATGAACCCCCTCTCCCTGCCTGAAATGAATGCTGTCTTCACATGACATCCTACCCTCTGCCCAATGTCTTTCCCGAATGGGAATCTCTTCACCACACGGCCAATTTATCACAAACCCTTCTCTAAACCCTTACAATAGGCAGGAAACTGCTCATACCCCTACGACGGCTGATGGCAGAGGATAAAATATTAATTCTAAGAAAATAGGCCGGGTGTGGTGGCACACACCTTTAATCCCAGCACTTTGGGAGGCCGAGGCAGGTGGATCATCTGAGGTCAGGAATTTGAGACCAGCCTGGCCAACCTAGTAAAACCCCATCTCTACTAAAAATACAAAACTAGCCAGGAGTGGTTGGGCATGGCTGTAATCCCAGCTACTCGGGAGGCTGACACAGAAGAATTACTTGAACCCAGAGGTGGAGGCTACGGTGAGCCGAGACCACGCCACTGCACTCCAGCCTGGGCAACAAGAGCGAAACTCAGTCTCAAAAAAAAAAAGAAAAGAAAAGAAAAAGAAAATAGTTCAGGTAATTCTTGGAAATTGTATTTTTATACCCTCTAATATTTAAATGACCATCAATATACAACCAGGGTAGGGGGTTAATAAATAAAGGATAGCATTCTTTGCTGCATCCTGGGCTTATTTTTCTCATTCTTTTTCTGTGACACTGTCTCATTCCATCAGCCAGGCTGAAGAGCAGTGGAGCAGTCACAGCTCACTGCAGCCTCCACCTCCTGGGCTCAAGCAATCCTCCTGCCTCAGCATCTTGAGAGGGAGACCAGAAGCATATGCCATCATACCCGGATAATTTTTTTTTTTTTTCCTGTAGAGACGAGATCTTGCTATGTTGCCCAGGCTAGTCTCAAATTCCTGGGCTCAAGTGATGCTCCCGCCTTGGCCTCCCAAAAGTGCTGGGATTACAGGCAGGAGCCACCATGGATCATTCGTGTGTACAATATTCTCACTCCTTTGCACCGGAATAAAACCCAGCCCCCTGGAAAGCTGACTCTGAGACTTTGTGAGGATGTGTATGTGCGGTTTCTCATCTGAATGCAGCCATTTCACGAACACCAGCCATTCCCCAGGCTTCAGTTAAGCCATTCCCCATCAGGAAGATATAGGGCCCCCTTTCAAGAGGAACCACAATGGCTAAAACTACAATCTTCACAGCACACATGGCTTCAGCAAATACAGAGAGATGCTAGCCGGGCGCAGTGGCTCACACCTATAATCCCAGCACTTTGGGAGGCTGAGGTGGGCGGATCACAAAGTCAGGAGTTCAAGACCAGCCTGACCAACATGGTGAAATCCCGTCTCTACTAAAAATACAAAAATTAGCCACGCGTGGTGGTAGGTGCCTGTAATCCCAGCAACTCAGGAGGCTGAGGCAAGAGAATCGCTTGAACCTGGGAGGCAGAGGATGCAGTGAGCCAAGCTTGTGCCACTGCACTCCAGCCTGGGAGATAGAGCAAGACTGTCTCAAAAAAAAAAAGAAAAAAGAAAAAAAAAAAAGAACGATGCTACATTCTCAGAAAATTAGTTTTACATTGAAGCTTCATTTGGGAATTGAAAATAAGAACAGGGAAATACATTTTTCTTTTCTAGAGAAAATAAACAAGGACAAAGATGCATGGAAAATAATATTTTAAATGTCTCCTATTGACCTAAGTTATAAAGTCATTTTTTATGTAATAACAAAATAATTGGAGAGGCGTACCCAAGAGCACAATAGTCTCTGAAATGTCTTATTTCATGTACACTCAGGCACACAAAGACACATACATAATTTATAACTAATTTAGCAAAACATTATGATTTGATACAACTGGATGGTGGGTACACAAATGCTGTTCAAATTATTCTCTGCGTCTTTCAAATGTGTGAAATGTTTTATAATGAAACATTTTTAGAAGGCACATTGAAGTTCAAACAACTGCTAAACAATGAAAAAGATAAATGGTTGTATTCAAATGCTTACGGGTATTTACTCATTAAGAATATTTTGAGGCCAGGCACGGAGGCTCACACCTGTAATCCCAGCACTTTGGGAGGCCGAGGAGGGTGGATCACTTGAGGTCAGGAGTTCAAGACCAGCCTGGCCAACATGTCAAAACCCCATCTCTACTAAAAATACAAAAATTAGCCGGGCGTGGTGCCGTGTGCCTGTAATCCCAGCTACTCAGGAGGCTGAGGCAGGAGAATCACTTGAACCTGGGAGGCAGAGGTTGCAGTGAGCCAAGATTGTGGCACTGAACTCCAGCCTGGGCAACAGAATAAGACTCTGTCTCAAAAAAAAAAAAAAGAAAAAAGGTCTCCTATTGACCCATGTTATAAAGTCATTTTTTATGTAATAACAAAATAATTGGAGAGGGGTACCCAAGTCACATACGTAATTTATAACTAATTTGGCAAAACATTACGATTTGATACAACTGGATGGTGGGTACACAAATGCTGTTCAAATTATTCTCTGCGTCTTTCAAATGTGTGAAATGTTTTATAATGAAACATTTTTATGAGGCACATTGAAGTTCAAACAATTGCTAAACAACAAAAAACATAAATGGTTGTATTCAAATGCTTACGGGTATTTACTCATTAAGAATATTTTGAGGCCAGGCGCGGAAGCTCACGCCTGTAATCCCAGCAGTTTGGGAGGCCAAGGAGGGCGGATCACTTGAGGTCAGGAGTTCAAGACCAGCCTGGCCAACATGTCAAAACCCCGTCTCTACTAAAAATACAAAAATTAGCCAGGCATGGTGACAGGTGCCTGTAATCCCAGCTACTCAGGAGGCTGAGGCAGGAGAATCACTTGAACCTGGGAGGCGGAGGTTGCAGTGAGCCAAGATTGTGCCACTGAACTCCAGCCTGGGCAACAGAACAAGACTCTGTCTCAAAAAAATAAATAACCCGGGAGGTGGAGCTTGCAGTGAGCCGAGATCGCACCACTGCACTCCAGCCTGGGCGAAAGAGCAAGACTCCATCTCAAATAAATAAATAAAAGTAAATAAGTAAATAAAAAAGAATATTTTGAAACTACACATTGCCTTCTGTGTAAATTAAAAGCCAATGAAAGCCTCCTGATTTTCAGGGTGTCTCATTTCTACCCTATAGAAGCAAACCTACCACACCCTTCACTGAGGAGCCTTCGTGACCCTACCAAGGGGGAAAGAGCTTGTCTTTTCAATGAGTTTAAGAGCTTTGCTTCTGCGGTTGAAACTTCCCCCCAGCCAGCATTTCATGTTGAGAGACAGTGGCTAAGCTGATGTGGAAATAACACAAGAAATCTTGTCTGAAGATGGGTGATACCAACATCAGAACTGGAGACAGCAGGTACTGTGATTCAGGCGAAACTCTCACCACTAATTGGTGGAGAGAAGAAAAGAAAATGAGCAAATGAACTCTGATTTTGAAGAACTTCATTGAATCAGGCTTATCTTGATGTCTTGTGAGTCAACAAGATGCAGCTGGACTAGATGTGTGTGTGGAGTATTCGTGAGGGGCTAAGGGACTCTCCTATGTGTTTAGTTTTTGTTTTTTTTTGTTTGTTTTTCTTTTTGGAGACAGAGTCTCGCCCTGTCACCCAGGCTGGAGTGCAGTGGCACGATCTCAGCTCACTGCAACCTCCATCTCCCAGGTTCAAACGATTCCCCTGCCTCAGCCTCCTAAGTAGCTGGGACTACAGGCTCACACCACCAAAATTAGCCGGGGCTAATTTTTTCTATTTTTAGTAGAGACGGGGTTTCACCATGTTGGCCAGGCTGGTCTCGAACACCTGACCTCAAGTAATCCACCCACTTCGGCCTCCCCAAGTGCTGGGATTACAGGCCTAAGCCACAGCACCCAGCCCCAGCTATTTTTTGTATTTTAGTAGAGACGGGTTTCACCATGTTGGTCAGGCTGGTCTCAAACTCCTGACATCAAGTGATCTGCCCGCCTTAGCCTTCCAAAGTGCTGGGATTACAGGCATGAGCCCCTGTGCCCGGCCCGGACTCCCCTACTGAAATGTGCATGACAGAGACCCCAAGGCTGTCTTTTCCAGCAGGAGCTCCGGGTTCATGACTGAGGATAGATGCTTCCCAACCTGCTCCTCACTCTCCAAAGAGCTTGCAAGTGGGCACAGATGAACCAAGCTCACCTTCCTGACAATGACACCTGCAGATGGCACACCATGAGTTTTGTCTACAAATGCACCATTCCCCCAGTTTGAGGAGTCCCAGTTCGTCTTTTTTTTTGAAACAGAGTCTCACTCTGTCTCCCAGGCTGGAGTGCAGTGGCGCAATCTCGGCTCACTGCAACCTCCGCCTCCTGGGTTCAAGCGATTCTCCTGCCTCAGCCTCCCCAGTAGCTGGGATTACAGGCACCCGCCACCATGCCCGGCTAATTTTTGTAGTTTTAGTAGAGATGGGGTTTCACCATGTTGGTCAGGCTGGTCTCAAAGTCCTGACCTCAGGTGATCCACCCGCCTCGGCATCCCAAAGTGCTGGGATGACAGTCTGAGCCACCGCGCCCAGCTGAGGGCTTTGTATTTTACGGAGACACAATCAGTCCATCATTCCACACAACTGTGCTGTTGGGAATCTGTGAAGGTTAAGAATTCCCCACTGCCTTTGTCTTCCAGAAAATGGTTTTACTGAAAAAAAAAAAAAAAAAATTCCCTTCCTCATTACTCACAGATGCTTCCAAGTCAGCCTAGGACAAGGCTGGCCACATCCTCCAAATTCACATTCTTTATTTGCCCCTTCAGGGATGGACTGAATTCCTCGTCTTCCTTGACCTGAACAAAATTCCCATCTAACGTGATCACATTTTGGTTGGGTTTCTCTCCTCCTATCAGGCCCCGGGATGTTGGGCCAGCCTCACCTGGAGCAAACGTCAGAGGATCAAGCAACGCTTCCTTAGGACCTGCTCAAAATTAGCTATGCAGCCACAGGGTTTGGCAGCTTTTATCCATGACTGAACCCCACATCGAACGACCCCAATCACGGTTGTTCCGAGCATCACGTGCCTGTCCCTAGAAAAGAAAATGGTATGCTGCCTGCGCTCCAAGAGGCTCCCAGATGTCACTGCTCGGGTGTGCTTCATGGTGCTATAGGCAGCGTCCACCAGTGGTTGCATTAGTCCCTCCTCCTCTTGTTACAATAGTTCCTCCCCTATTACCATAATCCCTCCCCGCCATTACCATAGTCCCCCCTCCTCCATTACCGTAGTCCCTCCTTCCGTTACCATAGACCCTCCTCCGTTACCACAGTCCCTTCTCCCGTTACCGTAGTCCCTCCCCATTACCATAGTCCCTCCTCCATTACCATAGACCCTTCTACTTCTGTTACCATAGTCCCTCCTCCATTACCATAGACCCTCCTCCCGTTACTATAGTCCCTCCTTCCGTTACCATAGTCCCTCCTCCCATTACTATAGACCCTCCGTTACCACAGTCCCCCCTTCTCACATTACCATAGTCCCTCCTTCTGTTACCACAGACCCTCCTTTCGTTACTATAGTCCCTCCTCGTTACCATAGACCCTCCTCCTCCCGTTACCGTAGACCCTCCCCGTTACCACAGCCCCTCCTCCGTTACCATAGTCCGTCCTTCTGTTACCATAGTCCCTCCTTCCATTACCATAGTACCTCCTCCCATTAGCAGAGTCCCTCCTTCTGTTACCAGTCCTTCCTCCTCCCGTTACCATAGTCCACACTCCTCCCCTTACCATAGTCCCTCCTCCTCCCATTATCACCGCCCCTCCTCCTCCCATTATCACAGCCCCTCCTCCTCCCATTATCACAGCCCCTCCTCCTCCCATTACAGTAGTCCCTCCTCCTCTTATTGCAAAAGCTCCCATCTGTGGGAATGATCTTTTCAAATGAAACTGTTGCTACCTGTGTATCTGGTGTCTCTGTCACCATCATGGGACATCCCTGAAAGGTGTACCTCACTGCTGCAGAGTAGCACTCTCTGCAGGAAAGTCCATATCTTCCCTGCCCCAGACAACTGTGCTGTCCACAGCTGGACACTGGGCGCTTGCCAGACAGTTAGTGCAATGAGGCACTGAGTTTTTCTTTTCCCTTAATTATCACTTATTTAATTTTCGCGCATCACACGTGACCCCTGACCCCTGTTCTGGGCACCATCGTCGGAGAAATTTTCTTGAGGCTCGGGTTTCTTCTTTCTTTGCTACAAACTCCCAGGGCTACTTACTAAGGTGAAGAAAACACACTGTTATGTAATCCATTATACAGTCAACGTATCCTTACCAGAACCAGAAAAATTCACAATTTTAATGGTGAATCGGGTTGGGAAATCCATGCTTCTAGTTTTGAGGCGAAATACATGACTGATAAAACCCTTTTGTATTATACAAGGGAACCGGAGTGGATGGAGTTTTGCTATAGATCTCCCAGACGCGCCCCACAGCTCCATGATTGACAGCGTGAGTGTGTCTATCACACGAACCGCTGGGGGAAGGCAGGCAGTTGTGTCAAATTGGAACCGAATCACAAATGAAACATAAATTCCAGGATCCCGTTGAGTATAAAAACCCAGGACCCAACAAGGGCAAACGTAAGCAGCGAAGCCCCAGAGACCCCCTAGAGCATCCAGCATGTTGGGGTTTTAGGTTTGAAAGGGAGAGGTTGGTATTTCTTTTCTTTTCCTTCTTTGTTTTTTTTTTTTTGAGACGGAGTTTTCCTCTTGTTGCCCAGGCTGGAGTGCAATGGCGCAACCTCGGCTCACTGCAACCTCCGCCTCCCGGGTTCAAGCGATGCTCCTGCCTCAGCCTCCCGAGTAGCTGGGATTACAGGCACCCGCCACCCTGCCCGGCTAATTTTTTGTATTTTTAGTAGAGAGACGGGGTTTCATCATGTTGGCGAGGCTGGTCTCGAACCCCTAACCTCAGGTGATCCGCCGGTCTCGGCCTCCCAAAGTGCTGGGATTACAGGCGTCAGCCACCGCGCCTGGCTGGGGGTTGGTATTTCTTGTGGCTCATAAACCGCGGCTCTACTTTGCATCTGTATTAGTTCATTCTCACGCTGCTGATAGACATACCCGAGACGGGGTAATTTATAAAGAAAAAGAGCTTTAATGGACTCACAGTTCCACGGGGTTGGGGAGGCCTCACAATCACGACGGAAGACGAAAACCATATCTTCCACGGCGGCAGGCAAAATGGCTCCTGTAGGGGAACTTCCATTTATAAAACATCAGATCTCGTGAGAACACACTCACTACCACGAGAACAGTATGCGGGTCACCGCGCCCATGATTCAATTTCCTCCACCTGGCCCCACCCTTCACAGGTGGGAATCATTACAATTCCAGGTGCCATGTGGGTGGGGACACAGCCATCCCATCGTTACAGAGATTGTTGCAAGTTTGCCAGAATCCTCACACTCTTTTCAGAGGAGACCTTTCAAAAGAAACATCATCTAGGGAAGCTATGCTGTGTTCTGAGGCGAGGCTGGAATTTCAAAACCAGCTTTTCCACTAAAACACCTGCTCCATTTCCTCTGGGGCCTCCATTCTCCCCACGCCAGAATTAGGGGGTCTCTAGTCCCCCAGCTCTAATGCTTTCCAAGCAGGATAACCCTCTACATCCCATGGAAACCACGGCTGCTGCAAGGAAGAGCTGAGGGACTGCAGTGCCGCTGAACCGAGTCACCCTGGAGTTATAAATTATCAGGTTGGAGAAAAGGGGAAGGGGTTGTTGTATCTGGAGCTGAAGTTTTCAGGGCTGAGCTGCCAACGTGTGATACTTCAAGGGCCCCTGCGTACCTGACGCGGTGTGGACAGTTCGCACCCACATAGAGTTTGCAAGCCAACAGGAAACCTAGGCAGGCTTCCTGGAGGAGGCATCATCCGGCCAGGAAATAGAGGTGAGATGTTGACAGCAGGAGATGGTGAGAAAGGAACCCAGGAGGAGGGTTATCCAAAATAGGGCACACAGGTGAGAGAGTGGGGGAAGAGGAAGCCACAGGAAGGAAGAAAAAAGGTCAATGATATTGTGACGTAAAGTAAGTTCCTGTAGCATCTTAGCATAGCAAGTTTGAGAAACAGTCGTGCATGGAATGAGGACAAAAAAAGACCTCTGCACCTGCACACCTGCCCTCTACTCACCTGTCCAGCCCAGGCAATGGCCTACCACCCTCATGTGATTAGTATTGTTCTAAAGAAATGGAGTCTCACTATGTTGCCCAGTCTGATCTCAAACTCCTGGGCTCATATGATCCTTCTGTCTCAGCCTCTGGAATTGCTGGGACTACACAGGCATGCCACCGTGCCTGGCTGATTTGGATTCTTGACAGAAGAGTTGGCTCTGAAATACCAACATGTGGTTCTGTTTAAAAACAAAGGCTTCTCAAAACAGACCACAGTGAGGCCAGGCTCAGGGCTGTAATCCCAGCACTTTGGGAGGCCGTGGTGGGAAGATTCCTTGAGCTCAGGAGTTCAAGACCACCCAGGGCAACATAGTGAGACCCCATCCAAAAAATAAAAATAGCTGGGTGAGCAGCCGGGCACAGTGACTCACGCCTGTAATCCCAGCACTTTGGGAGGCCGAGGCAGGCAAATCACCTGAGGTCGGGAGTTCGAGGCCAGCCTGACCAACATGGAGAAACCCCATCTCTACTAAAAATACAAAAATTAGCCAGGCATAGTGGTACATGCCTGTAATCCCAGCTACTTGGGAGGCTAAGGCAGGAGAATTGCTGGAACCCGGGAGGCGGAGGTTGCAGTGAGCCGAGATCACGCCATTGCACTCTAGCCCGGGTGACAACAGCGAGACTCCATCTCAAAAAAACCAAAAAACAAAAAACGAAAAACAAAGTCTTCTCGAAACAGACCACAGCAAGGCCAGGTTCAGTCCTGTAATCCCAGCACTTTGGGAGGCCGTGGTGGAAGGATCCCTTGAGCCCTGGAGTTCAAGACCACCCAGGGCAAGATAGTGAGACCCTGTCTCTATAAAAAATAAAAATAGCTGGGTGTTGGTGGCATGTATGTGTAGTCTCAGCTACATAGGAGGCTGAGGTGGGAGGATCGCTTGAGTCCAAGAGGTAGAGGCTGCAGTGAGCCAGATAGCACCACTACACTCCAGCCTGGGCAACAGAGCAAGAACCTGCCTCTAAAACAGAAACATAAATAAACAAAAATGAAAATAAACTATCCTGCATTCTTCAGACAACACTGTGACTACAGGACAAGCGGTCACGCTGTCATGGAAGGATGGAGCCCATCTCAAAGGGAATTTCTGGAGTGCAGAAAGCAACCACATCAGGTGGGAATACGCCCTCCCAGTCAGCAGGTGCGTTCTCAAATCTCCAGCGGGTAATTAGTGCACATCACACAATGAATGAGCTTCCGATAAGTGAAAGTATGGTATGCACACCGCGGCTGTGAAATGCGGTTCGTTCTTGGATATCATGGGCAGCATTGAAAACTTAAACCTTTTTCTTCTTGTGGAAAAGGCTGGGGCTTGTCATCACTGTCTCCTCCCTTCCCCTCGCAGTTTATATTTAGCTGGGCACACGCCGTGTGGATGCCCGTTTTCTTCCTCCTAGGGGAGAATCCTCAGCTACAGGGTTGTTTTGGTTTCCTTGTGTGTTTGTTTCTTGATTTATTCTCTCTTGAGTCAGCAAGAGAACGGCTCGATGGGATGGTTGGTTGGTTGGTCGGTTGGTTGGTTGGTTGGCTGGTTGGTTGGTTTTTGAGACAGAGTCTCACTCTGTCGCCAAGCTGGAGGGCAGTAGTGCGATCTCGGCTCACTGCAACGTCCGCCTCCTAGGTTCAAGTGATTCTCCTGCCTCAGCCTCCTCAGTAGCTACGACTACAGGCGTGCACCCCCACGCCTGGCTAATTTTTGTATTTTTAGTAGAGACGGGGTTTCACCATGTTGGCCAAGCTGGTCTCGATCTCCTGACCTCGTGATCCACCTGCCTCGGCCTCCCAAAGTGCTGGGATGACAGGCTGGAGCCACTGCACCCGGCCGGCTCAGTGGGTTTTAGGAGCATCCCAGCATTCCCCGGACACAAAATGTGCCTCTCTGTGATTTTTACTAACTCGCCTGGAGTCACCAATGTTGTTGCCATATTTTGACCAAAACAGTAATAAAAGGGGCAATTTTCCTAGGGGCTCTTGTTCTGGTAGAAGAACAACTTCCCGCTGCCTGCATTGCAGGTGCCTCTGACTCAGGAGGAAACGCAGAATTTGGCGAACACGTGAAGTCTTTTTTCGCTAAATCTAAATTCTACAGGGTGGCTGGGGCCAATTGCAGTACGGATCTGAGGCATTGTAGATGGCAAGAGTGCATGTGTGCGTGTGTGTATGTGTCTGAGTGTGCATGTATGTCTACACTTGCCATAAACGAAAGCACAAAAGGGAAATGTCAGAAAGAAACCAGCAAAGGAAGCCAGCATCATTCACAATGCTGGTGTCTGTTACCCACAGAGGATGACATCGTCATTCAGGTGGCCATGAAGAAAGGCTTTGAATGACACTCCCAGAACAAGAGCCTGGAGATCTAACATCCACTCTGATTCTGCCCCTAGCCTTGGGTGACGTGGGTTTAACTGTGACCTCACCAAGATGTGTCCACCCAGAACCTAGGAATGAAAGCTCACTTGGATATCAGATCTTTGCATACAATTAGGTTGCACTAGAGTAGTGTCATTGCATACAACTAGGTTGTCATTGCATACAATTAGGTTGCATTAGAGTAGTGTACGCTGTTAACTGAATAACTGGTGTCCTTATAAGAAAAGGAACATTGGAGGCCGGGTATAGTGGCTCACGCCTGTCATCCCAGCACTTTGGGAGGCTGAGGCAGGCAGATCTTGAGGTCAGGAGACTGAGACCATCCTGCCCAACATGGTGAAACCCTGTCTCTACTAAAAATACAAAAATTAGCCGGGCACGGTGGTGCACACCTGTAGTCCCAGCTACTCAGGAGGCTAAGGCAGGAGAATCACTTGAACCCGGGAGGCAGAAGTTGCAGTGAGCCGAGATCACACCACTGCACTCCAGCCTGGGTGACAAGAGCAAAAACTCTATCTCAAAAAAAAAAAAGGAGAAGAGGAACACTGTGGCATAGAGACACAGAGATGGCCACGACAAAGGCAGATACTGTATTGATGCTTCTACACCAGCCGTCCCCAGCCTTTCTGGCACAGAGACTAGTTTCATGGAACACAATTTTTCCACACACACACAAAAACTGTCTTCATAGAAAGACAGTCACTGTGAGTGCAGGGGGAAGGATCTGGGGATGATTTGAGCGTATGACATTTATTGTGCACTTTATTTCTATGATGATACGTTAAATGAAGTAATTCTACAATACAACTCATTGCCATGTAGACTCAGTGGGAGCCCCAAACTTGTTTTCCTGCAACTAGATGGTCCCATCCGGGGGGTGATGGGAGACAGTGGCAGATCATCAGGCATTAGATTCTCATAAGAAGCATGCAACCCAGATCCCTGGTCTGCCCACTTCCCAATAGGGTTCTCAATCTTCTGATAATCTAATGCCACTGCTGATCTGACAGGAGGTGACCTCAGGCGGTAATGCGTGCAGTGGGAAGTGGCTGTGAACACACATGAAGCTTTGCTCAGTACCAGTCCACAGCCAGGGGGTTGGAGTCCTCTGTTCTACAGGACAAGAAACAACCAGGATTGCTAGCTAGCGAAGGAAGCCAGAAGAGATAGCGGAGGATCCTCCTCCAGAGCCTCCGCAAGGGGCACAGCCCTGCCTTAATACTCCAGAATGAAATGCATTTCATAATTGCAGTGTGCACACAATACTTTTTTTTTTTTTTTGAGACAGAGTCTTGCTCTGTCGCCAGGCTGGAGTGCAGTGGCATGATCTCAGCTCACTGCAACCTCCGCCTCCCGGGTTCAAGTGATTCTCCTGCCTCAGCCTCCTGAGTAGCTGGGACTACAGGTGCGTGCCACCACACCCGGCTAATTTTTTGTATGTTTAGTAGAGATGGAGTTTCACCATGTTGGCCAGGATGGCCTCGATCTCTTGACCTCGTGATCCGCCTGCCTCGGCCTCCCAAAGTGCTGGGATAACAGGCATGAGCCACTGCGCCCGGCCGTGTGCACACAATACTTCAACTTACTGAACGCTTATTCTTTGTGTCTGGTGCAATAGTGACCTGCTGGAGATTTGCAAATATACTTAGTGACTGGAAGGTTGTATTTCCACCCGGATGTGTTGGCTTTCTGCTCCAGGAATGTCCTTTGACACGGGCTCTGCCCTTGGATGACCAGGTGGTCAGCCTGCCTTGGCTGTGGACTTCTGGTGTTCAGAGCTGTCAGAGATTTGACTTCTGTGGCTTTCAGCCAGCTGGTTTGTAGAATTGTGTCGCAGCAGCTCCAGGAAACTAAAATATTGAGCCTCCCCTATGACAGTGGACCCTTGAACACCACGGGCTTGAATTGAATGGGTGTCCCCTTATATGTGGATTTTCTTCTGCCTCTGCCACCCGAGACACCCCCTTCTCTTCCTCCTCCTCCTCAACGTCAAGATGACGAGGATGAAGACATTTATCATGAGCCACTTCCACCTGATAAACAGTAAAGATATTTTCTCATCCTTACGATTTTCTTAAGGAAAATCACAGCTTACTTTATTGTAAGAATATAATATAGAATATTTACTATATTTTTCTCTAGGTTACTTCATTGTAAGAATATAGTATATAATACATACTATATTTTTTTCTCTTGATTAATTTTTTTTTTGAGACAGAGTTGTGCTCTTGTCACCCAGGCTGGAGTGCAGTGGTGCGATCTCGGCTCACTGCAACCTCCACCTCCCAGGTTCAAGTGATTCTCCTACCTCAGCCCCCCGAGTAGCTGGGATTGCAGGTGCGCACCACCACGCCTGGCTACTTTTTTGTATTTTTAGTACAGACGGGGTAGCCCCATGATGGTCAGGCTGGTCACGAACTCCCAACCTCAGGTGATTCGCCTGCCTCAACCTCCCAAAGTGTTAGGATTACAGGCGTGAGCCACCGCGCCCGGCCTTTGGCTTACTTTATTGTAAGAATATTACTATATTATTTGTGTCTGGTGCAATAATGACCTGCCTCATGATCTGTCACTGTCTCCCATTACCCCTAGATGGGACCGTCTAGTTGCAGGAAAGGCTTCCAGCCAACAGCAAGCTATTAGTTAAGTTTTGGGGGAGTGAAGAGTTACACAAGGTCTTCACGTGCCCCTAACCCTCACGTGGCTTCAGAGTCCCCTGTAAATGAATGTGTGGCAAGCAAAGAAAGAAGAACATGAAGAAAAGAGGGAGAGGAATACCCTACCACTACACAAGACCATATATCACCAACACCATTAATTCTTCCTTCTACATGATAAGCCGGCAAAGTCCCTGTCCTTGATAACTGTGCCAATGACGTCTGATTCCCAGTAGATGGATGATGACTAATTAGTCCTACATGGCAAACAAACGAAGGGTTAATTAATCTGAGCCTGCCTGAGTTATCTGTGAATGAGGATAGCCCAGTCACTTGACAATCATTTTAAACAGGTCAACGGATGATCAATCACGACTGAAATTCCCCCGTAAAAGACGTGTCCACTCAACTGGAATTTATTTCTAGGAAGAAAATGAGCGACCTGTGGGCTGGCAGTGGAGGTTTTTTTTTTTTTTTTTTTTTTTTAATGATGCTGCTGTTTCTTAAAATGGGCTTTGAGTTTTTTGTGTTATTCTATCCAGGAGAGCTCATGAAGGACCCTGTCAGTGTGGGGGGCATCCAAAACACATTAAGGCCAGATTCCTAGAGAAAGCTGTTTTGCCGAAACAAAAATGATGTCTGGTGGCATCACAGGCTTTCTTTAATCCACTTGGGCTCAGTCGTAATGGCAAAGCTAATGAACACAGAGGGATATTTGCAGGATAAAAGCAATTAGAACAATTATGAGGGTAATTAACTGGCCCAACACACTCGTCAACACATCTAGCAGGACCGCCAGAATCTGAGACTCCAAAACCCAAGGTTTTTCTTTTCTGTTGATTCCAAAATCCTGGATGGATTTCCTGCTAAAAGATTGCATTGGCCGGGCCCATTCGCTCACACCTGTAATCCCAGCACTTCGGGAGGCCGAGGCGGGCAAACCATGAGGTCAGGAGTCCAAGACCAGCCTGGCCAACATGGTGAAACCCTGTCTCTACTAAAAATACAGAGCTTAGCTGTGCATGGTGGCACGTCCCCATAATCCCAGCTACTCGGGAGGCTGAGGCAGGAGAATTGCTTGAACCGGGACCCAGGAGGCGGAGGTTGCAGTGAGCTGAGATCATGCCACTGCACTCCAGCCTGGGCTACAGAGCAAGACTCCGTCTCAAAAAAAAAAAAAAAAAAAAAAAAAAGACTGCATTGCAGGATGAGATGTCTTAAAAAAAAAAAAGTAGCTGTAATCTCTCATGGAACTATACAACCTTAGAAACATATGATAAGGAAGCAGGATGTTGAAGGAATACAGGGAAAGATGGTCTCTACAGGTCCTACTGAGTCTAGCAGGGATGGTTCAGGAGAGATGTATAGATATGATGTATGAGTTTACTATTGCTGCTGTTATGGTTTGGCTCTGTGTCCCCATCCAAATCTCACGTTGAATTGTAATTCCCAGCGTTGAGGGAGGGACCTGGTGGGAGGTGATTGGATCATGGTGGCGGATTTCCCCCTTGCTGTTCTCATGATAGTGAGTGAGTTCTCACGAGGTCTGACAGTTTAGAAGTGTGTGGCATTCCCCCCTTGCTCTCTCTTCATCCATCACCACCGAGCATTCATGCTGCACACGTAAACTCAAAGACTCAAGGTCGCCATGTGCTATGGTTTCAATGTCTGTGTCCTCTCGAAATCCCCATTTTTTGGTTATTGTTTTGTTTTGTTTTTGCTTTTGCTTTTTTGTTTTGTTTTGTTTTTTGAGACGGAGTCTCACACAGTCGCCAGGCTGGAGTGCAGTGGTGTGATCTCGGCTCACTGCAACCTCCGCCTCCGAGGTTCAAGCGA
This sequence comes from Homo sapiens, assembly GCF_000001405.40. Taxonomy (NCBI): domain Eukaryota; kingdom Metazoa; phylum Chordata; class Mammalia; order Primates; family Hominidae; genus Homo; species Homo sapiens. Next base: position 2,380,970 of record NC_000024.10, read on the forward strand.
TTCTCCTGCCTCAGCTTCCTGAGTAGCTTGGGATTACAGGTGTGCACCACCACACCCGGCTAATTTTTGTATTTTTAGTAGAGACAGGGTTTCACCATGTTGGCCAGGCTGGCCTCGAACTCCTGACCTCAGGTGATCCGCCTGCCTCAGCCTCCTAAAGTGCTGGGATTACAGGCGTGAGCCACCACACCCGGCCCCAGATCCCTGTCTTGAGACATAACCTACAAGGTGATAGTGTTAAGAGGTGGAGCCCTTTAAGACGTGATGAGGTCATGAGGGTGGGGCCTCAGGAATGAGATGAGTGTCCTTCTAAAAGGGACCCCAGAGAGCTCCCTCGACCCTTCTGCCACGTGATGACAAGAGTGAGAAGGCACCGTCTGTGAACCAGGAAGCAGGTCCTCACCAGACACTGAACGTGGCATGCTTTGATCTTGGACTTCTAGCCTCCAGAAGTGTGAGCCTGACCAACAGGGAGAAACCCCGTCTATACTAAAAATACAAAATTAGCTGGGCATGGTGGCGCATGCCTGTAATCCCAGCTACTCAGGAGGCTGAGGCAGGAGAATCGCTTGAACCCAGAGGGCAGAGGTTGTGGTGAGCCGAGATCACACCATTGCACTCCAGCCTGGGCAACAAGAGGGAAACTCTGCCTCAAAAAAATAAAAATGAAAAAAATAAAGAGGCAAAAGAGCCAGAAGCAAAATGTGCATCCGCCTATTTCCCCTGAGGGCACGTACGTTCCCTAAGAGCGACAGGTAGAGTGACTAAAAGCACCTTTGTTCCAACAGTGGCAGGCTGTAGCATCCCCGTTCTCAGGAAGCCACAACCAAAAAAAAAAAAAAAAAAAAAAAGCCAGCAACACACATGAGGTGAGAAGGATTTTCCTGAAAACTTCCAGCCTGACAGGTGCATGATTATTTTAAAAGCAGAGCCTAGATGTGCAAATCTGCAGGAGGGGTAACATGAAACTAAAACATGGCATTGTTTGCAAGCTACATGGCTTCGTAGGAGAGTCTGCTGTATGGGGGGCCATGGCTTGCATGGCTGACAGCATCACTTCTCCTGCATAGTGCAAAACATGGACAAGAAGATGCCTGAAGAGGTCCTGTGGGCCTGCCTAGACTCATCTGGCTTAATTACAATATTCAGAAATGCAACACCTACTCTCTGGAGAAGTATTCCATTCCCTCTTTCTGGGCTCCCACAAGCACAGTCTTTGCTTGGCTGAGCCAAGGGAGCTGACAGCAGAATCCCTGAGTCTTCGGATATTAGGGCTGTTGTTAGCTATGGAAGGAGGGCAGAGTTGAGGGTGTCAGACTTGGCCAACCTACCCACCAGAAGGAGGACATGCAAGCCACAGAGACTTGGGAGGAAGGACACAGAACAGTCCACAGATAGTCAAGTAGAGCAAGATTGTTTCAGGAAAAGGGGTTGGTTCTTTCACAGAATCCATGAACAGCAATCATTACCATTTTCATAATCATCACTATCACCACCATCACCAACATCATAGCCACCACCATCATCATTACCATCATCACCATCACCACCATCATCACTACCATCATCACCATCATCATCATCACCATCACCATCATCATCATCACCATCACCATCATCATCACCATCATCACCATCACCATCATCACCACCATCATCACCATCATCACCATCACCATCATCACCACCATCATCACCATCATCATCACCATCACCATCATCACCATCATCACCATCACCATCATCACCACCATCATCACCATCATCATCGCCATCATCATCACTATCATCATCATCATCATCACCATCACCATCATCACCATCATCATCACCATCACCGTCATCACCACCATCATCACCATCATCATCGCCATCATCATTATCACCATCATCATCACTATCATCATCATCATCACCACCATCACCATCATCACCATCATTAGCAGCAGCAGCAGCATGACCATCATCACCATCATTATCATTTCTATCATCACCATCACCATCATCACCATCATCAGCAGCATCATCACCATCACCAACATCATTATCATTTCTATTACCACCACTATCACCATCATCATCATCACCACCATCACCATCATCAGCAGCAGCAGCATCACCACCATCACCATCATCATTATTTCTATCACCACCACCATTGTCATCACCATCATGACCATCATCATCACTGACCATCATCATCATCACATGACCATGACCATCACTATCACCATCCTCATCACCATCATCATTATCATTTCTATCACCCCATCATCATCACCATCAGCATCAGCATCATCAACACCAATATTTTCATCATCACTATCATCACCATCATAAACACCATCATCACCATCACCATCATCATTATCACATCAGCAGCAGCAGCATAATCATTATCATCACCATCATCACCATCGTCATGATCATCACCATCATCATCATCATCACCATCATCACAGTCATTACTATATCACCATCACCATAATTATCACCATCATCACCATTACCACTGTCATCATCATTGCCATCATCACTACCACCATCATCACAACCATCATCACCATCAGAATCACCATTATCATCAACATCATCATTGTGGCAGCTGTCATTCATGAGATCCCACAATGCACAAAATATTTTCCTGTATTTTATTCCTTTGGCCAGTACTTTTTATATCCCAGTGATGTTCCATGGACCATCATGGGGCTGGGGAAATCAGTGACACAATTAAACAACCAACGATACAATGTGTGAGGTTGGCGATAGAAGGGATTAAGTGTCCCAAGGGAGCAGGGAGTTGTAAGGCACCTGGCTTCAGGACAACTGCTTTACAGCATGCTATAAAAGCTGAGAAGACTAGCATGAAAGGGACTTGGATGGTCAGGAGGCAGAGGAGGGGAAGAATTCTCAAGAACCAGGAACCACATGTGCACAGCTACAGCAAACAGGTGGAGGCATGAAGGGCATTCTGCCCATATGGGTTTAAGCAGGTTAAGACAACAGTGTGACTCAGCAGGATCTCTCTGACTGCAGTGTAGACAGTTCAGGGAGGGAAACCTGGAAGCCGAGAGACTAGCCAGGAAGCAGAGTTATGAAGCAGGTAAGGGATAGGTGTGACCTGCTGTAGGGAGTGATACCGAAAATGACGGAGTGTTTTTGATAAGCATGTAGGTGGTCTACAGAGCTCTCAGTTGCCACCAGGGAGAGGAATGCCAAGGTGGAGAAAAGCATCTCAGACACTCTAGGATCGACTGTAGGCAGCTGAGAGGATGGTAGTCCACTGACTTACACAGAGAGAAGGAAAATGTCAAATACATTCCTGCACTTGCTGTGGAAGCAGGGAGGTGTAGGAGGCAGGAGTTTGGAAACAAATATATTGGTGAGAACTAGCAGAGCAGAGTTTTGGAGAACACGGACGTGGTTGCAAGACCTAAGGAAAGGTGTGTAGTGTGAGATGCTACGAGGAAACGCTGAGGAAAGGCAGCATAAAAGAAACAGTCAAGAAAGAAGCCACACAGGAGGGTAGGTCTTGGAGAAAGCAAACCCAGAGGGTGGAACCTCATGAGAGGATGGAATTGAATCTTTCAAGACAGCTGTTAAAGGACACTTTTTAAGAGTGTTTATCATAATTTTGCTCACTCAGATAAGTGGATGATTATTTAATTCCTCACTCCAGCTGGACTATAAATTCCACACAGGCAAGAAGCAAGCTTATTTGGTTGTATTTAAAATTGAACAATGGGATCACGTGGACACAGGAAGGGGAACATCACACTCTGCGGACTGTTGTGGGGTGGGGGGAGGGGGGGGATGGCATTGGGAGATATACCTAATGCTGGATGACCAGTTGGTGGGTGCAGCACACCGGCATGGCACATGTATACGTATGTAACTAACCTGCACAATGTGCACATGTACCCTAAAACTTAAAGTATAATAATAAAAAATAAATAAATTTAAAAAAAAAAAGAAAAAAAAATATATATATATACATTTGCTGCGCACCTGTAGTCCCAGCTGCTCGGGAGGCTGAGGCAGGAGAATCGCTTGAGCCTGGAAGGCGGAGGTTGTAGTGAGCCAAGATTGTGCCACTGCACTCCAGCCTGGCGACAGAGTGAGACTCCATCTCAAATATATATGTGTGTGTGTGTGTGTGTGTGTGTGTATGTGTATATATATGTGTGTGTGTGTATACATACATACACACATCCAACAAGTACCATCATTACCATCACCATCATCACCATCATCATCATTTAGGGAAAGGAACACAAATGTGACACTGGAAATTCACATTTGAATTTGGAAATTCATCCATGAATCAGCCAGAGGGCTATGGTGGTGGCTAGTGATGGTCATGGTTGCTTTAAAAGATGCATGCTTTATTGTGGTTTATGAGAGAACCACCAAGAATGGAAAGAATGTAGCACACAGACCGTAATTCTCATTCCATAGCCACAGCAGGCATCACTAATTGATGACTATTCCTTGCTGCAGGATCATTCTTATCTCAGGGTGCTGGCAGCCAGAACCAATCAATCAGCCTTAGGAGGGAAAATCCACTTGCCATCCATTCAATTTGTGATTCGGGTGTAGAGCATCTCCTGCATTCCGGCTGCTGTTATGAGATTAATTCCTTCAGAGGTTTACTAATTAATGGATGTTGAATTATCCCAAATGCTTCCCTGTTACCTAATGAGAAGCATCCTTTGGTCTACAGGTGGATGAGTTGCAACTAAGTCAGGAGTAATTTTTTTTTTAACCTGGAAGTCTATTCAGTGGATAAGATTAAACTAGATTTTCTTTATTTAGGTTGGTAAGTAGAACCAGCCGATGATGCTTCTTTGAAAAGTGTTCATTTGGGAGTAAAACGGTTTACTCAGACACAGGTTGGTGGCTCTGGTCACTTTGAAGAGTACAGCCAGTAGATTTTTGGATAAATGGCCAAATACTACACACCTTAGGATTTGTGGGCCATAAGGTCTCTGTTGCAACTCTTCAAACCTGTGTACCTAAGGCAAAAACAGTCACAGGCAATAAGTAAATGAATGTATATGGCTGTGTTTCAAGAAAACTTTAATGAGAAAAACAAGTTAAGGGTCAGATATGTTCCAGGGTCAACAGTTTCCAGATTCTTGATCTAGATTGTCCTTGATGGTTTGGAAAAAGTATATAGATAATCAATTATTTATTTATTTATTTATTTATTTATTTATTTATTTATTTTGTGTGTGAGAGAGAGAGAGAAAGAAAGAGAGAGACAGAGAGACGGAGTCTTGCTCTGTCACCAGGCTAGAGTGCAGTGGCATGATTTCAGCTCACTACAACCTCCACCTCCCAGGTTCAAGCAATTCTCCTGCCTCAGCCTCCCAAGTAGCTGGGATTACAGGCCTGTGCCACCACACCCAGCTAATTTTTGTATTTTTAGTAGAGACAGGGTTTTACCATGTTGGCCAGGCTGGTCTCGAACTCTGGACCTCAGGTGACCCGCCCAACTCAGCCTCCCAAAGTGCTGGGATTACAGGCGTGAGCCACTGCACCCAACCAGATATTCAAGAATTCATTAGGAACACTTGGTGGAAAGTTCTGACGGTTGAAATTTCAGCATGTTGTTTTATCTGTGATCTGTAATTCCATTTGCATGAATTTAGCAAAATTCTAATTTTTTGCAATAAGACAGCCTTTCATCCTTTGCCCAGGAGGAGGTAATCAAATATGTTAGTTGAGTTAAGAATAAATTACTTTTTTTGCATAAGTTTAAATCATATTTTTATTACATGTTATTTCCTCTTTCTTGTTCCAATTCATGCTAATCTGTCCTTGCTTCTTTTGTGTGTGGAATGAAGGATGAATAAATGGTGGGATATTATTCTTTCATTTTTCTTAAGGAAACTACTATTGATGGTTTTGTTTTTTTTTTTTTTTGCTTCTCTGCTACTTTCCTTTTGTATTTATTTCTGCACAATGTCATTATTTTCATACTCCTGCTTCCTAATTTTACTTTATTTCTTAGAGGCCCAGTCATCATTTGCTTTTTTATTTCTTACTAGCACGAGAACTTAGAGTGATACAAATCTTCTGAATATTTTGGCTGCATTCTGCAGACAGTGACAGCTTCCATTTCCATGGATATTATTTATAAAACATTTTTGTCACCTGCTATGAATTGTCACCCTGCCCACATGCTTTAAAAGGACAGTTTTTGAAATCAACATGAGTTTGGGCACTGGGAAACTGCAAACTTAATAAAATTAAACATTAAAAAAGCGGCTCTTTCTGCTTCCCTATCAACTGAGGCAGCAGGGTTATAGATGTAGGGGGTAAGGAACGGACCCTGTATTGGTCAGGGTTCTCTAGAGGGACAGAACTAACAGGATAGATATATAGAAAGGGGCATTTATTCGGTATTAACTCACACGATCACAAGGTCCCACAATAGACTGTCTGCAGGCTGAGGGGCAAGGAAGCCAGCCCAAGTCCCAAAGCTGAAGAACTTGGAGTCCAGTTTTCCAGGGCAGGAAGTATCCAGCACAGAGAAAGATGCAGGCTGGGAGGCTAGACCAGTCTAGTCTTTTCATGTTTTTCTGCCTGCTTATAGTCTAGCCTCGCTGGCCTGCTGATGACATGGTGGCCACCCAGATGATTAAGGGTGGGTCTGCCTTTCCCAGCCCACGGACTCAAATGTTAATGTCCTTTGGCAACACCCTCACAGACACACCCAGGATCAATACTTTGCATCCTTCAATCCAATCAAGTTTACTCTAAGTATTAATCATCGCAGAACCCATTCCAAGGGCAGAAGTTTACAGAGGAAATAGTTAGGACCTCAGCCAGCTCCAGAGTGTGCATGGATCAGATAACAGGGGTGAATTTCCTCACAGCAGGCGGAAAAAAAAAAAAATTCCCTACTCTGAGCCTCCACCCTCCCCTGCAAAAAAAAAAAAAAAAAAAACGGGATTCCCTCAGGTACCCCCAGAACCTAAATCTTGTTCTGTGCCAGGGAGGCATGGGGTACAGGAGCCTGGCTCACTCCTGAGGAAGCCACTGCTCATAGCTACAGGGTAGCTGTGGTCCTGTGGGGACTGATCAGCCTCAGGGCTTGAGGGGACAATGAGGGCAGAGAAAACAGGAGAAGGGAGTGGTATGGGTTTGTCCTTGGTCTTACTCAAAGGAGCCATTGGGAGGCATGGAGGGAACCCCATGGCAAGATGCTGAGACGATGCCAGCTTGCTGGGGGTTGCAGAAACGTTTTCAGGTAGCCCCTTGGAAAGAAACACTGGTTGTCATGGGCTGAATTTTGTCCCCCTCAAATTCATACATTGAGATCCTCACCCCTAGGACTTCAGAATGTGATCATATTTGGATATGGGGTCTTTAAAGAGGCAATTAAGGTAAAATGAGGTTTCAGGGGGTTGGGGGGAGGCTGATCCAATGGGACTGGCTCCTTATAAGAAGAGGAGATGAGGACACAGACACACACAGAGGGACAACCCTGTGAGGACACAGGGAGAAGACGGTGACTCCAAGTCCAGCAGAGAGACCTCAGGAGGAACCAGCCCTGCCCATACCCTGATCTCAGATGTCCAGCCTCCAGTACTGTGGGAGAATCAATGTCTATTGTTTCTAAGCCACCCAGCCTATGGTATTCTGTGATAGCAGCCTGAAATGGACTAAGATATCTCATAAGAAGAGGAGATGAGGACACAGACACAGACAGAGGAAGGACTCTGTGAGGACACAGGGAGAAGACAGCATCTCCAAGTCCAGGAGAGAGACCTCAGGAGGAATCAGCCTTGCCCATACCCTGATCTCAGACATCCAGCCTCCAGGACTGTGGGAGAATAAATGTCTTGTTTGTAAGTCATCCAGCCTATGGTATTCTGTGACAGCAGCCTGAAATAGACTAAGACATTTCATAAGAAGAGATGAGGACACAGACACACACAGAGGAAGGACTCTGTGAGGACACAGGGAGAAGACGGCGTCTACAAGCCAGAGAGAAAGCAAGCCTACCGACACGGTGACCTCAGACATGTAGCCTCTACAGCTGTGAGAGAATAAGTATCTTTTGTTTAAACCACCTGGTCTGTGGATCTCTGTAACACTCGGCAACGCTACAAGACGAATACACGGACCAGAGCATTAGAAGCGCCGCAGGTGGTCTCTGGCAGTCACGCTTCTGCCATGAGAATCAGCTCTAACCGTCTGTTACCGGGACATAGGGTAACCAGCCAGGAAGGGGTCACCTGGTCTCCTTCCTCCTCTCTCTCACCTGCACCCAGGTGGGTGCTCCAATGGCAGCTCATGGGGGGAAAGAGAGGGAAAGGCTGGGCCAGAGGCAGCAGAAATCTCCCTTCTGAAAGAGGAAGATGACCTGAGCTCCTGCCCTGGGCTGAATCCCTGAATCCAGACTCTGTTTTGTGATGAAAGTGATGGCGGTAACCTGGGAGGGGGTGGGTAGGTAGGTTTCGTGTCCACCTCTGTTTCCATGCAGGAGCTTGGGAGAGGGAGACAGGGAGGGCACAGCACATGGATGACACCCCACGGGCTGTGTGCTTGGCGTGCTGGACACGTGTGTCACAGTCTTTCTTGACCTAAAACATGGGTACTTTTATCCACTCATGAGTGTATGATCAATTGACACACACGAGTCACTCACCAACAGCTGCACAAGGATGCTCCAGAGATAAATCTTCTCTTGCCTTGTGTTTTATTTATTCTTCTCTGTATCTCCCTGATCTGGCCTTTTCAGATTCAGAATCACGTGGGTTGTTGAGCATTTCCAATTTAAGGGCAATTACTTATTTTATTTTTTTTTTATTGTTTTAGATGGATTCTTGCCGTGTCACCCAGGCTGGAGTGCAGTGGCATGAGCTCGGCTCACTGCGACCTCCGCCTCCGGGGATCAAGTGATTCTGCTGCCTCAGCCTCCCGAGGAGCTGGGATTACAGGCTTGAGCCACCATGCCAGGCTAGTTTTTGTATTTTTAGTAGAGAAGGGGTTTCGCCATGTCGGCCACGGTGGTCTCGAACTCCCGACCTCAAGTGATCCACCCGCCTCAGCCTCCCAAATTGCTGGGATTACAGGCATGAACCACCGTGCCCGGCCTCATTTTTAAAATAATTTTTAATTGTGGAAAAATACACATAACATAAAGTTTAGCATTTTAACCTTTTTTTTTTTTTTTTTTAATGGAGCTTTGCTCTTGTTGCCCATCCTGGAGTGTAATAGCGCGATCTCAGCTCACCACAACCTCTGCCTCCCGGATTCAAGCGATTCTCCTGCTCAGCCTCCCAAATAGCTGGGATTATAGGCGCCCACCACCACACTCGGCTAATTTTGTATTTTTAGTAGGAGGTTTCTCCATGTTGGTCAGGCTCGTCTCAAACTCCTGACCTCAGGTGATCCACCCGCCTCGGCCTCCCAAAGTGCTGGGATTACGGGCATGAGTCACCATGCCCAGCTGCATTTTTTTTTTTTATAATTTTGAATTGTGGAAAAATACACATCACATAAAGTTTAGCATTTTAACCATTTTTACGTACACAGTAAAGTGGTATTAAATACATTCATATTGTTATGTAGCCATCACTGCCATGCATCTCCAAAATATTTTCATCTTGCCAAATGGAAACTCTGTTCCCATTAAACATTAAGTCCCCACCTTTTCCTCGCCCAACCCCTATAACTACCCCATTCTACTTTCTGTCTCTAAAAATTTAAAGGTACTCTGTGTACCTCATAGGAGTGGAATCCTACAGTATTTGTCCTTTGGGGATTGGTTTATTTCACTTAGCATTAATGTCCTCAAGGTTAGCCCACATTGCAGCATGCATCTGAATATCCTTCCTTTTTTATGGCTGTGTAATATTCCATCATTTGGATACACCACATTTTGCTTATCCATCTGCCTGTGGAGGGACACAGTTTCTCTCCACCTTTTAGGATTGGATTATTTCACTTAGCATTAATGTCCTCAAGGTTAGCCCACATCGCAGCATGCATCTGAATACCCTTCCTTTTTTATGGCTGCGTAATATTCCACCGTTTGGATATACCACATTCTGCTTATCCATTTGCTTCTGGAAGGACACAGTTTCTCTCCACCTTCGGGTTATTGTAAGTAATACTGCTGCTGCAAACGTGGTTTGTGCAAATATCTGTTGGAGACCCTGTTTCCAATTCTTTGAGGTATATACCCAGCAGTGGAATTCCTGGTGCCATCTGTTCTTACTTTTTATTTCATGGAATGCTGTTTTATTGGGGACCCAAGAATTTGGCAGGATCAGTCTATCCTCAGGGAGTCAGTGAAGTTCAATAATAAAGAAACTCTCCAGGTCGTCCCTCCTTAAAAGTCAGGTTCCTTCAAGACAGAATACAAGTGACCTGCCCTCAGGCAAAAGGGATGCCGGCAACGTTGCACCACTGGTGCAACACCAGTATGCACCAAGGCATAACCCAAGATTTAAGACGCAGCCAAGAGCCCTTTCCCAGGAGGAGCCATAGGTAGGAATTCTCAGGCAGGCAGGGGACTGGGGGAAAAAATAAACCCACCTAGGGGTGGAATCCTGCCAAGTAAGAGAGGAATATAGAAGGCAGCAGACACAGGGGTCACACCCAGAAATGCAAAGGCTGATGTGAAAAGCCTGCCACGAAGCACCCAGCCCATCTTAAGTGAAATTCAAGAGGACTCCTGTAATCCCAGCACTTTGGGAGGCCGAGGTGGGCAGATCACCTGAGGTCAGGAGTTCGAGACCAGCCTGACCAACATGGTGAAATTCCCATCTCTACTAAAAATACAAAAATTAGCTGGGTGTGGTGGGACACACCTGTAATCCCAGCTACTGGGGAGACTGAGGCAGGAGAATTGCTTGAATCCAGGAGGTGAAGGTTGCAGTGGGCCAAGATTGCACCACTGCACTCCAGCCTGGGTGACAGAGCGAAATTCCGACTAAAAGAAAAAAAAAGGAAAGAAATTCAAGAGGGACTGTGAAAAGAGCAGTGATTGCTACACAGTCCAAGGCGATCCATGGGGATGAGTCAGCAATTATGCATCCAACGAAGTGAGGTTTGCAAGGTGAGGAAGGAGGAGGGAAAACGCTGTCGTTCACCATCCCTCGCCACAGGGAGGCCACAGGCAATGCCAGCAATTCAAACGTGCTGCTTAAACAAAGCATCCTGGTCCTTCCTGGGGAAATGGAAATGGGTATGACGGTCAGGGAGGGTGACGCTACCCTCAAGCCCAGCCCTTCACTTCAATGGGATTTAAATGCCATGCATGTTACAGTTCAGTTTTATGAAACCTCTGCTTTTATCTAAAGCATATATAATTTCATAAAGTATATGTAAAGCATTTATCATTTTATATATGCAGCACATACAATTTTAGGAGGAAATGATGGTGCACGCCTGTAGTCCCAGCTCCTCGAGAGGCTGAGGTGGGAGGATCGCTTGAGTTCCAGAGGCAAAGCCAGCCCGGGCAACACAGCAAGACTCACGTCTCTTAAAAAATAAAATAAAATAAGTAGGTATATAATTTTATGTATATATTAATTTTATATTTTGTATACTGATATATATGTATTATATATTATATGTTACAATGTTTATTTATATTATATATTATGATATATGCTTATTATATATTATATTTATTATATATTATGTGTTACATAGTATGATATATATAAAATAATATATACATAAAATTAAACATCCAATAACTATAGTTTATACTTATATATTATAAATTCGTGTTTATTATAAAGTATGATATAAAAATATATACTAAATATATATACTATTTATAGAATAGCATAAATATTTAATATAAATTATTTATAATGACACAAATATAATTTATAGTTATCATTATATATTTATGTAATATATATTTTATATATACACAAAATGTATTGTGCATATTATATTATGTTTTATATATAAATATATAAATAAAATATATCAAAGTATATCTTGTATATAATTTTATATTACAAATATATGTTACAAAATATATATACATTACAAAATGTAACATACATATGAATGTGAATTCATATGTATATACATTATAATATAAATTCATATTATGTCATTATGTATTTAATATATACATTGAACATAATACATCATATATAATAATACATTATAATTTAATGTATATGCTTTATAATAATAAATATATAGTAAGTATATAAACCTAAAATATTAATATAGATCAAATATATAAATGTGTATACAATAAATATATGAACCTAAAATATGAATATATATAAAGTAGATGAATATAACACATAAACAAACTATAAATGTCTAGACATTGACCATGTACAAGTGTGCAGTGTGGACAGTGAATGGAAATGTGAGCATGAAATGTGTGTTGACGCCTCCCATCTCCTGTGCACACACAAGACACAGCGACCTCCCCATCTCCTGCGCACACATGACACACAGGGACCTCCCCATCTCCTGTGCACACACATGACACACAGGGACCTCCCCATCTCCTGCACACACATGACACACAGGGACCTCCCCGTCTCCTCCGCACACACGACACACAGGGACCTCCCTGTCTCCGGCGCACACAGGACACCCAGGGACCTCCCCATCTCCTCTGCACACACGACACACAGGGACCTCCCCGTCTCCTGCACACACGACACACAGGGACCTCCCCGTCTCCTCCGCACACACGACACACAGGGACCTCCCTGTCTCCTGCGCACACACGACACACAGGGACCTCCCCGTCTCCTGCACACACGACACACAGGGACCTCCCCATCTCCTGGGCACACAACACCCAGGGACCTCCCTGTCTCCTGCACACACGACACACAGGGACCTCCCCGTCTCCTGCACACACGACACACAGGGACCTCCCCATCTCCTGGGCACACAACACCCAGGGACCTCCCTGTCTCCTGCACACACGACACACAGTGACCTGCCCGTCTCCTGCGCACACACAACACACAGGGACCATTCGGGGTTCAGGGACGCGTGTCCATGGTAGGATCCCTGGCAATTTTTCTGATTTGCCCGAGCACTCATGAGTTTCATGACTGCTATGATTTTTCACAGAAGCTTGGCTGTGGGCAAGATGGGTTGGCAGATGCAGGGGGAACCGGATGGAAGGCTGCTTGTGTCCGGGCTCACTGTCCTGGCGGCTGCAGGTGCCTAGGCCATGAGGACATCTGAGCAGACAGGGCGCCGGAGGAGAGGGCAGGACAAGAATGGGAGTGCAGACAGCAGGCTCCCTGTGAAGGCCAGTGGGCCCAGCTGAGACCCAGGGAGGGGTATACCTGCCCCACAGGAGAGACCTGGACTTGGCAGCAGCAGGGAGCTGGGGCAGGAGGGAAATCGGCCCCACCCACATGCTGCAAGCACGTCAGCCAGGTCAGAGTTCCAGGTGAGGACGAGGTTACAGCTACAGGTGATATGATGTCAGAGCTATCGGTGAGGATAGCCGGTTAGAGCTACAGGTGAGGGTAAGAGGTCAGAATGCCAGGTGAAGATGAGATTACAGCTACAGGTGAGGATGACATCACATTTACACGTGAGGATAACAGGTTAGAGCTACAGATGAGGATAAGAGTTGGAGTTGGGGCCGGGCACAGTGGCTCACGCCTGTAATCCCAGCACTTTGGGAGGCTGAGGCGGGCAGATCACAAGGTCAAGAGATCGAGACCGTCCTGGCCAACATGGTGAAACCCCATCTCTACTAAAAATACATAAATTAGATGGGCGTGGTGGCACGTGCCTGTAGTCCCAGCTACTCAGTAGGCTGAGGCGGGAGAATGGCGTGAACCTGGGAGGCGGAAGTTGCCGTGAGCCGAGATTGTGCCACTGCACTCCAGCCTGGGCAACACAGTGAGACTCCGTCTCATGAAAAAAAAAAAAAAGAGTTGGAGTTGGAGTTCCAGGTAGTGATGAGAGGTTGGACTTCCAGGTGACAATGAGTGGTCAGCATTACAGGTGATGGAGGGAGGTTGGAGTCCTAGGTGAGGACAAGTGGTCCGAGTTACAGGTGATGGGGAGAGGTTCGAGTCCCAGGTGAGGATCAGTGGTCAGCGTTATAGGTGATGATAAGAGGTTGAAGTTCCAGGTAAAGATAAGCCATCACTGGGGCCAAGGACAGCCCGAGGTCACAGGGCTGGCTCAACCCTGATTCCTCCAAGACCTGTGTTCTTTCCTGCACCTGTTTCCTTGGAACGAGTCTGTTCAGGACTCACACTCACCTGCTGCAGGGAGCTCAGCTCTCCAGCCCACCTGCACTCTCTCCAGAACCCCTCCCTGCCCGTGTGAAGCAGGAGGGTGTCACAGATCAGCACCCAACACACCTCGGCCACTGGGGCCAGCCAGGGGGTGGAGGGGCCGAGCTACGTAAGTCCCTGCGCGCACCACAAAGGGGGCTTGTACTGTGTCTAGAAACCTTTCATTTCTGTTTTGAGTTTACTTTCTCACTGGGGTTCCACTCCTGGCAGACCTCCCTTTTTCCCATAGAGAGGCCGCACGCAGAATTTCCAAGCATCTGGAACCCCGGCTGCTTGGAAACATGTAGCGCCTCCTGTCATGCCCCATCGGTGACCAGAGAGGACTGAGTAAGGGATGTTCCCGTGACTGCAAGGAAGGCATGGATGGGGGCGTGTCCACCTCCAGCGGAACCCCCAGGGGACTTGGAATTTGGAGGCAGAGTCTGAGGCCAACACTTCAGAGTGACACACGCATGTTCAGGGTCACCTTACCGGAAGCCATGCATTTCCCTGATGAGCCAGGGGGGTGACTATGTCTCCCCAAGTTCTTGTCCCATGACCTGGGGTCAGGACACAGTGTGCTGATGTCACACCATGTCACACAGCTGTAGTATGCCTCTATCAGCAATGCAACTAGATATTCTATTCCTGCCCGATCTATGTCTCTACTCGTCTCCCGAGGCTGCTGTGACAAATGACCACACCTGGGGAACTTAATTCAACAGGAATTCATCCTCTACTGGCTCTGGAGACCAAAAGTCTGAGATCAGGTGTCTCAGGACCATGCTCCCTCCGGGGGCTCTCAGGAAGGGGCCTCCCTGCCTCTCCTAGTTCCTGGGGGCTCCAGGAGTCCCTGGGTTTGTGGCCGCATCGCTCCAGTCTCTGCCTCTGTCTCCACAAGGCCTTCTCCTCTGTGTCTGTGTCTCCTCTCCTGTCTCCTACAAGGACAGCTATCATTGGATTTAAGACTCACCCTAATCCAGAATGATCTCATCTTGAGATCCTTAACTAATTACATCTGCAAAGACCCTATTTCCAAATAAGTTCCTGTTCACAGGTTCTGGGGATTAGGACATGGACATATCTTTTGGAGATCAGCATTCAACCCCTTGCAATTGTGTTTGATGCTTTCTTTCTTTTTCTTTTTTTTTTTTTTTTTTTTGAGACAGAATCATGCTCTGTCTCCCAGGCTGGAGTGCATTGGCAATATCTCAGCTCACTGCAACCTCAGCCTCCCGGGTTCAAGCCATTCTCCAGCCTCAGCCTCCCGAGGAGCTGGGATGACAGGCTCCCGCCACCACGCCTGGCTAATTTTTGTATTTTTAGTAGAGATGAGGTTTCACCATGTTGGCCAGGCTGGTCTCGAACTCCTGGCCTCAAGCAATCCACCCGCCTTGGCCTCCCAAAGGTGTCTGATACTTTCTGAAGACTCTAGGGGGCATCCTTCCTGCCTCTTCCAGCTCCTGGTATCCCTAAGTTGATGGCCGCATCACTCCAGTCTCTGTCTCCACATGGCCTTATCTGTGTCTCCCTTTTTTTTTTTTTTTTGAGATGGAGTTTCACTCTTGTTGCCCAGGCCGGAGCGCAATACCACGATCTCGGCTCACCACAACCTCCGCCTCCTGGGTTCAAGCGATTCTCCTGTCTCAGCCTCCTGATTAGCTAAAATTGCTCTTAATATTTTAAAGGATACTGCAGAATACAGAGGCATTTGAAGGAATAAAGAGAATGGCTGAAAACAGCTGAAATTCAGCTTCTTTTTACTATTATTCCATTTTTATTTAGAGAAAAGGGTCTTGCTCTGTCGCCCAAGCTAAAGTACAGGGTCGCGATCATGGCTCACCACAGCCTTGACCTCCAGGCTCAAACGATCCTCCTGCCTCAGCCTCCTGAGTAGCTGAGACTCCAGGCACGCACACCACGCCTGACTAATTTTTTTATTTAGTTGTAGAGACAAGGTCTTGCCATGTTGCCCAGGCTGGTCTTGAAGTCCTGGGCTCAAGCGATCCTCCTGCCTCTGCCTCCCGAGTAGCTGGGACCACAGTGCACCCCACCAAGCCAGACTGATTTGTTAATATTTTGTAGAGACGGAGTCTCTCTACGCCACCCTGACTGCTGTCGAACTCCTGGCCTCAAGCAATCTTCTTGCCTCAGCCTCCCAAAGTGCTGGAATTCCAAGCGTGAGCCACCGGGCCCGACCCTGGCATTCACCCCTCTTGAGACACGGTGGGAAAGAAACTGTGAATAGTTATTTTCACACGTGCCGCCTGTGCTCTGGTGGGAGAAGAGCAATGAGAACACTCGCCTTGTTTCTCTACCTCGGTTCTCATTCACAGACAAAAAAAAAAACAACAGTAACACAGCCAGGCAGGGTAGAGATAACTCCCTCCACTGACAGAGACATTTTTTTTTTCCCATTTTAACAACACTCATTAATTCTTATCTGTTAAATAGCGCGTAGAATTTGTGCCTCTAAACCCACTCGATAATCTTTTGGGTAATTAACTTGTAAAACAACCCCAGTCCTCGTTACGGGCGGGATGGAAAAATGTGAAGTAGCGCATTTGCAAAGCAGACCATACACAATTACTTATTAAACATGCCCCAGGTGTGCCGGCAAGTCGGCGGCAAGTGGAAGCCCTCAGCCTTGTCGTCTAATGGAAGAAGATTAAAAAGTGCCAATATCCTCAGAGCGCGCACACACACACACACACACACACATAGATACATATGCCAACAGGCTGATCTCACACACATAGATACATATGCCAACAGGCTGATCTCACACACATAGATACATATGCCAACAGGCTGATATATTCAGGGTCTGGAGAAGGATTACACAAAGAGATGAGTTGCGGAAGGGGGCTCGCTTGCAGACCCTTGTAGGTGAACAGGGGCAGGGATTAAGGAGCTCATGGTGCTGCAGAAGTATCTCTGAATGGATCAGGGCAACCGTGCATTCAATAGCAAAATATGTCAGTATGACTCATCTCAGAAACAGCCTTGCTTCCAACTGCAGGCGGTGATTTGGCCAGAGGTGGGCTCCAAGACTTGGGAAACACTCGTCAGAGCACCTCTAACCTCTACCTAACTCTAGCCCTAACCCTAAATATTAGGGAAATATGAGACTATGAGTTTTCAAAAAATAGCTGGGTATGGTGGCTCACTGTGCCTGTCATCCCAGCACTTTGGGAGGCTCAGGTAGGAGGATCGCCTGAGGCTGGGAGTTGGAGACCAAAACCCAAAGAGGCTGTGAACCACAACACACCGTCATTTCTGGAAACGCACCGACTATCTGGGAGGCCCATGTGTGGATGTGCTTATTCTTAAGTATTTAAAGGCCCATGGAAAGGCGCTTTTGCTCTTTAGTGAAAATATATACTGGGCTCTATCGAGCCACGAAAAGACGCAAAGAAACGTTAAATGCATATTCCTTTTTTTTTTTTTTTTTGAGATGGACTCTCGCTGTGTCACCTAGGCTGAAGTGCAGTGGTGCGATCTCGGCTCACTGAAAACTCCGCCTCCCAGGTTCAAGCAATTCTCCTGCATCAGCCTCCTGAGTAGCTGGGATTACAGGCATGCGCCACCATGCCTGGCTAATTTTTGTATTTCTATTTATTTGTTTATTTATTTGGAGACGGTGTCTCGCTCTGTCGCCCAGGCTGGAGTGCAGTGGCGCGATCTCGGCTCACTGCAAGCTCCCCCTCCCGGGTTCACGCCATTCTCCCACCTCAGCCTCCCGAGTAGCTGGGACTACAGGCACCCGCCACCAAGCCCAGCTAATTTTTTTTGTACTTTTAGTAGAGACGGGGTTTCACTGTGTTAGCCAGGATGGTCTCGATCTCCTGATCTCGTGATCTGCCCGCCTCGGCCATAGAGATTTGGAAGGTTATTACCACCCTGAGATATGAAGAGCCCTGAAGAGAAGGAACACAATGAGACCTGCGAGGACCAATTAAACTTTCAGAGAGTGTGGGACATCTATGCCCACGCATGAGAACACATACGGTGACCTCAAGGAAAAATTACCAACAGGAACGCATGAGTCTATCTGTTTATCTACGCATATGCCTGTCTACAGCCTGACTCGGGACACTTCTCGAAAACATGAAAGAAACAAAAGGACTCACTATGAAAAGGAAAACAGTCAATAAGGGCCATTTTATGTTTAAAAAAAAAAAAAACACAGGCCAGGCGTGATAGCTCACGCCTGTAATCCCAGCACTTCGGGAGGCCAAGGCAGGCAGATCACAAAGTCAGGAGATCAAGACCATCCTGGCTAACACGGTGAATCCCTGTCTCTACTAAAAATACAAAAAATTAGCTGGGTGTGATGGTGCACGCCTGTAATCCCAGCATCTTGGGAGGCTGAGGCAGGAGAATGGCTTGAACCAGGGAGTCAGAGGTTGCAGTGAGCCAAGATCGCACCACTGCACTCCAGCCTGGGCAACAGAGCAAGACTCCGTCTCAAAACAAACAAACAAAAAGCAAAAAAAAAAAAAAAAACAAAAAAACACAGGGGCTGAGCTTGGTGTCTTACACCTGTAATCCCAGCACTTTGGAAGGTGGGAGGATCGCCTGAGGCCAGGAGTTTGAGACCAGCCTGGGCGACATAATGAGACCCCGTCTCTAGAAAAAATTTAAAAAACAAAATTAGCCATGTGTAGTGGTGCATGCTACTAGTCCCAGCTACTCGGGAGGCTGGGGTAGGAAGTTTCCTACTGAGGAGTTTGAGGCTGCAGTGAGCTATGATCACACCACTGCACTCCAACCTGGGTGACAGAGCAAGACCTTGTCTCCAAAACAACAAAACAAAAAACAAAGGTAATTGTGAATATATGCTGAACCAGAATACACATCCACAATCTGGTTAAAACTTCTCGGGAATAAACATAATTAATCGTTGGCGAACACATTCACATAAAGTGCTGTGATTCCAACTTCAGCACAGACATGATCTCTCAAGGATTCTATGCCCTAAAATCATGTCACAAGAATTCTGTACATTAAAAATGGATACCCAGGGGTGTGGGGAGAATTCCATGCCATCAACACTCACATCATCCTTTTTCCAAGTTTCGCAACCTCCTTAACAATCCTTCTACCCAATCCGAAAGTCTACAGGTTGAAGAAAAATTCTAGGTGTCTTCTTGCCCCAAGATATGTCTGCCTCCTGACTTGGAGTTCTCGCTCTGTTTGATGATGAAGACCAGTAGACACCTACACAGAGACTCTTGCATGTCATCATGAATAACATATGTCCCAGTCATGTGTCACAGGTGAGCCTGTAAAACAGGCACTGAGGTAGATTGTCTCGGGAGCCACTGTGTTTCAGGCACTGAATCAGAGACTCAGAAGATACCTGTGCACAGAATCCATCTCTGCCCTCACAAAGCTCTGATTTTAGCAGGGACAGGCGATGAGGAGGGTGAGTATTCCCAAAACAACAACCCTCATCTCTTGCACGTGGAACGGGTCACAAAGAGCTCTCTTACTGACAACAAGCATTCATCCTACACTTCACTGACTCTTGTATTTTCAATCTACTCAATTACGTTGATGACCTGTTATCAACCTTCATCCTGATTTCACAGTATTCTGTTTTCATGATAAATTCAAGTATTTTATAGGTCATTGGATAGGCCAAAATGATGGTTCACAAAGATCTATTTTCAAAGTAGAAGTGCCTCCCAAGGCGGCGTGCAAAATTTACCTTCTTGACACCCATCAATTACAGAAGGCATTGACCAGTGATTTCTTTTATTGAAAACAAACTTGGTCTAATAACTGGGTGGAAGCACATGAACCAAACAGCTAGTCCCTCTTCTGATGAAGACGGCACAAGCTACTGGAAGAATAATATTTGGGAAGCTTTTTTTTTTTTTTTTTTTTAGATGAAGTTTTTCTCTGTCGCCCAGGCCGGAGTGCAGTGGCATGATCTCGGCTCACCGCAAACCTCCGCCTCCCGGGTCCAAGCCATTCTCCTGCCTCAGCCTCCTGAGTAGCTGGAATTACAGGCACCCGCCACCATACCTGACTAACATTTATATTTTTAGTAGAGATGGGGTTTCACCGTGTTGGCCAGGCTGGTTTCAAACTCCTGACCTCAAGCTATCTGCCCGCCTAGGCCTCCCAAAGAGCTGGGATGACAGGCGTGAGCCATCGTGCCTAGCCAGGAAGCTAAATGAATCAGAAGATGCTGTTTGTGATTAAAGTTACACAATCATTATAGAAAATGAGGACACCGTGCACCTTCCAAAGAGGATACACAGCACGTGTCTAGTCTGATCTCTCTTAGGATTTAGGATTACAGGGGTTCCACCATGGCATGTACGAGCTGCAAAAGAGAATGGGCCTGCCTTCAGTGCTTTTAAGAGTGTTTAACTGGTTATCTCTCCCCATCTGAGTTCATTTGAACACGGCTATGCCTTTCTGTGTTTGCTTTCATGGAGCCGCTGGGGTTTGATTTATTTATATTTGGAGGAGTTTCGGTAAGTGAATGAGACTATTTGTTCTAAGTAAGACAGCTTTCATCAGCACATAATTACCCAGGAGCCACAAAGGTGTGGGCACAATGGCTAAGTGATGATAAGGAGTGAAAACGCTTCCCTGGAAAATCCCTAGCTTGGGAAATGAGCCATCTCGCCCAGATTCCTGAAAACAATCGCGCATTTATAATTCCGAGAGCTCAATTAGCCGTCCTTCTGTGGGCACGTAGCTTCCCATGCCCTGCCCAGCGTGGGATCTCAGAGGAGCACGACTTCAAAGACAGAAAGTACAACAAAGTACGCAGGCCAGAGTATTAACCCAAGAACTAAGGAGAGAGAATTGAGAGCAGGAAAGGCAGGAGGGGAAAGCAGGCTAGACAGGCGCCCAGCATGTTGAAATAATTGTGTGACTGACACTCCACAGCAATCTGTGCTCCTGGAGTCAGGACGTGAGCCGACTTGCTTAAAAATAAATCCACATGGCTGAACCGGGGTTACCCGATGCCGGGATCCCAGCAGAGCAAGAACGAAACAGCACATTCAGCTCCCTCTGTCCCTCGCTGGGCAACTGGAGGTTGTGGGGACAAGAATCAGAGTTCCAGCAGGTGCAGGCCAGTCCAGAGAGAAGCACAATTTAGAGCAAGGTTCGTACGGGTTTGGTGGAGGTGTGCCCAGGTCTCAGCTGAGGAGGGAAGGGATGCCTGTAGGAGCTGTGGTCGTCCATAAGATGTTGTGGGCAGCAGATACCACTCACAGGCAGAGGGCAGACCCTGCCGTGTGGCTGGACCACGGATCTGGGGGCTCCTGAGCCTGGAGGCAGACTCAGTCGAGGTAAAGGCTCAATGGCCACAGCCGAAATGTCCCCACCCAGCTGGGCCTCAGCATCATCTATCAAGGACTGGAGAGTCCCCCAGCAGTGGACATACCAGGGCCACCACTGATGAATGTCCAAACCTGTTCAGATTTTAAACTTTTTTCTTTTAAAAAAAAAAATTGCATGCACACATAGTAGGTGTATATATTTATGGGATAATGAGGTATTTTGATACAGGCATGCAATGTGTAATACTCACATCAGGGCAAATAGGGTATCCATCCCCTCGAGCATTCATCACTTGTTTGTGTCACTAACATTCCAATTACACCTTTAATTGGTTTCTTTTTTTTTTTTTTTTTTTTTGAGATGGAGTCTCTGTAGTCCAGGTTGGAGTGCGGTGGCACAATCTCAGCTCACAGCAACCTCCGCCTCCCAGATTCAAGCAATTCTCCTGCTTCAGCCTCCCAAGTAGCTGGGACTACAGGTGTGCACCACCACGCCCGGCTAATTTTTGTGTTTTTAGTAGAGACGGGGTTTCACCATGTTGGCCAGGCTGGTCTCGAACTCCTGACCTCAAGTCATCCACCTGCCTCGGCTTTCCAAAGTGCTGGGATTCAGGGGTGAGCCACCATGTCCAGCAACTTTTAGTTATTTTTAAATGGACCATGAAGGATTGTTGACTGTAGTCACCCTTTTGTGCTATCAAATACGAGACCTTACTCATTCTATCTAAAGTATATTTTTGTGCCCATTAACCATCTCCACGGCACACCCCATCTTCCCACCCTCTTACAAGATGGTAAAGCTTTTAAACAGCCACAGAAAGTGCAAACGATTCTTTTCTTCTTTTCTGTAAGATTGGCTTAAAGGCCATCGGTATTTATATGCCACAAGTAAACTAACATTTTTTAATGGTGGGGACAAATCATGTATTCGTCATGCTACTTGTCCACAAAACACTGCACTTTAAAAACTGATGATCGAATATCCTACACAAACTTTTCCAAGAAAACAGCAATGATTTGTTATTGTGGTCAGATGCAGTGGCTCACGCCTGTAATCCCAGCAATTTGGGAGGCTGAGGTGGGTGGATATCTGAGGTCAAGAGTTTGAGACAAGCCTGGCTAACACGGTGAAACCCCATCTCTACTAAAAATACAAAAAATTAGCCGGGCCTGGTGGTGGGTGTCTGTGATCCCAGTTACTCGGGAGGCTGAGGCAGGAGAATCGCTTGAACCCGGGAGGCGGAGGTTGCAGTGAGCCGAGATCACACCACTGCATTCTAACGTGGGCAACAAGAGTGAAACTCTGTCTCAAAAAAAAAAAAAAAAAATTATTGGTCAAAATTCATGTTGTCTAAATCTGAAACATTTTCAGAATCTAATAAAATTAAGTTGGTGATTATAAATCATTGTTTCTTGGCTGTCATTTTGGTTAGGTGGATCACATATGTGAATTTTGGGGAACTATATATAGTTTTTAAGCCGTTCAGATTAAAAGCAAAAAGTCATGAGAAAAGAATGCCTCACTTGTCAGTTTCCAGAAACTTCTCTTTGGGCTCCAGATTGATGGTTGAATGCCTTCAGGACAGCAGCAAGTGTACCATTTGAAGGTGCGTGGGGATCATTTAACGGCCTCATAAGAATGCAGATTCCAGGGCCCCGCCCCCACCCCCAGAGGCCCCGATTCACAGATGGGCCCTGGGCACCTGCATTTCTTGTTTACTCCCCGGAAATGCTGATGTGACAGGCCCGGAGAAGGCACTTTTGGATTCATTGTGTTAGAAAATGCCACTCCTTTGAAAACCTGCTGCAAATGAGGAAGGGCCAAGGTGGCAGGGAATAGGACCCCCTGTCACAGATGAAACAGGAATTTTAAAAAATTTAAAAATGTATAAGCAAAAACTCAGTTGTATGTAAGAAAACCCAGTTCTCCCTGAGGAAGAGAAAGAGTTGAAGTCCATTAAAAATTAACTGCCTGTTTTTCTGCGGCTAATAAGCCTTGTCTCTTCCTTTCCCAAGCATTATAAAAACTCTGCTTCTCTAGCTATACAGCTACAAAGTCACTAGGCAAATAATCTCAAATCATAAAACATATTATTCCTTAAAAAATAAAAAATAATATAATGCATGTGTCAATTAAACAACTGTCTTTGTTTCTCACTTCTATGATATACTTCCCCCTACACAGAGCTCCCCCCGCCCCAGAAAATACTTAAAAAATAACCAAACTCTTTGTTCAAAACTCGGTCCTTTAAATGTTAATCCGACGGGGTCGGTACAAATAAATAATTAAATAATTCCTCCTCAACCCCTCGGTGTCTCTAATTCCTTAATTATCCCTCTACACAGAAACCAATCCTTTTGCCCCAAGGCAGATCCTAATGAGGAGAAAAGATCTGGCCAGGCTGCTGCCACTCTGTGACATTGTACACTGGGCTTGGCTCTGGCTGAGCGGGAGCCCCTGTGGGAGTGTGTTCCTGAAAATCACAGGGATCCTGCAATGCCGGCTATGAAATTTCAACATACCCCAGCCCTTGGCAGAGGTAATAACAAGGTGTTTCACAGCAGCTTAGGGTAGAAAGGAGGAGATAGGGGCATAGGCAGTGACCAGGCTCAGCTCTGTGTAGCGTTCATTTCACTCTCATGGCTTTAAAAAGAATCAAGGCCGGGCGCGGTGGCTCACACCGGTCATCTCAGCACTTTGGGAGGCTGAGGCGGGTGGATCATGAGGTCAGGAGTTCAAGACCAGCCTGGCCAAGATGGTGAAACCCCGTCTCTACTAAAAATACAAAAATTAGCCGGGCTTGGTGGGTGGGCGCCTGTAATCCCAGCTACTCGGGAGGCTGAGGCAGGAGAATCGCTTGAACCCGGGCCACAGAGGTTGCAGTGAGCCGAGATCACATTGCTGCACTCCAGCCTGGGTGATAGAGTGAGACTCTGTCTCAAAATATTAATAATAATCGTCATCATCATCAAAATAGGCCAGGCACAGTGGCTCACACCTATAATCCCAGCACTTTGGGAGGCCGAGGTGAATGGACCGCTTGAACCCAGTAGTTCAAGATGAACCTGGGCAACAAGGCAAAACCCCAACTCTACAAAGAGTAGCTGGGTGTGGTGCTGCACACCTGTATTCCCAGCTACTGGGGAGGCTGAGGCAGGAGAAACACTTGGGCCTGGGAGGCGGAGGTTGCAGTGAGCCGAGATAACACCACTGTACTCCAGCCTGGGCAACAGAGTGAGACCCTGTATCAAAAAACAAACAAACAAATAAAGAATCAAAATACACCCATCCCCCACTTGGGGGAATTCTCAAAACACCATCTCAAATTCAAACAGCCAAGGAAGGGATGTGCATTTAAAAAAAAAAAAAAAATAAGGTACCACACATAAACATGGCCGAGAAAAGCACTTAGCATTTGGATGGCCAACAGGTATATGAAAAGGTGCTTATAGGAAAAGGTAGTCGGCCGGGTGCAGTGGCTCACGCCTGTAATCCCAACACTTTGGGAGGCTGAGGCGAACGGATCACGAGGTCAGGAGTTCGAGACCAGCCTGGCCAACATGGCGAAACCCCGTCTCTATTAAAAATACAAAAATTAGCTGGGCATGGTCGCCAATGCCTGTAATCTCAGCTACTCAGGAGGCTGAGGCAGAAGAATCGCTTGAACCTGGGAGCCGGAGGTTGCAGTGAGCCGAGATCGCACCACTGCATTCCAGCCTAGGTGACAGAGTGAGACTCCGTCTCAAAAAGAAACAAAAAAATAAACAAAGAAAAGGTACTCAACATCACTAATCATCAGGGAAATGCAAATGAAAACCACCATGAGCTACTATCTCACACCAGCTAAAATGGATATTGTCAGAAGGGTGTTTTTGTTTGTGTTTTTTTGTTTTTTGTTTTTTTTTTTCTTTGAGACAGAGTCTTGCTCTGTCACCCAGGCTGGAGTGCAAAGGTGTGATCTCAGCTCACTGCAACCTCCAACTCCCAGGTTCAAGCAATTCTCCTGCCTCAGCCTCCTGAGTAGCTGGGGTTACAGGCCCCTGCCACCACGCTCGGCTAATTTTTGTATTTTTAGTAGACTCGAGGTTTCACCATGTTAGCCAGGCTGGTCTCGAACTCCTGACCTCAGGTGATCCACCCGCCTCGGCCTCCCAAAGTGCTGGGATTACAGGTGCCAGCCACCACGCTGGCCAGAATGATGATTTCTACAGTTAATTACAAGTGTTGGGGAGGGTGTAGAGAAAAGGGGGCCCTTGTACACCACTGGTGGGAATGTCAATTAGTACAGTCACTATGAAAAACAGTACAGAAGTTCCTCAAATCATTAAAAATAAAAGCACCACATAATTCAGCAATTCCACTGCTAGGCACAGACTCAAAGCAAATGAAATCAGTGTATCAAAGAGATGCCTGCATTCCTATGTGCATTGCAGCACTATTCACAGGAGCCAAGATATGGAAACAACCTAGGTGTCCAACAACACACGAAAGCATAAAGAAAATATATATCTATACCTGATGGAATACTATGCAGCCATGAAAAAGGAGGAAATCCTATCTCCTGCAGCAACACAGATGGAACTGGAGGCCATTACCCTAAGGGACATAACTCAGAAACCGAAAGTCAAATACCATTCTTCTTAGGTCGAGTCCAATTTGCTGGGTCCGACTCGCAGACTTTGGCTGAGCGACGGATGAACAAATGCACTCAGACACAGATTTCCAGTGAAAGCGTGGGCTAGGGGATGGGGCCACTCACAGACACTGAGGAGGGTGTTTTAAAGAGTCAGCAGCCACGGCTTTGACAAGCTGCTGCTGTGGGCCTTTATTTAGTATACATTTAATGACAAAGGCCTTGAGTCAACACATTCGTGGGCAATTCATATGGTCGTCCCCCGCAACCCGGAGAGAGGGAGAGAGTAGTTCTGTGCGTGGATGATTAAAGGCCAGGTTCTGAGGCCTAAGCAAACTAACTTATCTAGATCAGTTTCTTTACATCCCCTCGTTATCTAACCTAAGCTTTCAGGCACTGGATAAGAGAATCTGGCTGCCTTCAGCCAAATCTTATTCGGGAGCATTTGCAAAACCTTCTGGCCTCCCAAGAAGGTTTGCATCTTCTACAATTTTTCCTACCACCCTGACCGACCTCCTACATTCTTACTTATAAGCAGGAGCTAAATAATGTGTCCACATGGAAAGAGTGGAATAACAGAGACTGGAGACTCAGAAGGGTGGGAGGTGGAAGAGGAGCAAGGGATGAGAAATTACCTCTCGGGTACAATGTACGTGATTCAGGTGTTAGCTATACTAAAAGCCCAGACCTCACCACTACGCCATTCATCCATGTTAACAAAACTGTACTTGCACTCCCTACCTGTATACAAATGAAAAATAAAATAATAAATAAATAAAAGGACAGAGCATTGAGAATCTAGATGGATATTAGAAAGTTGTGTGCACACCTTCCTTAGTGTGAACAGACAGAAAGAGCACACCAGAATTTGGTCTAGCACCTGGTCGAAAATCTTAAGGGCAAGCATATTCCTGTTTGATTTATCTTTTTTTCTTTCTTTCTTTTTTTTTTTTGAGACGGAGTCTTGCTCTCTCTCCCAGGCAGTCCCAGATTCAAGCGATTCTCCTGCCTCAGCCTCCTGGGTCATTGGGATTACAGGCACATGCCACCATGCCTGGCTAATTTTTGTATTTTTAGTAGAGATTGGGTTTCACCATGTTGGCCAGGCTGGTCTCCAACTCCTGACCTCGTGATCCACCCGCCTCAGCCTCCCAAAGTGCTGGGATTACAGGCGCGAGCCACTGCGCCCGGCCTGATTTATCTTAAGTCAAGAACTCCCAACCAGCAGAGGCACCTCCTGGCATGTGCCCTGGAGGTCAACAGGAAAGGACAATGGCTCCTGTTCCCTGGGGAACACACATTTGAGTAAGAGTGCAAGCTACCAGCACATCTGCATGCCTTTCCTAGCAGATGTCAGAGCTGAGTGATGCTATCTTCGCCTTGCCTTGACCATCTCCTGCTCTAGGATGGGGCCAGAAATCCCCAAAAGAAGAGTGCAAAAATCAGAGCCATCTCTCCCAAATGCCACCTGGCACGTGACTGAAGCTCAGCCATGAACCACGCAAACGACCTGTCCCAAGGAAAAAAAAAAACAAAAAAAAGCCATTGGAGTATCTCTCGGTACCTTTGTCGTTCAAGGTTTCTTCTTTTATTTTGCTTACAACTTGTTTGGCTTTGCTGTCATTATTTCCAGCTAAAAGGAAAAAGAAAAAAAAGATACGGTGACTTGTAGGATTATCCAGAAACTATTAACTGCAAAAAAAAAAAGAGGTTTTAAGAGAAGTATAACACAAATCTGAAATGTGCCTTTGATGGACTTTCCCTTTATCCTAGCGTCTAACTTGACAGCCATTTTGGCAGACTAAAGCTATCCATTTAAGAGTCATTTTCTTTAGCCTGCATTGGCAAAAAGTACAAATGCATTTGACATTCTACTTTTCAATAGTGACAGGGACCCGGGGCACCTGCTGGTGTAATTTGCACGTGAGAGCTGAGAATAGCATAAGCATAAAAAATGTGCATTAAAATGTCAGGATGGAAACGAATTTTCGAAGGAGCTTTTATGCTGGAAACATCCCAGTGTGCACACACAGACTGCACGATGCACGTGATCACAGACCGTGGTTCCTACTACGTGCTCAGGATTTCTTTCTGTTTCTTTTTTTTAATTCTACTTTAAGTTCTGGGGCACATGTGCGGAATGTGCAGGTTGGTTACATAGGTATACACGTGCCATGGCAGTTTGCTGCACCCATCAACCCATCATCTACATTAGGTATTTCTCCTAATGCTCTCCCTGCCCTGCCCCCTCAACCCCTCGACAGGCCCTGGTGTGGGATGTTCCCCTCCCTGTGTCCATGCGTTCTCATTGTTCAACTCCCACTTATGAAGGAGAACATGGGGTCTTTGGTTTTCTGTTCCTGCGTTAGTTGGCTGTGTGCTCAGGATTTCTTACTCCTCTCACTGCACTTCCGTAAAACTCTCCAAGTGAGGTTTCAGGAACACGCCTTTAGAAGGATGGAAAGAGGTGTTTTGCTTGTTATAGCTAAAATAAAGACTAGGAAATCCGGGGTGAAAGAATGTTAATTGGGTTTTTTTGTTTTGTTTTTTTGTTTTGTTTTTTTTTTGAGACAGAATCTTGCTCTGTTGCCCAGGCTGGAGTGCAGTGGTGCGATCTCAGCTCACTGCAACCTCCACCTCTCTGATTCAAGTGATTCTGCTGCCTCAGCCTCCTGAGTAGCTGGGATTAGAGGTGACTGCCACTATGCCCAGCTAATTTTTTCGTATCTTTAGTAGAGAGGGGGTTTCACCATGTTGGCAAGGCTGGTCTTGAACTCCTGATCTCAGGTGATCCTCCCGCCTCGGCCTCCACAGTGCTGGGATGACAGGTATGAGCCACCACACCCGGCCTGGTTTCTTTAATGTCTTAGGAAGTGAACATGCGTTGAACAGGAGACTATAGTTTGATGTTGTCTTCGTCATTTTTTCAAATGTCTTTGACCCGGGAGGTTGGATTTTAAGGTGTTTCTGAAGGGGCGGCTCTTTAGGGGAAAGGAGTTTGGCAAATTTTTCCTCCTTCAGCCTCATCCTTCATTAACCTGTTGGCAACATGTGGGATTAGCTGCTTTCCAGGGTGAGCCAAGCCCAAAACTCCCTTTCAGGGAGGGTCACGGAAAAAGTGTTGAGAGAAGGGAGATGAGAACTAGCAGGGGAAGCGCACAGGCTTGAACAAGAACGTCTTGGGTGCCCGGAGAGCTTCAAACAGCTGATCTGCAAGGAGCAGTTACCAAGGGGGTGGGGCCGGTCTATCTCCATCCTACCTGCACCCAGCCCGGGCCAGTGAGGTGTTCTGTAGTACAGCACCGTCCCCGGGTCTCCATGAAAATACATTACCAAATAATCCCTCTCTTTGGCATTCCTGAATACTGAGTCAACACGGCGTATTGAATTTACACACTCTAACACAAGGAAGAGACCATGCTGTTTGATATCCTATCATTGTATTCGGTATTCTTTCTTCTGTGTTAAGGCCATGGGCTCCCAAATTAACTATTAGAATGCACTTTTCAAAAAACAATGAAAATGTTTTCAGCAAAGAGTGAAAAAATATATAAAAGAGGAGAAGCAGTGAAACTTATGAAGTTGGAAATGTTTTTGGCTCCAGTGGGAGACGGCTAAGATAAATAGTGCAAAGTCCATCCTTTGGGGCAGAGTAAATGGAATATCTAAATTGTCACTTCCTTGAAGGAATTCAAAGTTGCAGACATCAGAAGACTGAAGCTGCAAAGGTAATTTGCACCTTTGACTTCCTTAAAGAAACAGAACATGATACCATTATTACATTTTTGCTTTGACAGTCCTTTGGCACTGAGGAGGCAGCAGGCATTTCAGGGAGGTGGGTTTCGACGGGAGGGAGAGGAAGAAATAGCCTGAAAGGTATATTCCATCTATAAATGTCCTATGCATCAAACACAAAACAAAAAAAGAAAGGATAAAAAAATTCAAAGTCAAGGTAACCTTTACACTGGGGACTTGTACATTCATGAGCTTATTTATGAAATCCCATGAACTTTTTAAATGTAAGCACTCATCCACTGCTGGGCTGCTCTGCCGTATCAGCCATCTCAAGATCAAAGGGTGCGGCCGGGTGCGGTGGCTCATGCCTGTAATCTCAGCCCTTTGGGATTTGGGAAGCCGAGGCAAGCGGATCACGAGGTCAGGAGTTCAAGACCAGCCTGGCCAACATGAGGAAACCCCATCTCTACTAAAAACACAAAAATTAGATGGGCATGGTGATGTGTGCCTGTAATCCCAGCTACTAGGGAAGCGGAGGCAGGAGAATTGCTTGAACCAGGACCCGGGAAGCAGAGGTTGCCATGAACTGAGATCACACCACTGCACTCCAGCCTGGGCGACAGAGCCCAACTCTGTCCCAAAAAAAAAAAAAAAAAAAAAAGTTAGCCAGACATGGTAGCAGGCACCTGTAATCCCAGCTACTCTGGAGGCTAAGGCAGAAGAATTGCTTGAACCCAGTAGGCAGAGGTTGCAGTGAGATGAGATTGCGCCACTGCACTCCAGCCTGGGCAACACAGCGAGACTCCATCTCAAAAAGAAAACAAAACAAAACAAAACAAAAAAAAACAAAGGGAAACATGCCGGAAGCTGGGACGAAGTAAGATGGGAGCCTCCACCTTCTCAAGAAAGACAAAAGTGACCAGAAAAAGCTGGGAGCATCAAAAAAAGCCAGGTGAAGTGATTATTTGGGAAGACCACCTTCATGGGCAGGCCATTTTCCATGGTGGCACCGTCAACGCTGGCATAGGACAGAAGCACCACACTGGAGGAATGGAGAAGGTGAGGTGGCACGTGCGGTATCTTCTTTGGCCAATGTCACCTTCAGCAATTGTCTCCTCAGACCTGGAGGGAGCTGCTTTAAGGAACTGGACGTGGGACATTTGGCCTCATATGCATTTGCTGGAGTGGTTCCTACATTTGCTGAGCAAGTACTGCATATGCAGAAACACCGCACACGTCCCAAACACAGTGCATCTGCCTTCTGCTTCATCCTTTGTATTTGGGGGGGCAGGGGAGGGCGTTACATGTTATATGTGCAATGGAAATTGGTATAGCCATTATGGAAAACAGTGGAGATGGGGTTTCACTATGTTGGCCAGGCTGGTCTTGAACGCCTGACCTCGGGTGACCCGTTTGCCTTTGCCTCCCAAAGTGCTGGGATGACAGACATGAGCCACTGCACCCGGCCTGGTTTTTTTCACATCTTAGGAAGTGAACGTGCTTGGACAGGAGACTATAGTTTGATGTTGTCGTCATTTTTTTCAAATGTCTTTGACCAGAAAGGTTGGATTTTAAGGTGTGTCTAAAGGGGTGGCCTTTTTTTTTTTAAGAGTTCCTCAAAAAATGATCATTATGCCTACCATAGGATCTAGCAATCTCACTCCTCTGTATAGATCCAAAGGAAATGAAATCAGCCCCTTATAGAGATATCTACACCCCCATGTTCGTTGCAGCATGATTCACAAGAGCCAAGATATGAAACCAACCTAAGTGTCCATCTAAGGATGGGTAGATAAATAAAATGTGGGATAGCTACACCATGGAATACCATTCAGTCTTTGAAAACCAGAGGACCCTATCCTGTGATACAACATGGATCAACCAGGAGTACATCATGTTAAGTAAAATAAGCCACATAAAACCAAATCCCACATGATCTCACCCATATGTAGAGTCTCCAGAAGTTGAACTCACAAGAAAAAGTATTATGATGATTATTGGCCAGGCGTGGTATCTCATGCCTGTAATCCCAGCACTTTGGGAGGCCAAGGCAGGTGGATCACAAGGTCAAGAGATCGAGACCATCCTGGCCAACCTGGCAAAAGCCTGTCTCTACTAAAAATACAAAAATTAGCCGGGTACGGTGGCATGCACCTGTAGTCCCAGCTACTCAGGAGGCTGAGGCAGGAGAATCGCTTGAACCCAGGAGGTGGAGGTTGCAGTGAGCCGAGATTGCGCCACTGCACTCCAGCCTGGTGACAGAGTGAGACTCCATCTCAAAAAAAAGAAAGAAAGAAAAGAAAAAGAATTATGGTGATTACCAGGTGCTAGGGGGGTGGGTTGCTGAGATTTTGTTCAAATGACACCAAATGTCAGTTTGACAGAAGGTATAAGTTCAAGAGATCTATTGTACTTAAGGTGACTAAATTAGTGACTATAATCTTGAACCTGACTATAATTAGTCACAGTGACTATAATTAATATTTGAAAATTGCAAAGAGAGTAGATTTTAAGTGTTTCCAAAAACACACACAAAAAGAAACATGTAAGGTAATGGATATGTGAATTAGCTTGAATTGGCCATTCCAGATGGAAACATATATCAAAACCACATTTTGTACACCATAAAAATATGTAACTTGTTTTTGTCTATTAAAATAAGTAAATAGATAATTAAATACAAGTTTAAATATTTTACACGTTTCACATGTACTATTCATGGACAATACAAAGTATATGTGGCACAAGTCATTTTTAAAAGACAGTTGCAATTTAGATAACCTAACCAACTAGACTTCCTGTGACCTACAAAACTAGATTTTATGATGACCAACGCAACTACACCTCATCATACTCTAACCCAACTAAATCTCATTAGGACTAACCAAAATACACCTCATCATAACTTAACCCAAATAGATCTGATTATACCCTAACCCAACTAGACCTCATCATGACCTAACCCAACTAAATCTCATTATAACCTAGCCCAAATAAACCTCAACATGACCTAATACAAACAGGTATCTTTATGACCAACCCAAATACACCTCATCATAACTTAACTGAATCTCATCACAACCAACGACACTAGACCTCATAACCTAACCAAACTAGACCTCATCATGACCTAATACAACTAGATCACATCATGACCAACTCAACTAGACCTCATCATGACCTGACACAGCTAAATCTCATTATAAACAAGCCCAACAAGAACTAATCATGACTGACTATGACTAGATTTCATCATGACCAACCCAACTACCTCATCGTGACCTAACTAACTCTCATCATGACCAACCCAACTATACCTCATCATAACTTAACCCAACTTAACTACATCATAACCTAACTCAACAAGACTTCATTATGACCTAATACAACTACATCTCATCAAGGCCAACAAAACTAGTCCTCATCATGACCTAACAAAATCTCATCATGACCAACCCAAATAGACCTCATCACAACCTTATCCAAGTAAATCTCCTCATACCCTAACCCAACTAGAACTCATCATGACCTAACCAAACTAGACTTCATCATAACCTAACCAAACTAGACCTCATCACGACCTAATACAACTATATCTCATCAAGACCAACCCAACTAGACCTTATCATGACCTAATTATATCTCATCATGACCATCCAACTAGATCTCCTCATGACATAATCCAACAAGATTTCATCATAACCAAACCAACTAGACCTCATCATAACCTAACCCAACTAGGTCTCATCATGACCTAATACAACTAGATCCCATCATGAGCAACACAACTAGACTGCATCATAAACAAATTACATCTCATTATGACAACGAACTAGATCTTATCATAACCTAACACACCTGGGTCTCATCATGACCCAATACAAGTAGATCTCATCATGAACAACCTACCAGAGCTCATCATAGCCTAGGCCAACTAGATTTCATTATGACCTAATACAACTAATTCTCATAATGACCAATCCCACTAGACCTCATCATGACCTAACCAAACTGGACTTCATCATAACCTAACCCAACTAGACCTCATCATGACATGAGACAACTAGATCTCATCACGACCTACCCAACTAGAACTCATCACGACCTAACTAGATCACATCGTGACCAACCAAACAGATCCCATTATAACTTAATCCAACTAGATCTCATCATAACCTAATACAACTAGATCTCATCATGACCAATGCACTAGACCTCATCATATCCTACCACAACTAGATCTCATCATGACCTAATCCAACTAGATCTCATCATAACCTAATACAACTAGATCTCATCATGACCAATGCACTAGACCTCATCATATCCTACCACAACTAGATCTCATCATGACCTAATACAACTAGATTTCATTATGACCACCGCATCTGGACCTCATCATAACCTAACTGGATCTCAACATGACCAACCAACTAGATCTCATCATAACCTAACCCAACTATAACTCATCATGATCTAGTACAACTAGCTCTCATCATGACAAACTCAATGAGACCTCATCATAACTTACCCCAACTACATCACATCATGACCTAATACAACTAGATCTCATCATGACCAACCAACTAGATATCATCGTAATATAATTCAATTAGATCTCATCATGACCTAATACAACTAGATCTCATAAAGACCAGCCCAACTAGACCTCATCATAACCTAACTCAATTAAATCTCCTCATACCCTAACCCAACTAGACCTCATCATGACCTAACCCAACTAAACCTCATCATAATCTAACCCAACTAGACCTCATCATGACTGAATATGACTAGATCTCATCACAACCAACCCAAATAGACCTCATCATAACCTAATTAGATCTCATCATGACCAACCAACTAGATCGCATCATAACCTAACCCAACCAGATCTCATCATGACCAACCCAACTAGACCTCATAATAACTTCACCCAATTAGATCACATCATAACCTAATACAACTAGATCTCCTCATGACCAATCTAACTAGACCTCATCAGAACCTAACTAGATCTCATCATGACCTAATACAACTAGTTCTCATCATGACCAACCCAACTAGACCTCATCATAACCTAACCCAACTAGATCTCATCAAGACCTAATACAATTAGTTCTCCTCATGACCAACCCAACCGGACCTCCTCATAACCTAACTAGATCTCGTCATGACCAACCAACCAGATCTCATCACAACCTGACCCAACTAGATCTCGTCATGACCTAATACAACTTGATCTCATCCTGACCAACACAACTAGTCCTCATTATAGCCTAACTAAGTCTCATCATGACCAATCAACTAGACCTCATCAGAACCTTACCCAACTGGATCTCATCAGGATCTAATACAACTAGATCTCATCATGACCAACCCAAGTAGACTTCATCATAACCCAACTAAACTTCATTATAACCCAACTAGACCTCATCATTATCTACCCTTCCTGAGGACTGTACAAGAGATTTCTTATATTGGAAAAAAGCAGTATAATTTCCTCTTACTAAATAAAAAGATTTTGAGCCCAAACCAGAGTCACCAATCTGCGGCTAAACCTGGCCTGCAGCTGGATATTGTACAAAAAGTTTTACAGCAACATAGACTTTCCTGTTGTTTTAAGTATTACCTATGGGTGGTTACTCACTACTAGGGCAGAGCTCATAGTTATGAGAGAAACATATGAACACATTTATTATCTGTCTCTTTACAGAAAAAGTTTACCCACCCCACTTTCATCTTAGATGACAGTCCATTGAGCATTATGAAAAAAAATGATCCCCCACCAAAATAATATTTTGAAACAATGAGAACTAAGATCTTGTGGACAGATGGGAATTTGAACAACTGATATATGTGTCTAGTAATATTAATGTGCTTCAGTTGGACCCAGGTTATAATCTGAATTATTTTACAAGTAATTGATTATTCTTTAAATATTAATAAATTTTTAATTAAAATTTTGAAGTTAAATTTCCCATCTCTTATTTTGTATTTAATATAAAATTCATTGTGTTCAATGATATTTTTTCATTAATTGACTTTGAATCAAACTGCCATACAAAATGAAAAAATGCCTCTCTCAGAATATATCCAATTATCCTCAAAGTCACACAGGGGAAATAAGACTGCATAATTGATTGGATTGACCTGAAGGGTCAAAACTGTAACTCACAGTGAAAATTAAACACTGACATCAGGAGCTCTGTGGGATAGGAGACACAGGTGGGGTGCAGATGTGGTGTT
This sequence comes from Homo sapiens, assembly GCF_000001405.40. Classification (NCBI taxonomy): domain Eukaryota; kingdom Metazoa; phylum Chordata; class Mammalia; order Primates; family Hominidae; genus Homo; species Homo sapiens. The sequence continues at coordinate 2,417,165 of NC_000024.10, forward strand.
TACTTTCTGTTTATCTCAAGAAAAAAGGCACATTGGTGCTGACATATACTGCTCCTGATGCTCAGTAAACATCATCTAAATGAAGTGGTAACACTTGAGATTCCCATGCACATGAACAAGAAGCTTGCTCACATGTCTTCATTGCTTTGTGCCTACAAAGTCCTCAGTCAACTAGACCTCACTGTGACCTAACCAAACCACACATCATCATGATCTAACTCAACCTGTCATCATGATCTAATCCAAGAGGACTTTATTGTGTTCTATTCAACTACCTCATGATGACATAACCCAGCTGGACCTTATCATGACCTAATCCAACTAGACCTTATCATGACCTAACCCAACTAGACCTCATCATGATCTATCCACTAGGCCTCATCATGACCTTCCTAACTAGATCTCCTCATGATCTAACCCAATTAGACGTCATCATGACCTACCCAACTAGACGTCAATGTGACCTGACCCAACTAGAACTCATTGAGTCTTAACCCAACTAGACTTCATCATGACCTAGCCAAACCACACATCACCATGATCTGATCCAGCTAGATCTCATCATGCTATTACTGAAGTAGACTTCATTAAGACCTAATTAAATCACACCTCATAATGATCTAACTCAACCAGTCATCCTAATCTAATCCAACAAGATTTCATCACATTCTACTCAACTACCTCATCATGACATAGCCAAACTAAACATTATGATGAACTAATACAACTAGACTTCATCATGACCTAACCAAACTGTACCTTACCATGATCTAATACAACCAAACCTCATCATGACTTAATACAAATAGACCTCATCATGGCCTACCCAACTAGACCTCAATGTGACCTAACTCAACTACATTTCATCAGGACCTAACTCAACAAGACCTCATCATGACCTACCCAATTAGATCTCAAAGTGACCTAGCCCAACAAGATTTCATCATCACCTAAATAAGTCACACATCATCAAGTCTAATCCAACTAGATCTCATCATGCTGTTACTGAACTAGACTTCATTAAGACCTAATCAAACCATACCTCATAATGACCTAACTCAACCAGTCATCATGATCTAATCGAACAAGACTTCATTACATTCTACTCAACTACTTCATCATGACATAACCAAAGGAGACGTTATCATGATCTAATACAACTAGACTTCATCATGACCAAACCAAACTGTACCTCAGCATGATCTAACTCAACCAGACATCATCAGAACCTAATACAACTAGACTTCATCATGACCTGCCCAACTAGACCTCATCATGACCTAAACCACCACAATGAGGCAAAAAAGCACAAAGAAATGGGGTGTTTTCTTCCTTTCCTAGTTTGATTAAGAATTAAACTAATAATTAAACATTGCCTAGCTAAATTAAGAATTAAGAAGATGAAAAAGATCATTGCACTGGAGGAGACAAAAGATCAAATATAACCAGTAATGGATGTGAGCCCTCCCATCTTTGTTCAACCTTGAGGGTCTCTCTTCATCCTACTCCACCATCATTGAAGCCACTAGGCTCACATCCAGCCAACCTTCAGAGAATACCTATTGCTCTCCCTGTTCAAAAAATCAGCATCATTTTGACCCAGTCATCTCAAATATTGGCAGAAGTCTGAGATATAGAAAGTCCTGGAAAGTTTGTCATGTTGTTAATGATACAGCAGATATCCACCTAGCATGGATGGTCAAAACCAAGGGTTGCCATCCATCACCACCTCACAGTCTCCAAGCTAAATCTCAGAACCCCCCCTGCCCTACATCTTGTCTCTAATTTACTCAGGTCCCAGGGAGATGTAAACAGATCATGGAGGTGCTCAAGTTCATAAGAAGTTCTAGAAATACACTCTCAGATGGGCACCCTCTCCCCTGGGGTCTCCTCATCTAAACCCAATCCTTTTGCATCTAGAGGGGGCGCAATAAACTGAATGTTTGTATCCCTCCAAAGTTCCTATGTTGAAATTCTAACATCCCCAGTGATTCTGTTGGGAGGCGGAGGCTTTGCGGGATGATTAGGTCACGAGGGTGGAGCACAATGAATGGAATTAGTACCCTTATAAAAGAGACCCCATCCAGGTTCCACCATGTGAGGACACAGGAGAAAGTGGCCATCCACAACCTAGAAGACAGACTACACCAGAATCTGACCACACTGACCCCCTGGTCTTGGGACTTCCAGCCTTGAGAACTGTAGGACAATAAGTTTCTATGGTTTATTGTGGAAGTCAGTGTGGCGATTCCTCAGGGATCTAGAACTAGAAATACCATTTGACCCAGCCATCCCATTACTGGGTATATACCCAAAGGATTATAAATCATGCTGCTATAAAGACACACGCACACGTATGTTTATAGCAGCACTATTCACAATAGCAAAGACTTGGAACCAACCTAAATGTCCAACAACGATAGACTGGATTAAGAAAATGTGGCACATATACACCACAGAATACTATGCAGCCATCAAAAATGATGAGTTCATGTCCTTCGTAGGGACATGGATGAAGCTGGAAACCATCATTCTCAGCAAACTATCGCAAGGACAAAAAACCAAACACCGCATGTTCTCACTCATAGGTGGGAACTGAACAATGAGAACACATGGACACAGGAAGGGGAACATCACACACCGGGGACTGTTGTGGGGTGGGGGGAGGGGGGAGGGATAGCATTAGGAGATATACCTAATGCTAAATGACGAGTTAATAGGTGCAGCACACCAGCATGGCACATGTATACATATGTAACAAACCTGCACGTTGTGCACATGTACCCTAAAACTTAAAGTATAATAATAAAATTTTAAAAAAAAAGTTTCTATGGTTTGCAAGGCACTCAGGCTACAGCAGCCCAAACACACCAAGACAGGAGAGTTAGGGACATGGATGAACTTGACAATTTCAAGAAATTGTCATAAAGTTTTAACTTGTCCCAGTCTATTAAGAGAATGAGGCCGGGCGCAGTGGCTCACGCCTGTAATCCCAGCACTTTGGGAGGCCGAGGCAGGCAAATTACGAGGTCAAGAGATCAAGACCATCCTGACCTACATGGTGAAACCCCCCCTCTACTAAAAATACAAAAAATTAGCTTGGTGTGCTGGCACGCGCCTGTAATCCCAGCTACTTGGGAGGCTGAGGCAGGAGAATCGCTTCAACCCGGGAGGCAGAGTTTGCGGTGAGCTGAGATCGCGCCACTGCACTCCAGCCTGGGCAATAACAGCGAAACTCCATCTCAAAAAATAATAATAATAATAATAATAAAATAATAAAATAAAATAAAGAGAATGGGGCCGGGCACAGTGGCTCACGCCTGTAATACCAGCATTTTGGGAGGCTGAGGCAGGTGGATCACAAGGTCAAGAGATCGAGACCATCTTGGCCAACATGGTGAAACCCCGTCTCTACTAAAAATACAAAAATTAGCTGGGTGTGGTGGTGTGCTCCTGTAGTCCCAGCTACTCAGGAGGCTGAGGCAGCAGAATCGCTTGAACCCGGGAGGCGGAGGTTGAAGTGAGCTGAGATCGCGCCACTGCACTCCAGCCTGGGCAACAGAGTGAGACTTCATGTCAAAGTAAAAAAAAAAAGAATGGATAAAAAAAATGCTCAAGTGGGAGTTAGGCACAACTTTGAGGAAAATAACTGCTTGATGGAAAGAAAGAGACTGATATAGACCAAAAAGTGCTCACCTGCTTCCGAAGCTCAACAAGTCATTAACTAATCCAACAAGATTTCATTATATTCTACTCAATTGCCTCATTATGACATAGCCAAACACGATGTTATCATTATCTAATACAACTAAGCTTCATCATGTGAAACAGTACACATCTCTGTATACTATTTTACAAACCCTGAAGTGCATCAGAGAAAGATGGTTATATGAGGAATGGAACTGCGTGTACAAAATTATTATTTTAAAAGACTCTGGGCACAGTGGCTCACACCTGTAATCCCAGCACTTTGGGAAGCCGAGGCAGGCAGATCGCTTGAACTCAGGTGTTTGAGACAAGTCCAAGCAACATGGTGAGGCCCCATCTCTACTAAAACTACAAAAAATTATCCAAGCCTGGTGGTGCACGCCTGTGGTCCCAGCTACTTGGGAGGCTGAGGTGGGAGGATCGCTTGAGCCCAGGAGGCAGAGGTTGTAGTGGGCTGAGATCACGCCATTGCACTCCAGCCTGGGTGACAGAGTGAGACGCTGTCTCAAAAATGTGAAAGTTGGGAAGAGCCATGACATAGAAAAATTTCAAGTTTTGCATTCATGTTTTGCAAAAGCCAAAAAGGCTCAAACTTAAGTGAAGGACGGAGCAAGGAGCCATGTGCGCTGACATGGACCACGCATCTCCAGGGAGACCAGAAGGCCACATGGGCTGAACATGGGGTTTCCCCATCTGAGTCAAAGACTCCTGGGGATTCCTGCATGAAATTCAGGAGGTTAGCATCAGCAAGGTTAGCATTTTCTTCTTTTGTAAATGAAGATGAGAAAACACAGAGGTGTGGGCAGCAGCCGTGCATTTGCCCCAGCAGAAACTGCCATGGAGATTTTTGGAGAGAGCTAACTCAAAGCCAAGTGGATGGCCATCGAGGCTCAGAACGCTAGCAGCTATTGAAACGCATGAGGCCCAGGACCAGAGCAGCTATTTAAACGCATGAGTATATCACAGTTTTTATCGTATAGATGTAATGCATACAATGATGTGGAGAGTTCATTTTTTCCTTATACCTTTTATCTGCATGTCAACTTCATCGATTCGTAACATGATGACTTTTAGCCTGTCCAATGAGCACCAACAGATGTCCAGAGGTTCAAGGCCTGGAAAGACTCTTTGCTGAGCCCTGGTCACCAGATCAGACTCATGCTCTTATGCTTGAGCCTTTTGGGCTATCGCAAAGGCATTCAAGGCCCAGAAAAGTGTCTGTCCTGGACAGAGCTCCTCAAAGATAAGGAAGAACTGAGACAAATTCATGTTGAAATCTCCAGCCCTAAGCATTGTTTATGATCCATGATCATCTTTCCATAATGACAACAAGGGAAAGAAGGACAGAGAATGGCGGAGAGGAAGAAGTCAATCAATAATGGGCATTGGTTTTGGAAAGTCTTTTTTTGAGACAGAGTCTCACTCTGTCACCCAGGCTGGAGTGCAGTGGCGCGATCTCGGTTCACTGCAACCTCCGGCTCCCTGGCTCAAGCGATGCTCCCGCCTCAGCCTCCCGAGCAGCTGGGATTACAGGCATACGCCACCATGCCGAGCTACTTTTTGTATTTTTAGTAGAGACGGGGTTTCACCATGTTAGCCAGGATGGTCTCGATCTCCTGACCTCGTGATCTGCCCGCCTCGGCTTCCTAAAGTGCTGGGATTACAGGCATGAGCCACTGCTCCCGTCCTGGAAAGTGTTAAGTCAATACGATCCTGCATATCTCAAACCAGACCTACAGTATGATGTTTATAAAAGCAGACACCATAAAAGTTATTAAAAGCAAAGGGTGCCCAGGCCTAGTGGCTCACACTTGTAATCCCAGCACTTTGGGAGGCCAAGGTGGGAGGATCACTTCAACCCAGGAGTTCAAGACCAGCCTGGGCAACATAGCAAGACCCAGTATCTCCAAAACATTTTGTTTATTTTTTTGAGACTGAGTCTCGCTCTGTCACCCAGGCTGGAGTGCAGTGGCGTGATCTCAGCTCACTGCAACCTCCGCCTCTCAGGTTCAAGCAATTCACCTGCCTCAGCCTCCCGAGTAGCTGGGACTACAGGCGCCCACCACCACGCAGGCACTCACCCCCAAGCCCAGCTAATTTTTGTGTTTTTAGGACAGTCAGGGCTTCACCATGTTGGCCAGGCTGGTCTTGAACTCTTAACCTCAAGTGATCTGCCCACCTTGACCTCCCAAAGTGCTGGGATTACAGGCATAAGCCACCACGCCCAGCCGCCAAAATAACTTTTTTAAATGAGCCAGGGCCAGGCACGGTGGTTCATGACTGTAATCCCAGCGCTTTGGGAGGCGGAGGTGGGCAGATCACGTGAGGTCAGGAGTTCAAGACCAGCCTGGCCAACAAAGCAAAACCCCATCTCTACTAAAAATACAAAAATTAGCAGGGCATGGTGGCGGGCGCCTGTAATCCCAGCTACTCTGGAGGCTGAGGCAGGAGAGTCGCTTGAACCCAGGAGGCAGGGGATGCCGTGAGCCGAGGTCGTGTCACTGCATTCCACCTGGGTGACAGAGCAAGATTCTGTCTCAAAAAAAACAATAATAAATAAATAAATAAAATGAGCTTGGCATGGTGGTGCACGCCTGTCATATCAGCGACTCATGAGGCTGAGTCAGGAGGATTGCTGGAGCCCAGGAGTTTGAGGTTGCAGTGAGCTATGATTATGTCACTGCACTGCAGTCTGGGCTGACAGAGTAGGATCCTGTCTGAAAATAATTAATTAAATGCAGATAGTGTCAAGAGTGGGCATAATACACATTAAGGCTTTTATTTTTCCAAGCTCGTCTCCACACATCATTTAAGCTAGCTGATTTAGACTTCCCCAGGTATGCAATAGACTCTCTCCCCTCCTCCCCGCCCCCCACTCCGTCTCCATTGGCAGTAGTGGAATGGGTTAATTTGAACTGTCCTCATATTCCCAGTTGAAGGGAGACCTGAAGAGGTCACAGAGGAAGAGGAGTCAGAGATCACGATAAGCTTTTAGAGAAATTTTCAAAAAGAAGAGCAGAAATCAAACCGTGAGTGTCTATAGGTCATGGTTGCAGAAGAAACAAGTATCCCGCAACATTGTTCAGATTCTGTTAGGAGCTTGTGTTTGAACAAAATTCATAAATTGAAGTCCTAAAGCCCAGGGCCTCAGAATGTGACTGTGTTTGGAAATAAGGTCTTTAAAGTGGTGATTAAGGTAAAATGAGGTCACCAGAGTGGGCCCCGATCTAATTGAACTGGTGTCCTTATAAGGAGAGCATATGAGGACACGGACACACACAGAGGGATGACCCTGTGAGGACACAGAGAGAAACCAAGGAGAGAGGCCTCAGGAGGAACCAGCCCTGCCCACACCTGGATCTCAGACATCCAGCCTCCAGGACTGTGGGAAACTCAATGTCTGTTGTATATAAGCTGCCCATTCTATGGTAATTCTGTTATAGCGCCTGAAATGGACTAAGACATCTCAGGAGAAGAGGAGATGAAAACACACAGAGGGACGACCCTGTGAGGACACAGGGAGAAGATGGTGTCTACAAGCCAAGGAGTGAGGTGTCGGGAGGAACCAGCCTTACTCACACTGTGATATTGAACCTCCAGCCTCTGGAATTGGGAGGAACCAGCCCTACTTACACTGTGATATTGAACTTCCAGCCTCTGGAATTGTGAAAAATAAATTTTGGCTTTTTAAGCAACCTCCAGTCTCCTTGAGATACTTTGTTATAACAGCCCTAGTAAAGTCATAAAGATATATGGTTATTTTTTTCCAGTAAACCATGTGAAAGAAACACAGGATCAATATTTAAGCAGAATATATATCTACTTCCAAAAGGGTACAACAATTTTCTGTGTTTTCTAGGTTGTGAATATCACCTTCATGAGCTTTCTGGATCTGACTGAATTTTCTATATGCACATCAACATTTGCATACATGTCTGAATCGACACCTAAGTAGCTCACATTAGGTATAAGACACAACTAACTCTGCCAGGCGCAGTGGCTCACACCTGTAATCCTAGCACTTTGGGAGGCCACGGCAGGCGGATGGCTTGAGCTCAGGAGTTCAAGACCAGCCTGGCCAGCATATGGAAACTCTGTCTCTACTAAAAATACAAAAATTATCCAGGCGTGGTGGTGCATGTCTGTAAACCCAGCTACTCGGGAGGCTGAGGTAGGAGAATCACTTTAACCCAGGAGGTGGAGGCTGCAGTGAGCCAAGATTGCACCACTGCAGTCCAGCACGGGTTGACGGACTGCGATCCTGTCTCAGAAAAAAAAAAAAACCGAAAAAACAAAAAACACAAGTAACTGTAAAAGTCATCACCTATGATAACATGCATGCCAAGTCTCGCCAGATGCTTCGCTGTAGAATAGCCAATGCCATCTGTCCCTCCCGTCACTATAGCGACACGGTCAGGTCGTGGGGGGAAAACTGAAAAAGAAGAAGAGAAAATCATCAAACTAAGATTTGAAAGCAGAGCACATATTTGTAAGAATTAAGCCTCCAGAGAGGCAAGATGCCAAAGGGAGTTATGGTTCATTTATTTCTGGTTCTGTTCCTCTTGAATTCCCACAGGCTCAGGAGGCATGAATGTATTAAAGTGGATTCGCCCCCAGTAATGACAGTGCAGTAAAAAACCACCTGATAAATCCCCTGTCATCCCCTGTGAGTCCCTGGCAGGCTCTGCAATATGCCGTCAGTGTGACCGGCAGAAAGGTCTGCAGAACGGATACCCTTTACAGAGGCGAGCAAGAATCCTGGAATAACCTCTGCTCTCAGGGCAGCACTGAGCAGGACATTTTTGTTCGTTTGCGTTGTAAAATGTAGACTTTATTATGATGTAGGTATGGTGGGGCCAACAGATCAGGAGACTGCCGTTAAGCAAGTGGTTTGTTACTCACAGGTCCCAAGAGGAGGGGCGTGTTGACACCACTCAGGACCACACAGGGGCGCACCAAGTTTGGTCAGGTGGGAAGACAAAGGAGACCAGAGCTCTCACTGTGGTTTCCAAGGGAAGGAACAGGCGAGTAGGCTTACAGTTGGCTAGTGTGAATGATTTCAGCAGGCTCTGGGGCATAGGGGCTGTCCCTGACTCTCTGGTACCTGGCTTTGGGGTGGTTAGGGCAGGTGGAGAGTGACGTGGAATATGCAACCCCAATAAAGGAGATGGCTGGGGGGTGGATTCTGGATTGATGGGTTTGCATATGAAAGACAGGTTCATAGGTGGGCTCTTCACCACCTCTGGGGATTCGCTAGCTATGGGAGGGGCAGGGTCTCTAGGGTTGACAAGGCCATGAAAGTCATGCATCAGAACACAGAAAATAAAAGACTTGGTTAATACAGTTTGCTTCATAGCTGCTGGTATCACACGTGCAGATAGCATCTCACTTGAATTTCTGGTTAAGACGAGTGATCCACATTTTGAGGGAGATTTGTATTTCTTTTTCTTCCTTCCACTTGTCCTCCCTTCCTTCTCTCCATCTTTCCTTCCTTCCTTCCCTCTTTCCTTCCTTCCTCCTTCCTTCTCTTTTTCCTTTCTTCCTTCATTCCTTCCTTCCTTCATTCTTTCCTTCCCTCCCTCTTTCCTTCCCTCCCTCCTTCCTTCCTTCCCTCCCTCTTTCCTTTCTTCATTCCTTCCTTCCCTCCCTTTTTCCTTCCTTCCTCCTTCCTTCTTTCCTTCCTTCCTTCCCTCTTTCTTTTCTTCATTCCTTCCTTCCCTCCCTCTTTCCTTCTTTCCTTTCCTCTTTCCCTCCTTTCTTCTTTACTTCCTTGTCTCACTCCTTCTTTCTTCTTTTCCTTTTTCCTTCCCTCCCTTTCCTTCCTTTCTCCTTCCATCCTTTCCTCTTCACTTCTTTCTCTCACTTTTTCCTTCCTTCCTTCCCTTCCCTTCCTTTCCTCTTTACTTCCTTCTCTCACTCTTTCCTTCCTTCTTTCCCTCTTTCCTTCCCTCCCTCTTTCCTTTCTTTCCTCCCTCTTTCCTTCCTTTCTTCCTCCTTCCTTCTGTCCATCTTCTAACCCTTCCCTCCTTCTTTTATAAAATATGTGTAGAGCCCACACTCTGTGCCCAGCATACAGGGAAATGAATTAGACAAAGATAAACATGTTGTCTGCCTCAAGGACATTTGGTTCCCCTGGGAAAGATACCAACCACTCTAAATACACAGATGTGTCTGGCAATAATGCAGAACTTTCCAGATCTCACATCTTCCAGTTATGAATGAACTTCAAAGGAAGAAGAGGAAAGGGAGAAGCAGTGATTCTGGACGGAGGGTTAGAGAACAATCTTCCAAGGAGGGGCTCCTGAGCTGATGTTGTGACGGTGAGAGCAAAAGTCTAGCAGGCCTGGGATATTCCAGGAAGAGGAAGGCGGCTGGCTGGCTAGCTGGAGCCAAGCACATGGAAGGAGGGAAGAGAGGAGGGAAGAAGGAGTAGGGGCACCCCAGAGTTCGTGAGCTTCTCTCTGGCAGACAGGGCGTCATCACGGGGCTCTGAGCCAATCTGTGATATGTTTCACAGGAAGGAATAGATTCATGGAGAATCCACTTGAGCTGGAGGAAGACAAGGCTATCAAGGGTCTCCTGAAGCAGCTGCAGGGACTGACGGGGGAGCTCCGCCACAGTTCAGCACAGGTGGTATGAGAGGTGCTGGATTCAGAATATGTCTCACAGGTACTGGCCACAGGGGTGCTGGTGGGAGTCAGACTTCTCGCGTTCAAAATAAAAAGAAATCACAAGACAAGGACAGAGAGGGGGACATGATGAGGCAAGAATGACTCCTTGTACTGGGGGCTGAGAAAATTCAAGGAGGGAATTTCCATGAATTCCCTTGAGAAAGAAAGACTGAGGGAAAAGTGGATTTTGCAGGCAGGTAGTCAGGAAAGTCCCTTTCTGTGAATTATTATAGGCACATATGATCTTTTTCAAGTTAGGAGATTATTTTGTTCAACATATTTGGAATGTTCTTTATTAAAATATAAAGCCTAAGTGTCCACCATCAGACAATTTGATTTTTTAAAATATGGCACATATATACCATGGAATACTACACAGCCATGAAAAGGAATGATGTTGTGTCTTTTGCAGCAACACGAAGGGAACTGGAGGCCATTATCCTAAGTGAAATGGCTCAGAAACAGAAAGTCAAGTACCACATGTTATCCCTTATAAGCGGGAATTAAATAATGTGTACACGTCGACATAGAGCATAAAAAATAGACATCGAGGACTCAGAAGTCTCACAGGGTGGGATGGGATGAGGGATGAGAAATTACCTATTGGCTACCATGTACGTTATTTGAGTGATGGCCTCACTAACAGCCCAAACATTACCACTATGCAATATATTCATGTAACACAAGTGTACTCATACCCACAAAATCTATAAAAATACAAAGGTAATTTAAATAGAAATAGGTTTATAAATCATTCCACTATAACGACACACACACGTATGTTTATTGCAGCACTGTTCACAATAGTAAAGACTTGGAACCAACCCAAATGCCCATCAACGATAGACTGAATAAAGAAAATGTGGCACATGGACACCATGGAATACTATGCAGCCATAAAAAAGGATGGGTTCATGTCCTTTGCAGGGACATGGATGAAGCTGGAAACCATCCTTCTCAGCGAACTAACACAAGAACAGAAAACCAAACACCACATGTTCTCACTCACAAGTGGGAGTTGAACAATGAGAACACATGGAAACAGGGAGGGGAACATCACACACCAGGGCCTGTCAGGAGGTGAGGGACTAGGGGAGGGAGAGCATTAGGACAAACACCTAATGTAGATGATGGGTTGATGGGTGCAGCAAACCACCATGGCACGTGTATACCTATGTAACAAACCTGCACGTTCTGCACATGTACCCCAGAACTTAAAGTATAATAAAATAAAATAAAACAATAAAGCCTATGCTGCTTTTCCATTTCACCTTTCCAAGTATAAAATGTTGTGTCTCCTCTCCCCCCAAAATAATTCCTATGTTGAGAACATACAATCGCCAGGGTGATGGTATCAGGAGGTGGGGCCTGTGGAGGAGGCTTCAACATATAATCTGTTATTTGTCAGCCCGTACATTTCGTTGTCAGTATTGTGCGAACAATCCTCTTGGTGTGTAAGACTTTCATTTTGTTTTTCTTGATACACGCATGAATCGATGAAAAGGTATGTTCACTTAGAAAATTGCCGAATAAGTTTTCCATATGCTTAGGTTTTCTGGTGTATCCCTCGTAACCTGAAGATAGAACCTGTACAATGACATTCCCGTGTTCCTGACCCAAGCTGAGGGACTTGCAAATACTATATGTAGTATCAGTAGATGTATTGATGTTCTTAATTTACTAAGTTTATTTTAAAAATAGGAATGTATTATTAAATTGTAATTACAGACACACAGTATGCATATATACTGTGTATGTATACATGTGTGTCTGTGTGTGGGTGTGTCTGTGTGTGTACATACATATTTCTCAGCCCCAATGCCAACTTCCTAGTCAATAAAGAAATCTCTAAAATCTTCCAGCTAAACTTGGAAAAGCAGCAAGTATCCATCCTGTTCTCTGTGATGCTTTTTTTTTTTTTTGAGCTGGGGTCTTACTACATTGCCCAGGCTGCAGTGCAGTGGTGCAATCATGGCTCGCTGAAGCCTCGACCTCCTGGACTCAAATGATCCTCCTGCCTCAGCCTCCCAAGTAGCTGGGACTACAGGTGTGAGCCACCACACTTGGCTAATTTTTTTTACTATTTTTTTTTTGTAAAGATGGGGTCTTGCTGTGTTGCCCAGACCGGTCTTGATCTCCGGGGCTCAAGTCATCCTCCCACCCCGGCCTCCCAAAGAGCTGGATTCCAGGAGTGCACCCTGTCATTTAACATGCTACTGGAGATCTTATCCAACATGGTCAGACAAATAATTACAACAGACACAAGAACGGCAGAGGGAGAGTCAAAATATACTTTGCAGATGATATGATGGTATGCCAGGAAAAAACTAACAAAATCAACATTAAATAAATCCAAGAAGAGAATTCAGGAAGGTAGTCAGATAGAAAACTCAGAAGCAAATATCAATAGCTTCCATACATACACAAACAATTGGCAGGTTAAAAAGGTAGGGGAAGAGACAGTCCTGCTTATAATATAGAAACAACAGCAACACTGAAATGAGACTTGGTCATCGAGAGTGTGCAAAACCTATATCAGGAAACCTAAAGACATAAAAGTAGAGTTGAGGCCATGGAAAGATGCCCTCGGGTCTCGGTGAGGATGTCATGCCACATGGTTTTGGAGGTGCCCGTGGGGTCTTCCCTGAAAACGCACAGTGAGCCGTGATTGTGCCACTGCACCGCAGCCTGGGCAAGGTAGCGAGACCCCAGCTCAAAAAAAAAAAAAAAAGCATCACAGATTGCAGAATGGACCCTTGCTGCATTTGTAACTTTAGCTAGAAGAGTTTAGTGTTTTCCTTACGGACCAGGAAGCTGGCATTGGGGCTGAGAAGTATGTATGTACCCACACAGACACCCCCGCACACAACAGGTTGCAACAATCGCCTGACACCAGCCACCCGGTGCCTCTGCAGATGGGGAACATGTTTCGCAAGATCGGGCTTCCTCAGGGTTTTGGGTTTTCACAGCCAATGACTCGGCATGACCAGAGAACTGGCTGGACGCTCCTTCTACCCAATTCCTCGCCGTCTCTTTCTTCACAGGTGTGAGGCACCTACACCATCACCTGCAAGCCTTCCTCCACTCTTCTGCCAGCGCCTGTTTGACCCTTCACACACAGTTCCCCTAGTAAATCTCTGGCCCATCATGTTCCTTCTTGGTGTGTGCTTCTCCAAAGACCCAAATGGGTCAGGCGCAGTGGCTCATGCCTGTAATCCCAGCACTTTGGGAAGCCAAGGCAGGCAGATCGCTTGAGCCCAGGAGTTCAAGACCAGCCTGGGCAACATAGTGAAGCCCCATTGCTACAAAACAAAAAAAAAGGTACAAAAAAATTAGCCAGGCATGGTGGCACACGGCTGTCATCTCAGCTACCCGGGAGGCTGAGTTCAGAGGATCACGCAAGACTGGGAGGTTGAGGCTGTAGTGAGCTCCGATCATACCACTGCACTCCAGCCTGGGTGACAGAGCAAGACTGTCTCAAAACAAAACAAAAAAAAGACGGCCGGGCACGGTGGCTCATGCCTGTAATCCCAGCACTTTGGGAGGCCGAGGCGGGTGGATCACGAGGTCAGGAGATCGACACCATCCTGGCTAACACGGTGAAACCCGGTCTCTACTAAAAATACAAAAAATTAGCCTGGCGTGGTGGCGGGCGCCTGTAGTCCCAGCTACTCGGAAGGCTGAGGCAGGAGAATGGCGTGAACCTGGGAGGTAGAGCTTGCAGTGAGCCGAGATTGTGCCACTGCACTCCAGCCTGGGCGACAGAGCTAGACTCCATCTCACAAAAAAAAAAAAAAAGACAAAAAAAACCCCCAAACTTTGTCCAATCCGGAGTTGACAGACACCTAAGTTTGATTCCATGTCTTTGCTTTTATGAATAGTGCTGCGATGAACACACAGTACGTGTGTCTTTTTGGTAGAATGACTTACTTTCCCTTGGGTAGATACCCAGTAATGGGATTGCTGGCTCAAATGTTAATTCAATTCTTAGGAAGACATGGTGCATCTATACCATGGAATACTATGCACCCATTAAAAAGAATGAAATCATGTCCTTTGCAGCAATATAGATGCAAGAGGAGGCCATTCTCCTATGTGAATTAACACAGAACCAGGAAACTAAATATCAGACGTTCTCACTTCTTACTGGGAGGTAAACATCAAGTACAGATGGACATAAAGATGGGAACAATAAACACTGAGCAATTCAATGGGGCAAGGAAGGGATGGGGCAAGGGTTGGAAAACTATTGAGTGCTGTGCTGACTACCTGGGTGACGGGATCCTTGTGCTCCAAACCTCAACATCACACAATATACCCAGGGAACAAACCTGCACATGTACCCCCGAACCTAAAATAGAAGTTGAGGCCAGATGCGGTGGCTCACACCTGTCATCCCAGCACTTTGGGAGGCCGAGACGGGTGGATCACGAGGTCAGGAGTTCAAGACCAGCCTGGCCAACATGGTGAAACCGCATCTCTACTAAAAATACAAAATTTAGCTGGGCGTGGTGGTGTGTGCCACCTGTAATCCCAGCGACTCGGGAGGCTGAGGCAGGAGGATCGCTTGAACCCGGGAGGTGGAGCTTGCAGTGAGCTGAGATCACGCCAGTGCACTCCAGCCAGGGCGACAGAGCCAGACTCCGTCTCAAAAAAAAAATTTTTTTTAATTTAAAAAATAAAATAGAAGTTGGAGGGGGAAAAAAAATCTAAACTGATACAATCCTAAAGGTGTCAGAATGACCCAAGTCAATATGCAAATTTGATGTGATCCAATAAAGATAGTTCACAGAATTTCTTTTAGGCAAACTGGACGAATCGATTCGAAAATTGCTGTGGGGAAAAGAATTCCAAATGAGGCGGCAAAGAGGAAAATTCTGATATGTACAAAGATTGAGAACACAATGGCCCTGTAGGAGATTAAAACATTTGAGAAGCTTCTATAATTAAACGGGAGGTACTACAGGCATTAATGGAGGAAGGAACAGGGTACAATTTCCAAAAATAGGCCAACTGCATGTGGAAATTGAGTACACGACAAAAGGGGCAAAAGATGGGCGTTTTAATAAACCGTGTTGGGGCACGTGAAGCCACATTAGGAAACAGATAAAATTAGTGCCAGACCTCATAGCATGCATGAGTGAACTCCAAGGCAAAAACAAAGTTAAACCATGAGAAGATTGCAAGAAAGCAGGAATCATTAGTTTAACCTCCACAGAAAGAAAATGCTTCCTAAACGAAAATTCAGAAAGATGGTTAGATAGATTTCACTATTTAAAAAACTACTTGTTTAAAAAACAGGCCGGGCAGTGGCTCATGCCTGTAATCCCAGCACTTTGAGGGCTGAGGTGGGGGTATCGCTTGAGGCCAAAAGCTCAGGACCAGCCTGGGAAACAGAGAGAGGCCTCATCTCTACAAAAAATTTAAAAAATTAACCGGGTGTGGCGGTGCGTGCCTGTAGTTCCAGCAAGCTGGGAGGCTGAGATGGGAGGATCACTTGAGCCCAAGGGATGGAGGTTGCAGTGAGCCAAGATCGTGCCACTGCACTCCAGGAGGAACAAGACACTATCTCAAAAAAAAAATCACATGGTAAAAAACAAAACAAATCTCCATAAGCAAAGTAAAAAATAAATAATGAGCTGGAAGAAAATTTGCAACTTCCATCAGAAATATTAACAGCTATTTTTCAGATATCTAAAAAGTTCAACTCCAGAAAAACCCCAAACATGCTACAAAGAAAAGGGCAAAAATAAGAGTTTATATACAGAACAGGCTCAAATGGCCCTCAACACATATGTTCTCCTTTATATCTAATAACAGACATCCTAATTCAGACCATATTGAAATACTATTTCTTTTTTTTTTAAAGTTCTGGGATACATGTGTAGAACGCGCAGGTTTGTTACATAGGTATACATGTGCCACGGTGGTTTGCTGCACCCATCAACCCATCATCTAGCTTTTAAGCCCTGCATGCATTAGGTATTTGTCCTAATGCGCTCCCTCTCCTTGTTCCCCAGCCCCCAGCAGGTTCTGGTGTGTGATGTCCCCCTCCCTGCGTCCCTGTGTTCTCACTGTTCAGCTCCTACTTGTAAGTGAGAACATGTGGTGTTTGGTTTTCTGTTCCTGCGTTATTAGGCTGAGAATGATGCCTTCCAGCTTCATCCATGTCCCTGCAAAGGACATGAACTCATCCTTTTTATGGCTGCGTAGTATTCCATGGTGTATTTTTCTAACCTTTTCTTTTTTGAGATGGAGTCTCGCTCTGTCGCCCAGGCTGGAATGCAGTGGCGCAATATCAGCTCAATGCAAGCTCCACCTCCCGGGTTCACGCCGTTCTCTCACCTCAGCCTCCCGAGTAGCTGGGACTACAGGCGCCCGCCACCACGCCCGGCTAATTTTGTTTTTGTATTTTTAGTAGAGACAGGGTTTCACTGTGTTAGCCAGGATGGTCTCGATCTCCTGATCTCGTGATCCGCCCGCCTCGGCCTCCCAAAGTGCTGGGATTACAGGCGTGAGCCACCGCGCCCGGTCTATAAAGAGCTCTTCTAACCAAACCCCAGTCCCTCCACAAATGGGTAAAGGAAATGAATATGCAATTTGGAGATATGAAATAAAACATAAGCATATGAAACAAAGTTCAGTCTCGCTGACAATGAAATAATGAATAAAGCAATTGTGAGCTTTCATCAATCACATGGAATAGGTTAAAAAGTAGGGTTGTTATCCAGAATGCGTATGCCTTGGAGAAGTTAGAAGTTTACATACTCAGTTCAAATGTACCCACCAAGACTGCATTTTCTTAGGAGATAAGTTGACAATGACTCCTGAAAGGTGACAGGCAGCCAGGCCTGGTAGCTTATGCCTGTAATCCCAACACTTTGAGAGGCCAAGGTGGGAGGATCAGCGGAGGCTAGGAGCACGAGGCCCAGCCTGGGCAACATAGCAAGACCCTACCTCTACAAAAATAAAAATAAATTAGCCAGACGTGGTGATGCTCGCCTGTAGTCCCAGCTACCCTGGAGGCTGAAATGGGAGGATCACTGGAGCCCAGGAGGTCGAGGCTGCGGCAAGCTATGATTGCACCACTGCACTCCAGCCTGGGTGACAGAGCAAGACGCTGTCTCTTTAAAATAAAGAAAAGAAAATTTACATGCATTTTCTTTTTGGCTCAGCTATTCCACTTCCAAGAATTACTTGCACAGATACACTCCCACACATATGCTAAGATATACGAGAAAACCATTCATGGCTGCCTTGTTTAGAATCAAAAACCATTTAGTTTCATCGCCATTTTATAAAAGACTTTTTGCAGGTGTTACTTAAAAAGAAACATCTTATTGTTCTTAGCAACAACTTGGATGGCTCTCCAGGGAATTCTATTGAGTGAAGGAAAAAAAGACACACGTGATTTGAAAGGGGTTACACTCTGTATGACTCCATTTATATGACATTCTTGACATGAGAAAAGGTACAGAAATAGAGAACAGACTAGTAATTCTCAGGGGTTCAGGACAGGAGAGGAGGTTGAGGTAGGATGCAGGTTGGTACAGAAATAGAGAACAGACTAGTAATTCTCAGGGGTTCAGGACGGGAGAGGAGGTTGAGGTAGGATGCAGAGAGAGAAACAGGAGGGGTTGTTGGTGAAAGAAATGCTCTGTGTGTTGCGGACAATGCTGGCTTCACAAACCTGCACGCACTATGAAATTGCACAGAACTCGGTACAAAAACCCACACGGATACGAGTAAAACATAAGATCAATGCATTATTGCCTGAATGTGAATATCCTCCTTGTGACATGGTATTATTGCTTTCCAAGATGTTACCACTGGGGGAAGTAGACACAAGATTCTTTCCTATTATTTCTTACAACTGCTTATAAATCTACAATGATCTCAAAGTAAAAACCTTAATTGGAAAAAAAAAAAAAAAGTCTAGGCAGGAAGCAGTGGGTCACACCTGTAATCCCAACACTTTAGGAGGTCAGGGTGAGACAATCACTTGAGGCCAGGAGTTTGAGATCAGCTTGGGCAACATAGCAAGACCCCATCTCTACAAAGAAATTTAAAACTTAGCCAGGCATGGTGGCTTGCATGTGTAGTCCCAGGTACGTGGGAGGCTGAGATGGGAGGATTGTTTGAGCCCAGGACTTGAAGGCTGCAGTGAGCTATGATTGCATTACTGCACTCCAGCCTGGGCAACAGAGCAAGATCCTGTCTCTAAAAATAAATGAATAGATAAGTAAGTAAATAAATAAATCTATGCTTACGCCATATGATATTTCATTCTTAAAAAACAGGAAAAACAAAAGTCCTATCCTTCTTGATCCTAGTACAGTTGTTTTGAAAATATCTATATGTTTCATGGGGGCTGGGCGCAGTGGCTCACGCCTGTAATCCCAGCACTTTGGGAGGCCGAGGCAGGCGGATCACGAGGTCAGGAGTTTGAGACCAGCCCAATCAACATGGTGAAACCCCGTCTGTACTAAAAGTACAAAAATTAGCCGGGCATGGTAGCACGCACCTGTAATCCCAGCTACTCGGGAAGCTGAGGCAGGAGAATCACTTGAACCCGGGAGGCAGAGGTAGCAGTGAGCCGAGATCACACCACTGCACTCCAGCCTGGGTGACAGAGGGAGACTCCATCTCAGAAAAATAATAACAACAAAAATAAATAAATAAATAATAAAACAAAACTAAAAAAATAAAAACTATGTGTTTTATGATTCCCGTTTGAACTGCTGATCTTCCCACACCCTGGTCCCTTCATCTAACACTGAGGGCTGGAGACACAGTGAGTTTTGTCTACTGTCATGAGCTTCAGGGCATGGCAGGTACAGGTGTTGAGTTTTTGTTGTTTTATCATGAGGTTGGTGCAAAAGTTAATGGCAAAAGCAGCAATTACTTTTGCAGCAACATATTATTATTATTATTATTATTATTATTATTATTATTACTACTACTACTACTGATAGGGTCTTGCTCTGTCACCCCGGCTGGAGTGCAGTGGTGAAAACACAGCTCACTGCAGCCTCAAACTCCCAGACTTAAGCAATCCTCCTGCCTCAGCCTCCTAGGCAGCTGGGACTACAGGCACGTGCCAGCACATCTGCCAGTTTTTTTTTTAATCTTTTGTAGAGACAGGGTCTTGCTCCATTGTTCAGGCTGATCTCAAACTCCTGTTTTCAAGTGATCCTCCTGCCTCAGTCCCCCAAGTAGCTGGAACTACAGGTGTGTGCCACCATGCCCCACTAATTTATTTTTATTTTTGTAGAGATGGGGTCTCACTATGTTGGCCGAGCTGATCTCAAACTCCTGGCCTCAAGTGATCCTCCCACCTTGGCCTCCCGACGTGTTGCAATTATAGGCATGAACAGGCTACAGACCCCACCGTCATCTCCTCCATCAAAGAGGTTCCTGAACTTTACTTTCATGTTTGGTATACACTGCCTTGAATCCTTTCTCTTTTTTTGAGACCGAGTCTCGCTCTGTTGCCCAGGCTGGAGTGCAGTGGTGCAATCTCGGCTCACTGCAAGCTCTGCCTCCTGGGTTCATGCCATTCTCTTGCCTCAGCCTCCCGAGTAGCTGGGATTACAGGTGCCCGCCACCACACCTGACTAATTTTTTTTGCATCTTTAGTAGAGATGGAGTTTCACCGTGTTAGCCAGGATGGTCTCGATCTCCTGACCTCGTGATCCGCCCACCTCAGCCTCCCAAAGTGCTGGGATTACAGGTGTGAGCCACCATGCCCGGACACAAGGTCATATTGAAAAGATGCTCAGCCGAGTCTGGTGGCTCATGTCTGTAATCCCAGCACTTTGGGAGGCCGAGGTAGAAAAATCACTAGGTCAGAAGTTCAAGACCAGCCTGACCAACATAGTGAAACCCCGTCTCTACTAAAAATACAAAAATTATCCAGGTGTGATGGTGTGCCCATGTGGTCCCAGCTACTCAGGAGGCTGAGGTGGGAGGATTGCTTGAGCCTGGGAGAGCAAGGCTGCAGTGAGCCATGTTCATATCAGTGCACTCCAGCCTAGGTGACAGAGCAAGACCCTGTCTCAAAAAAAAAAGAAGAAGAAAAAAAAGCATCATTTCATTGTTGATATACCATTGTTTCCTAAGAGAGACAGAGAGAGAGAGAGAGAGAGAGAGAGAGTGTGTGTGTGTGTGTGTGTGTGTGTGTGTGTGTGTCACAGTCCTCAAATTTGGGAGAGTAAAGTGAAGATGACCAGCAGCCAAAAACCCAACAAAGCTGGTCCCAGGAACACATTTTCCTGATATGCAGTGTAACTTAGGTTCTTATAGAAGAAAGACCGTGTCACTCAACCACCATAATTAAGAACCTTCAGAGTCC